>NC_000017.11:21143480-21469665 GCF_000001405.40 Homo sapiens
GTACTTCAGATTTGTGAAGTTGGCATATATAGTGTTTTCTACAACATTTTCAAAGGAATGAAGGATTGTGACATTACAGCATTTTGTAATATATAAAAAGCACCTGAAAGGAGCATAGTTCCTCTCTCCCTATCAATTGTCAAGTATTTACAGAGGGTCAGTTTTTTTCCTCTCATTTTAACCCACGAGATTTACAAATTATGATAGTAAAATAGTGGTTCTCATATACCTGTGTGTGCCCCTTCTGAGGATCCAATCTGGCAGCTTGCACAAAAGAGTTGTAGTTATTGCTGACTGCTGACTCTTCGGGGTAGCAATTGGGGTGCTGAAATCCCAGTTACTGAAAACGAGAAGATTACAGCGAGGGAGCCTAACATGTTAAAAGTGTTTGCTCTTTTTCACATCTGCTTTTCATTTGCTTATCATTTCAGATGTTTATTCAGCATCAAGCTTGTGCATGGCACAGGAAACAGAGAGATGAATCAAGTGGCCTTTCTTAGGCCACCAGAGAGAGACCACCTGTGGACAGGTCAAGTGCAACCAAGGGTTCTAAGAGCTATGGCAGGAGGCTCCAGACAATTCTGGGCTTTCTCATGATCTAATTTCTTACTATCAGGTTGAGAAACACTCACCTGATGTAGACATGCAGCAGTAGAGGATGCTTGTAGCAGCTGAGGACAGGTCTGAGGACAGATCATTCCAGCAGACTCCATTCAACATGTAATGCTTTATAGTGAATGAGGAACTGTTACCTCTTTACGTCTTATCTTATAAGTGCCTAGAGATGCAGGTAGAATGAGAATCTACTCATTCTGGAGGTGAGAAAACTGGGGCCCAAAGGGGATAAGTTCCCAAATCAAACAGAGGAAGTAAATGGTGGCAACATTTTTACTCCAAATAAGTTGCTCCAACATGCAGTAACTATAAAACTAACAAGCATTTCATTTGTCATGCTGGACTACCTTAGTTTAAGGAATCTAGATTTATGAAAACCCAGGTTTACTGATTCACCCAAGTTTAAATGGTGAATATTTGCATTGCAGAAGGATTTTCCAGGCTGGGCATGGTGACTCACGCCTGTAATCCCAGCACTCTGAGAGGCCAAGGTGGGTGGATCACCTAAGGTCAGGAGTTCAAGACCAGCCTGGCCAACATGGTGAAACGCTGTCTCTACTAAAAATACAAAAATTAGCCAGGCATAGTGGTGCGTGCCTGTAATCCCAGCTACGTGGGAAGCTGAGGCAGAGGAACCGCTTGAACCCAGGAGGCAGATGTTGCAGTGATCCCAGATCACGCCACTGCCCTCCAGCCTGGGTGACAGAGTGAGACTCTATCTCAAAAAATAATAATAATAATAATATTTTCCAATAAAAGTAGGTATTGTAACTTGGAGTGTACAGATGGGCTTCAAGAGTTTTGTAGGTCTCCTGAAATCATTTCCACAATTTTGTATATACTTACCTTTTAGCAGACATAGTAATAATCAGATTTCCAAAGGAATCTATACAGAGAATTGGTAGAGACCCCCACCACTCTAGTGGATTAAAAAAAATCAACCTGTAGGCCATGCACGGTGGCTCATGCTTGTAATCCCAGCACTTTGGGAGGCCAAGGTGGGCGGATCACGAGGTCAGGAGATTGAGACCATCCTGGCTAACATGGTGAAACCCAATCTCTACTAAAAATACAAAAAATTAGCCAGGCATGGTGGCGGGTGCCTGTAGTCCCAGCTACTCAGGTGGCTGAGGCAGGAGAATGGCATGAACCCCGGAGGTGGAGCTTGGAGTAAGCCGGGATCGCGCCACTGCATTCCAGCCTGGGCGACAGAGCGAGACGCCGTCTAAAAAAAAAAAAGAAAATCAACCTGTAAATTTTTAAATTATAGTACTTAATGGAGTGCTTCTCAGTAACTCTTCAGAAAACGTGTTTAAAAAGAAAACATTTAAATGCAGGTTTATGGGAAAATGTTACATTTCTTAGTATGTTCCATGTGGTAGAATATTGTACTGTGTAGAAGCATCTCAATTAATGAAAAGGGGAATTTTAAAAGGTCACTTCATTTTCCATTGCTGGATAAGGAGAGATAAAGAAATTTAAACTACAGATGGTTCCCAACTTATGATGGTTCTACTCAACCATTTTTCAACTTTATGATGGTGCAAAAGTCATATGCATGTAGAAACTATACTCAAGTACCTATACACCCATTCTATTTTTCACTTTCAGTACAGTATTAATAAATCACATGAAATAATCAACACTTTATTATAAAATAGGTTTATCTGAGATGATTTTGCTTAACTGTAGGCTAATGTAAGCATTCTGAGCATGTTTAAGTTAGGTTAGGCTAAGGTATGATGTTTAGTAGGTTAGGTGTATTAAATGTATTTTTATTTATGGTATTTTCAACTTATGATGGGTTTATTGAGACAATCCCATGTAAATTGAGGAGCATCTGTAGTTGATTTGGTTGCCCATTAATGTTGGGCACAAGGAAGAATAATAATTTATCCATTTTCTTCGTTCGTTCTCTTTACTGTTTCTTATATTACCTAACACCCCCTCAGATAGATAACCCAGCAGTTGTGGTAATAATATCATTTAACTAGACCAAATAAAAGGCCTCCTAACCTACATATAAGCCTGGGCACTGTAGCATAGTACATGTTTGTAATCCCAGCACTTTGGGAGGCTGAGGCAGGCAGATTGCCTGAACTCAGGAGCTCAAGACCAGCCTGGGCAACATGGCAAAACCAGATCTCTACAGAAAATTATCTGGGCACACTGGTGTGCACCTGTAGTCCCAGCTACTTGGGAGGTTGTGGTGAGAGGATCATTTGAGCCCCGGAGGTCAAGGCTGCAGTGAGCTGAGATCACACTACTGCACTCCAGCCTGGGTGACGGAGTGAGACCTTGTCTCAGAAAACAAAAACAAAACAGAAAACAAAAAACATGCATATACCTATTTAATCCTTTCTGCAGTCTTATAAGGTAGATATTAGATACATTTTGCAGATGAGGAAACTGGCAGAAACATTAAGTAACTTGTTCAAAGGCACTCACTTAGTATGATGTTGGTATTTGATCCAAGGTCTGCCTGGTTCCAACAATAGTTTGCTATATCAAGCATTTGAAATGGTCATTCACACCTCAAATTTATTTATATCTCAGTAGAAAAATGGCAGCTAGCAACTTGATCTTAAGCAAAAAGCAAGTCAGACTTGAATTTAAAGAGAAATTATTTTATGGAAAAAACAATGAATTGCAAGAAACAAAATGTGGTTTCTTACTGAATAAGAAGGAAGATGTGGTTGGACAACTATAGCAACTGACCCCAGGCCAAGGGTACTGGTTAGTGAGGAAACGTTAATTCTTACAACAAGAGGAAAGTTTTGCAATGATCTACTGTCTTTTTCTCATAAACTTGGAATTAAGGATATTTCCTTTTTCCCCAAACATTTTTTATTTAACTTGGCAAATATAATGTCTTAAAAGGCATCTCTTCTTGAAAGTTTCTAATTGCCGTGCACTACTATGAAGACATTTGGATAGGATTATTTCAGAGACATAATTTCTGTGTGATTAGGGTTTTTTGTCTATTTTATCAAGATTTTAATTTCTAGCAGTGGGATAATTATATTAATAAGTTCTTGGGAAATTTGTGGCGCTTAGAGTCTGTTGAGGTGCTGAACAGAGCTGGGGGTCTTGCTGTAGCCAGTGATCTCAGGACATTTTAAACGCTGCCACTGTTGTAGGCCAAAACCAGTGTGCCTTATATCAGTGAAGACTCTGAAGCCTTGGGCTATGGCAGAACTTGGGGCCCTGAAGTACACATGGAAGTCAGCCCACTGAACATGGGCTGACAAAAAGAGTGGAGAAATAAGAATATATATTTGGACTACTTCTGGTTCCAAAGTAGCAACATAGAAGCAAGCTGACTTCACTCACCTCCACAGACAACCAAAAACAAATGTATAGTGCTGAGATTATCACGAGAATTGTCCCAGAACTCAAACATGAAGATGAGACAGTTCTCGAGGCCATGGAGAAATGAAAAAGCTCCGAGCAGATGGTAAGAGAATTGGACTTCCATATCCCTTCTGCCTGGCACCAAGTGTGAGGAAAATTTCCCTGCAAGTCACCATTTTTGCACTGGAAAAAGTAAGACTGAGATGAACAACCAACATCCCTATCATCTTGGATTCCCTAGCAGGAGACTTGTCCCTGCCTTAACCCACAGGAAGCATCTCAAGTGCCTGAAGGGAGAAATCCCTGAGGACAGGCAGAGACAAAGGTGGGAGGCAGGTCTGCCATCCCCAGCCCTGGAAACTCTGCTCTGTAATTCAGCCAAAGGAGATGGCAAATCATAATGGCTGCTCAGCAACACAACACTGTAGGAGGTTTCACCTACAGGTCCCTTGGGCACAGTGTGGGAGGATCAAGAATTCAAAATAGGCCAGCACCATGGCTCAAGCCTGTAATCCCAGGACTCAGGGAGGCTAAGACAGGAGGACTGCATGAGCCCAGGAGTTTGAGACCAGCCTAGGTAACATGGTGAGATAGTGTCTCTATTTTAAAAAATAAAATAATTTTTGAAATTTATTTTATACTTTTTGTAGAGACAAGTTCTCACCATGTTGCTCAGACTGGTGTCAAACTCCTGGGCTCAAGCAATCCTCCCACCTAAGCCTCCCAAAACACTGGGATTACAGGGAGAAGCCACCATGCCCAGCCCTAAAAAATAATTTTTAAAAAAAGAATTCAAAATAGTAGTTTCAAGGAAACTCAATGATCTCCAAGATAACACACACAAAAAAAATTCAGAAATTTATCAGAGAAACTTAAGATATTGAAATAAGAAACAGAAGTCTCAGAACTGAGAAATACATTTGCTAAACTGAAAAATTCATTAGTGGCTTTCAGCAGCAGAATGGATCAAGCAGAGGAAAGAATCAGTGAGCTGAAAGATGATTTGAAAATACACGGCCAGGCACAGTGGCTCATGCCTGTGTTCCCAGCACTTTGGGAGGCTGAGGATGGATCACTTTAAGTCAGGAGTTCGAGACCAGCCTGGCCAATGTGGTGAAACCCCATTTCTACCAAAAAGTATAAAAAATTAGCCGAGTGTGGTGGTGTGCACCTGGAATCCCAGCTACTTGGGAGGCTGAGGCAGGAGAATCGCTTGAACCTAGGAGGCGGAGGTTGCAGTGAGCCAAGATCGTGCCACTGCACTCCAGCCTAGGCGACAGAGCGAGATTGTAAAAAACAAACAAACAAAACCAGAAAATACACAGAGGTAAAAAAAAAATGATGAAAAGCCATGAAGATTGCCCATAAGATGTAGAAAACTACCTGAAAAGGCCCAAACTAAGAATTACTGGTGTTCAAGAGAGAGTTGAGCAAGAGCAAAGGGTAGAAAGCTTAGTCTAAGAAATAACAACAGAAAACTTTACACAACTTAAGAAAGATATAAATATTTGGGAACAGGAAAATCAGAGAACATCAGATTTGACCCAAATAAGACCCCAAGGCATATAATAATCAGACTCTTAAAGGTCAACAAAGAGAGAATCCTAAGAGCAGCAAGAAAAAAGAAGCAAATAATATAAAGGAGCTCCAATTTGTCTGGCAACAGACTTCTCAATGAAGAAGCCTCATGGGAACCATGATGCAAAAAAAGCATGCAGGAAACCATACAGGCCAGGGAGGTATGGAACGATATTTTCAAAGTGCTGAAAGAAAAAAAAAACCTGCCATTCAAAAATACTGTGTCCAGCAAAATTGTCCTTCAAATATGAAGGAGAGGTAAAGTCTTTCCCACATAAACCAAAGTTGAGAGAATTTACCGCCACTAAACCCATCTTACAAGAAATGCTAAAGGGAGTTCTTCAAACAGAAAGAAAACACTCATGGGCAAATAGGAAAACATTTGAATGTCTAAAACCCACTGATAAAGTTAAGTACGTGGACAAACCCAGAATACTCTAATACTGTAATTGTGGTGTTCAATTCACTCATAAGTCTAGTATGGAGCCCAAAAGACAAATCTATCAAAACAAAAATAGGTATAGCAACCTGTTAAGAGGTAGATAATATAAAATTATGTAAATTAAGACAACTAAAAGTCAAAATGTGGGGGGACGAGGATAAAGTGTAGAGGGAGTTTTTTAAACATATTTTTCTTTGTTTCTTTGTTATTTAAGATAAGTTGTCATCTCTTTAAAATGACTTATTACATCTGTGAGATATTTTTTTGTAAGCCTCATGGGAACCACAATGCAAAACACTTGTAATAGGTTTACTAAAAATATAAAGCAACAAAACATTCTACCAGAGAAAATCACTTAACCACAAAGGAAGACCAGAAGAAAGGAAGAGAGGAGTTGCAAAACAACCAGAAAATAAGGAACAAAATGGCAGTAGTAAGTTCTTATCAATAATAACACTGAATGTTAATGAACTCAGTTCTCCAATTAAATAGCATAGAATTTTCTTTAGCCAGGCATGGTGGCTCATACTTGTAATTCCAGCACTTTGGGAGGCTGAGGTGGGAGGATCACTGGATCACTTGAGCCCAGGAGTTCAAGACCAGCCTGGGCAACATAACAAGGCTCCATCTCTATTTAAAAAAAAAAAAAAAAAAAAAAAAAAACTAAGGCATAGAGTATCTGAATGGATAAAAAGTCCTTGGAAAAGGGGCAAGGTGTCTGGTATGGCAGACGAGGAGGCTGGTAAATCTCCTAGAAAACCAACCTATTAAAAAAGTATGAAACAGGATGAAATTATTAAAAACAACCACTTCATGGGTGTAGAAATTGACCAAAGACATGCAACAAATCAAGAAGCATTTCTTTGTCCGGGCATGGTGGCTCATGCCTGTAATCCCAGCACTTTGGGAGGCTGAGGCGGGTGGATCACCTGAGGTCAGGAGTTTGAGACCAGCCTGGCCAACTTGGTGAAACCCCGTCTCTACTACAAATACAAATATTATCCGGGCGTGGTGGTGCATGCCTGTAATCCCAGCTACTTGGGAGGCTGGGGCAGGAGAATGTCATGAACCCAGGAGGCGGAGGTTGCAATGAGCCGAGATTGCACCATTGCACTCCAGCCTGGGCAAAAGAGCAAAACTCCGTTTTTTAAAAAAGCATTTATTCATGAAAAAACATGGAACTTTGAGTAAGAGCAGTAGGAGTCTGTGACAGACATGCCGAGAGCTATAATAAAATTACCACAAATTTAGTGGCTTAATAAACCACATATTTATTATTTTATAGTTCTAAAAGTTGGAAGTCCTAAAATTAAGCCATCAGCAGTGCTTGATTTCTTCTGGAGGGTCTAGGATAACTCCCCTATCTCGAGATTCTTAAATTAATCACAGCTGCAAAGTTTCTTTTTACCATATAACTGAAGTAACATGCCCACTGATTCTAGATATTAGGATTAGAATGTGGACATCTTTGAGAGGTATTATTTAGGCTACCACAAACATTAATATACATATCCAAGAAACTTTGTGAGCTCCAAGTAGGACAGACACAAAGAGATCCACCACATCTAGATACATCGTAGTCAAACTGTTGAAAGCCAAAGGCATAAGCTCAAAAGCAGCAAAAGAAAAATTACGCATCAGATACAAGGGAACAACAGTTATGTGATTAGTGTCTGGCTTCTCATTATAAGAAATGGCCGCAGGGCTTTGAATTTACAGTCCAGCAGGTAGGTAGCTTAGAAGTTGCCACTTCTAGGCTGGGTGCGGTGGCTCACGCCTGTAATCCCAGCACTTTGGGAGGCCTAGGCAGGTGGATCATGAGGTTGGAGTTCAAGACCAGCCTGGCCAAGATGGTGAAACCCTGTCTCTACTAAAAATAAAAAATTAAAAAAAAATTAGCTGGGCGTGTTGGCAGGCACCTGTAATCCCAGCTATTTGGGAGGCTGAGGCAGAGAATTGCTTGAACCTGGGAGGCGGAGTTGGCAGTGAGCCGAGATCACACCACTGCACTCCAGCCTGGATGACAGTGTGAGACTCTGTCTCAAAAAAAAAAAAAAAAAGAAGTTGCCACTTGTTCCTAACAAGTAAAAAGCTTAACAAACTGAAAAATCAACTCTTCTTTGATACATCAGAGACATGAAATCATACCGCACACAGTTGCCCCCAAAATAAAAGACAGATAGGTGGATACATGGAATCACACTTACTGGAGCAGAAACCTCTGTGGGAACCAGTCCTGTGGTAGGAAAACATGAAGTGTAATTGACAAATTGCTGGAGACTCAGTGTGGACAAGTCTGAGAGTGATTTAGTTGAATGTTGTTCCCACTAAAATCTCATGTTCAATTGTAATCCCCAACGTTGGAGATGGGGTATGGTGGAAGGTGATTGGATCATGAGGAATCTTATGAAATGGTTTAATGCCATCCTCCTGGTGCTGTCCTCGCAACAGTGAGTGAGTTTTCACAAGATCTGGCTGTGTAAAAGTTTGTGGCATCTTTCCCCCTTGTTCTCTCTCGCTCCCACTCTCAACTACTCCCTGTTCACCATCCACCATGATTGTAAGCTTCTTGAGGCCTCCCCAAAAGCTGAGCAGATGCCAGCACCATGTTTGCTGTGAAGCCTGCAGAACCATCAGCCAATTAAATCTCTTTTCTTTATGAATTACCTAGCTTCGGGTGTTGTTTTTTTATTTTTATTTTTTGAGAAAGGATCTCACTGTGTCACCCAGGCCAGAGTGTACTGTCCTGATCTCAGCTCACTGTAGCCTCAGCCTCCTGGGCTCAAGTGATCCTCCTGCCTCAGCCTCCTGAGTACCTGAGACAACAGGCACATGCCACCACACCTGCCTTATTTTTGTATTTTTTGAAGAGACGGGATTTCACCACATTGCCCAGGCTAGTGTCGAACTCCTGGACTCAAGCAATATGCCTGCCTCAGCCTCCCAAAGTGTTGGGATTACAGGTGTGAACCACCACACCCAGCCCAGGTGTTTCTTTATAGCAATGCAAGAACAGTGTAACACAGAAAGTTATAAACTTCAGTGGGACCCAGTCATGGGGGGTGCTCATGCTTTCCGTAAGTTTTACCTCCAAGAGTTCTACCAGCCCCTCACAATGAATATTGGAGAGACATCCCTTTGTGCTTCCAGCAGAGGGAGGGGAAAAAAAATCATCACTTTGAAATATGCCAGAGCATTCTGCTCATCTTAACAATGCCTGCCCTCAGGAGAAACTATTTTACCAGAGTCTAACTTACTTTGGGGAAGGGTAATACTCAACCTCAGCTCACTCTATTCTTTCATGTGGGGAAAATTAATACCCAACTCCAGCCCTCTCTAGCCATCCTGTCCCACCTGAAGGGGGAACACTGAGAGGCACTGGTGAAATTTATAGTTCACAGGCTCACCAAAAAACTGAGACCTAATAGGACTGTAGAACACTTCCCCTTCCTCCAGCACCTTACCACTACGTTACTAAAGGCCTGTTTGCCACAGTTCTTTTTACCCAGTGCATCCTGTCCACCTTTTGATTAAAAAATTACAAGTCATACTAAAAGGGAAAATACACAGAAGAGACTGAAGAAGCATCAGAACCAGAGTTTGATATGGCAGGAATGCTGGATTTATCAGACCAAGAATTTTTAAAAATCATGATTAATATGCTAAGGACTTTAATGGAAAAGTAGACAACATGCAAGAACTGATGGGTAATGTAAATAGAAAGATGAAAAATCTAAGAAGAAAAACAAAATGCTAGAAATCAAAAGTGATACAACAGAAATGAAGAATGCCTCTGATGGGCTCAGTAGACGGGACATGGCAGAGGAGAGAATCTCTGAGCTTTGAGGATATGACAGTAGAAACTTCCAAAACTTAAAAGCAAAGAGAAAAAAGACTGAAAAAAACAGGAACAAAATATCCAAGAAATGTGAGATAACTACAAAAGATGTAACATACACATAATTGGAATGCCAGAAAGAAGAGAGAAAGGAATAGAAGCAATATTTTAAGGAATAACGTTGAGAATTTCCCCCAGAATTAATCTCAGACACCAAATCGCAGAACAAGGAAGTTCAGAGAACACCAAGCAGGATGTCTTAGTCCTGTAGACTGTGTAATTTATAAAAAAACAGAAATGTCTTACAGTTCCAGAGGCTAGGAAGTAGAAGATCAAAGCACTGGCAGGTTCACTGTCTGGTGAGGGCCTGTTCCTTATAGAAGGTGCCATCTAAGTGTCCTCACGTGGCAGACGGGATAGAATGGGTGAAAAAAAGGGGGAAGGGCATGTAATCCCATTCATGAGGGCAGAGCACTCATGACTCAATCACCTACAAAAGGTCACAACTCTTAATACTATTGGATTGGGGATACAGTTTCAACATGAATTTTAAAAGGGACAAAAACATTCAAACCATAGCACAGGATAAAGGGAAAAAAGACTATACAGACATTTCATAGTCAAACTACAGAAAATCAAAGATAAAGAAAAAGATCTAGAAAAAAACCAGAGAGGAAAAATGCTACCTATAGAGGAGGAGAGATAAGAATTACATCTAGGTTGGGCATGGTTGCTCATGCCTGTAAATCCCAGCACTTTGGGAGGCTGAGGTGGGTGGATCACCTGAGATCAGGAGTTTGAGACCAGCCTGGCCAAACATGGTGAAACCCTGTCTCTACTAATAATACAAAAATTAACTGGGTATGGTGGCATGCACCTGTAATCCCAGCTACTCTGGAGGCTGAGGCAGGAGAATTGCTTGAATCCAGGAGGTGGAGGCTGCAGTGAGCCGAGATCGTGACATTGCATCCCAGCCTGGGAGACAAGAGCCAAGCTCTCTCTCCAAAAAAAAAAAAATTACATCTGACTTCTCAGAAATTATGCAAATGAGAAGAGAATGGTGTGAAATATTTAAAGCGTTGAGAGAGGAAAAAAAACCCACCAACCTGGAATTCTGTACCCTGCACAATTATCCTTCAAAAGCAAAGGAGAAATAGAGACTTTCTCAGACCAAAAATAAATAAATGAAATTGGAGGAATTTGTTGCTGGTAGACCTGCCTTGCAAGAAATGTAAAAAGTTTTTCGGAGAGAAAGAAAATGATATGAGTCAGAAACTCTGATCTACATAAAAGAACAACATTGGAAAAAGAATAAGTGAAGGTAAAAGAAAAGCATTATTTTTCTTATTCCTAATTGACCTAACAGATAAAAGTTTGTTCAAAATAATCATAGCAACAATGTATTTTATTATGTATGCTTTTATATACCAATACATTATGTATATAAATGAACATAAATATGTGTTTATGTATTTTTAGTTATAAGTGAAATGAATGACAGCAACAGTGTAAGGGAAGAGAGGGAAGAATCAGGAGTATTTTGTTATTATATGATACTTGCAATGCCTGTGGAGTGATATAGTGTTATTTGAAAGTGGACTTGGATTCATTGGAAATGTATACTGTAAACTCTAGGGCAACCACTAAAAAAAGTTTTTTTAAAAAAAGAAGCATAGTTGATAAGCTATGAAGGGAGAGAAAATAGAATCATATAAAATGCTCAGTTAACCACAGTGGGCAGAAGAACTGTGGAAGACAAAAAGAGGAGCAAAGAACAAGGGTAACAAATGAAAAAAAATTAACGAATATGGTAGCTATTAATCCAGCTATGTCAATAATCACTTTAAATGTCAGTGGTTTTGTCAGTTACATCATTTAAAAGGCAGAGATTGTGAGAGTTTATCAAAGAATAAGACCCAAATATATGTTGTCTACCAGAAACCAACTTTAAGTATAAAGACACATATAGATTAAACATAAAGAGATGAAAAAAGATCCACCATACTAACACTAATTAAAGAAAGTGGGAGTAGCTATATTTCTACACAGAGTAGACTACAGAGCAAGGAAAGTTATCAGGGTTAAAGAGCATTACATTATGACCGCAGATCAATCCTCCAATAAGACAATAATCTTTAATGTATATACACATAATAGAGCATCAAAATATGTGAGGCAAAAACTGATGGAACTGCAGGGAGAAAGAGATGAATCCACTATTGTATTTGGAGACTTCAATGCTCCTTTATCAGAAAGACAGATTTGGCATGCAGAAAATTAGTAAGAACATAGTTCAACTCAACAGCGGTCAATTGGATATAGTTAACATGTATAAACTACTTTGTCCAACAACAGCAGATTATACATTCTTCCCAAGTGAATGAAACATTCACTTAGACCACATTCTAGGCCACAAAACACACCTTAATAAATATAAAGGAACAGAAATACATTGTCTGCTTCCAGACCACGATGGAATTGAACTAGAAATCAGTAACAGAAAGATAACTGGAAATCCCCCAAATAGTTAGTGATTAAACAACATACTTGTGAATAACACATGGGTTAAAGAAGAAATCTCAAGAGAAAACTGAAAATATTTTGAAGTAAAAGAAAATGAAAACCTTACCAAATTTGTAGAATGCAGCAAAAGCAGTGCTTAGAGGGAAATTTATAGCATTGAATGTATGTATTAGAAAAGAAGAAAGATCTAAAATCAACAATCTAAGTTTATACTTTAGGCAACTAGAAAAAGAAGAGAAAATTAAATCCAAAGTAAGCAGAAGAAAAATAATAAAAATTAGAGCAGAAACCAATGAAATTGAGAATAGGAAATCAGTACAGAAAACCAACAAAACTAAAAGCTGGTTCTTTGAAAAGATAATAAATAAAATCAATAAGCCTCTAGTCCAGCTAAGAAAGTTAGCTAAAAAACTAAGGCACAAATGACTAATATCAGAAATGAAAGCAAGGACATCACCACAGAGCCCATGGACATCAAAAGAATAATAAATGTAGCCGGGCGTGGGGGTTCACGCCTGTAATCCTAGCACTTTGGGAGGCAGAGGCAGGTGGATTACCTAAGATCAGGAGATTGAGACCAGCCTGGCCAACATGGTGAAACCACATCTCTACAAAAATACAAAAGTTAGCCAGGCATGGTGTTGTGCACCTGTAATCCCAGCTACTTGGGAGGCTGAGGCAGGAGAATCGCTTGAACCTGGGAGGTAGAGGTTGCATTGAGCCAATATTGCACCACTGCACTCTATCCTGGGTAACAGAGTGAGACTCCATCTCAAAAAATAATTATAATAAAAAAAATAAGCCGGGCGTGGTGGCTCATGCCTGTAATCCCAGCACTTTAGGAGGCCAAGGCAGGTGGATCACCTGAGGTCAGGAGTTCGAGACTAGCCTGGCCAACATGGTGAAACCCTGTCTCTACTGAAAATACAAAAATTAGTTGGACGTGGTGGCATGCACCTGTCATCCCAGCTATTCGGGGGGCTGAGGCAGGAGAATCGCTTGAACCTGGGAGGTGGAGGTTGCAGTGAACTGAGATCATCCCATTGCACCAGCTAGGGTGACAAAAACAAAATTCTGTCTCAAAAAAAAAAAAAAAGAATGCTATGAATAACTCTGTGCCCATTTCTTGATAACCTAGATGAAATAGACCAATTCCATGAAAAGACAATCTGCCAAAACTCACGCAATAAGAAATAGACACTCTGAATGGGCCTGTATCTATTAGAGAAATGGAATCAATAATAATAACTTTCCCAACAGAAAGCACCAAGCCCAGATAGATTCACTGATGAATTCTACCAAATAATTAAGAAAGAATTATACCAATTCTCTACAATCTCTCCCAGGAGGTAGAAGCAGAGAGAATACTTTCTAACTCAACCTATGAGACTTCCATTACCCTAATACCAAAACCAAAGATATTACAAGAAAATAAAAATATGTACCAATGTCTCTCATGAGCATAGATGCAAATATCCTCAAAAAATATTAGCAAATTGAATGCAATAATGTATGAAAATGACCAAGACCATGACCAAGTGGGATTTATCCAAGATGTGTAAGTCTGGTTCAATATTCAAATCAGGCTAGGCACAGTGCTCATGCTTGTAATCCCAGCACGTTGGGAGGGCTGAGGTGAGAGAATTGCGTGAGGCCAGGAATTCAAGACCAGCTTGGGCAACAGAGCAAGACCTCATCTCTACAAATAATAAAATCAGCCAGGTGTGGTAGTGTACACCTGTGGTCTCAGCTACTTAGGAGGCTAAGGTGGGAGAACTGCTTGAGCCTGGGCAGTTGAGGGTGCAGTGAGTTGTGATCATACCACTGCACTCCAGTGTGGGCAAGAAAGTGAGACCCTGTCTCAAAACAAAACAAAACTAATGTAATCTGGCTGGAGGTGGTGGCTCATTCCTGTAGTCCCAGTACTTTGGGAGGCAAAATGGTGAAACCCCATCTCTACAAAAATGACCCAGGTGTGGTGGCACACTACTGTAGTGCCAGCTACTCAGGAGGCTGAGGCAGAAAAATTACTTAAGCCTGGGAGGTAAGGGCTGCAATGAGCTGAGATTGCACCACTGCACCCCAGCTTGGTTGACAGAGTGAGACCCTGTCTGAAAAAAAAAAATAATAATAATCCATCACATCAACAAACTAAAGAGGAAAAAAAGTCACATGATCATATCAGTAGCTGCAGAGAAAGTATTTGACAATATCTATCTCTGATTCATGATTAAAACTCTCAGCAAATCGGAGTAGAGGGGAACTCCCTCAACTTGATAAATACTTAAAAAAAACTACAGCCATCATACTTAATGGTGAAGAACTCAGCTTGCCCACTAAGATCAAGAACAAGGCAAGGATGTTCCCTCTCACCACTGCTTTAAAAAAAATTTTTCCCACCCAAATCTCATATTGAATCATTACTGTTTTTTAACATCATACTGGAAGTCCTATATAGTGCAGTAAGACAAGAAAATGAAATAAAAATTGTAGAGATTGGGAAGGAAGAAATGAAAATGTATTTGTTCACAGATGGCAATCATTTATGTAAAAACTCTGAAAGAATAAGAAACTAAGCAAAGTTGCAGGATACAAGGTTAATGTATAAACATGAATCACTTTTCTGTATACCAGCCGTGAACAAGTAGAATTTGAAATTAAAAAGACATTAAGTATGAACAGGTTTTTTAATGAGGCAGACTATAAAACTGTGATGAAATGTATCAACTAAATAGATATTCCATGTTCACAGATAGAACAACTCAATAATGTCAAGATATAATTTCTTCCTAGCTTATCTATGGAGTCAATGCAATCCCAATCCAAATCCCAGCAAGTCATTTTATGGATATTGACAAACTGATTATAAAGTTTATGTGGAAAGGCAAAAGACCAAGAATAACCAACTCAATATTGTGGGAGAAACAAGTTAGAGGACTGACGCTACCTGACTCCAAGACTTAGTATAAAGCTACATTAATCAGGACAGTGATATTGGTGAAACAACAAGTAGATCAATGGAACAGAATAGAGAGCCCAGAAATAGACTCACATAAATAGAGCCAACTGATGTTTGACAATGGAGAAAAGATAGTCTTTTCAGCAGATTGAAACACTATCTGCATGCAAAAAAAAAAAAAAAATCTAAACACAGACTTCACAACTTTCTCAAAAGTTAACTCAAAATGGATCATAGACCTAAATGTAAAATGCAAAACCATGAAACTGCTAGAAGATAACATAAGAGAAAATTTGATGACCTCGGGTATGGTGGTGACTTTTGGGCATGATCCATGAAAGAAATAATTGATAAACTGGACTTCATTAAAATTAAAAACTTCTAGTCTGAGAAAGACTGTGTCAAGAGAATGAGAAGACAAACCACAGACTAGTAGAAAATATTTTCTTTTTCTTTCTTTCTTTTTTTTTTTTTTAAAGACGGAGTCTTGCTCTGTCGCCCAGGCTAGAGTGCAGTGGCGTGATCTTGGCTCATTGCAACCTCCGCCTCCCGGGTTCAAGTGATTCTCCTGCCTCAGCCTCCTGAGTATCTGGGATTACAGGAGTGCACCACCACGCCCGGCTAATTTTTTTTTTTTTTGTATTTTTAGTAGAGACGGGGTTTCACTGTGTTGGTCAGGATGGTCTCAAGCTCCTGACCTCATGATCCTGCTGCCTTGGCCTCCCAAAATGTTGGGATTACAGGCGTGAGCCACCGCACCCGGCCAATATTTTCGAAAGACACATTTTAAAGGACTGTTATCAGTTGGAATGGTGGCTGATGTCTATAATCCCAGCACTTTGGGAGGCCAAGATGAGAGGATCACTGAGCTCAGGAGTTTGAGACCAGCCTGGGCAAGATGGCAAGACCCTGTCTCTGCAAAAATTTTTTTAAAGTTAGCTAGTCACAGTGGTGTGTGCCTATAGTCCTAGCTACTTGGGAAGCTGAGGCAGGAGAATCCCTTGAGACCAGGAAGTTGAGGTGGCAGTGAGCCACTGCATTCCAGCCTGGGTCACAAAGCAAGACCCTGTCTCAAAAAAAAAAAAAAAAAAAAAAGGACTATTGTCTAAATTATACAAAGAACTGTTAAAACTCATCAATGAAAAATAGGGCCAGGCATGGTAGTTCATGCCTGTAATCTCAGCACTTTGGGAGGCTGACGTGGTGGATCATTTGAGGTCAGGAGTTCAAGACCAGCCTGGCCAACATGGTGAAACCCTGTCTCTACTAAAAATACAAAAATTAGGCCTGGCGTGGTGGCTCACGCCTGTATTCCCAGCATTTTGGGAGGCCGAGGTGGGTAGATCACAATGTCATGAGTTCGAGACCAGCTGGGCCAACATGGTGAAACCCCGTCTCTACTAAAAAATATACAAAAATTAGCCGGGCATGGTGGTGTGGGCCTGTAATCCCAGCTACTCGGAAGGCTGAGGCAGGAGAATCGCTTGAACCCAGGAGGCGGAGGTTGCAGTGATCCAAGATCATGCCAGTGCACTCTAGCCTGGGTGACAAAGTTAGACTCTGTCTCAAAAATAAAAAAATTTAAAAAATTAAAAATGAACAACACAACAAAAAAAAATGGACAAAAGATCTGAAGAGACCTGAGTGAAGAAAATATACAAGTGGCAAATAAGCATATGAAAAGATGCTCTGCATCATATTTCATAAGGGAAATGCAAATTAAAATGACAGTGAGATACCACCACTAAATAGGATGGCCAAAATCCAGAACATTGACATCACCAAATGCTAGCAAGGAAGTGGAGCAATAGAAACTCTTATTCATTCCTAGTGGGAATGCAAAATGCTATACCCACTTTGGAAGACAGTTGGTAGTTTCTTACAAAATGAAATGTACTCTTAACATACACCACAGTAATCACACTCCTTGATATTTACCCAGATAAACTGAAAACCTATATCTACTCAAAAACCTGCACACAGATGTTTATAGCAGCTTTATTCATAATTGCCGAAACTTCGAAGCCACCAAGATGTCTTTGAATGTATAAACTCTGGTACATCCAGACAACTGAATATTATTCAGTACTAAAAAAAAATGAGCTATGAAGCTATGAAAAGACATGGAGGAAACTGAAATGTATATTACTAAGTGAAAGTAGTCAATCCGGAAAGGCTATGTACCATATGTTTCCAAGTATATGACATTCTGGAAAAGGCAAAACTGTGGAGATAGTTAAAGGTTCATGGGTTGGGGAGGAGGGAGAGATGAATAGGTGGAGCACAGAGGATTTTTAGGGCAGTGAAACTATTCTGTATGAAACTACAATGATAGATATATGTCAGTATACATTTGTCCAAACCAAGAGAATGCATAGCACTGAGAGTGGGCACTAATGTAAACTTTGCCCTCTGGGTAACAATGATGTGACAGCATAGGCGCATGGGTTTTAACAGTGTAACACCGGTGAGGGATGTGGATAATGGGGGAGGCTGTACTTGTGTGGACACAGGGGTGTATGGGAACTCTACTTTCCGCTCAGTTTTCCTGTGTACCTAAAGTTTGTCTTAGAAATTTTATTAATAAAAAAATGGCAGCTATGAGGCAGTAGAACAGTATGTTCAAAGAATATACATGAAATTCTGTATCTAAAACTATCCTTCAAAATTGAAGGTAAGATAAAGACATTCCCATATAAACAAAGACTGAGATAATTGGTAGATTGTAGATTTGTCCTTCAAGAAATGCTGTATTAAAGGAAGTCCTTTAGGCTAAAAGGAAATGACTCCAGACATTATCTTGAATCCCCAGGAAGAGGGCCTTGTGAGAGAAATAAGAAGAGAAGACATGTATCTGTGAAGAAAAGTGGGAAATCTAACAGTGGGTGAAATAGATTGATTACTTACTGTATGACTGTCCGAAAGAGACACAGCCGTGTCCTCAGGAAATATTTGCTAGGACGCTTGGTAAAAGAAAGTGATAGGGCACCTGCTAGGCTATTTTTAAATGAAATCATAGATGTTGGGAGTGGCACAGCCTTCTCAGCTCATGACACTTTGCTTCCCAGTCAGTTCTTCCCACATGTGCCCTTCCTCCTCTGTGTTTGCTGGCATTAAAAGTCAGTGTACTAAACGTTTTCAGGAGAGTTGTTATATAAACTTTCAAAACCTCCCTTAGAATAAAGAGCATTTTCTAGTTAAATTTCACAAAAATGTTTTTCACACAGCTCTAAAAATAACTTGGAATTCAGGGTGAGCCATCATCCTAGATAAATTACAGTAAGGCACATTTGTCTGAGAGAAAGGGAGCCAACAGAGACATGATGATTTATCTAACTTTGTGAGGAAACCAAGACAGGAATTTGTTAGAATTCAAAGTATTATGATTTCAACCATGAGACTACATGAAATTAAGCAACATTTAATGTTTAATCCCTAGCGAATGACATACTTTTGCTCTGGGATGTGATTTGTTTGCCGTAATTCGTTTTAGTGATATTTTGCTGAGATAAAGCTGCAGGAATGTTTGCTTTTCTTATGGCAACTGGCAAATAGTTAAAATGGACTGTGAGAACATTTGTTCTTCAGGATTCTGTTTAATACTGAGTGTAGGCAAATAAAACAACACATCTGGGCTCTGTTTTTTTCTGTAATCTGATGGTATTGGATTAGATTATTTCCATGATACAATCTTATTCAACAAACATTTATGAAGTTCTCACCACATAGATGGTGTGGGAGTCAGAATAAAAGGCCAGACCCTCAGAGAACTGCTGTCTTGGGAGGCACGTGGCAGTGAAGGGAAATCATTGTGATGTTTTGTGAGATGCTATGGAGGCTACACTGAAAAGGAAGTGATTAACCCTGTCCAGATATGGAGGGCAGGGTTGCTGGGTGGCTTGAAAGGTTTCAGGGAGATGGTGCCCAAGCAGGACTTGAAGATTGGATAGGAGTTATCAAAGAGGACAGCAGGCAAGAACGAACTTCTAGAGACCCAATTTTTCTTCTGCTTTCTACTTATCAAAAAGTATTTAGCATTGAGAGTGTTTTCTATAATGAAGGCTCTTAAAATTATTATTTAATATTTCTTGAACATGCTTGGTACCATTTAAAATACAGGTTTAGGCCGGGCACAGTGGCTCACGCCTGTAATCTCAGCACTTTGGGAGGCTGAGGTGGGTGGATCATCTGAGGTGAGGACTTCGAGACCAGCCTGGCCAGCATGGAGAAACCCCGTCTCTACTAAAAACACAAAAATTAGCTGGTTGTGGTGGCGGGCACTTGTAATCCCAGCTACTCAGAAGGCTGAGGCAGGAGAATCGCTTGAACCCGGGAGGCAGAGGTTGCAGTGAACCGAGATCGCGCCACTGCACTACAGCCTGGGTGACAGAGCAAGACTGTCTCAAAAAAAAAACCAAAAAAAACCAAAAAACAAAAAACACAGGTATAATCTAAATAATCAAGTTAAATTAGAAACGGCTTTGGTACATTGTCAGGACACTAGGGGGACATTTACTTCTGGAGTTTTTTTCAGTTCTGTGTATTTTACTTCTTGAGTCTTTGTGCTGACCACTCTATTTCAGTGAATTGAGTTCCCTTTAAAAAGCATATCAGAAAGTAAAACTGCTTTTGTTGTGTTTCTATTCAGCTACAAATCTCCCAGAGTCTGCTTGCAGTGAAGTGTTAGTAATGAGGTCTCTTCTGTCCCCACTTCAATGCCGCCGTGAAGAAAATCCCATGAAATGTTATAAGGCATTTTAGTGGATGGAAAAGCAATATAAATGACCAGATTACCTAGGTGCTTAAAATTGCATCAGGTGGCCTCCTTGTAGCCCTTGCCACATGGTAATTAAATGTTTGTTACTGATTGTTCTCCTCACTGGCTTAGTCCACACACACAGTGGCATCAGGGGCTGGGTCTTGTTGATTCACTGATATCCAAGCTCCACATCCTTAGGGTGTGATCACAGCTCACTGCAGCCTCTACTTCTGGGTCTCAAGTGATCCTCCCACTTCAGCCTCCCAAGTAGCTAGGACCACAGACATGTGCCAGTATGCCCTGCTAATTTTTGTATTTTTGGTAGAGACGGGGTTTTACCATGTTGCCCAGGCCAGTCTCAAGCTCCTGAGCTCAAGTGATCCTCCTGTCTTGGCCTCCTAAAGGGCTGAAATTACAGGCATGAGCCACAGCACCTGGCTATGCTGCTCAATCTTGAGTGCAGATATTGTCAATTGTTGTGCTTTTTTTTTTTTTTTTGAGACAGGGTGTCATTCTGTCTCCTAGGCTGGAGTGCAGTGGCATCATCATAGCTCACTATAACCTCAAACTCCTGGGCTCAGGCAATCCTCCCACCTCAGCCTCCTGAGTAGCTGGGACCACAGGTGCATGCCACCACACCTGGCTACTTTTTTCACTTTTTTTATACAGACGGGGTCTCACTCTGTTGCCCAGGCTGGTCTCAAACTCCTGGGCTCAAGCAGTCCTCCCGCCTCAGCCTCCTGAGTAGCTGGGGATTACAGGCATGAGCCACTGGGCCAGCCTTGCTTAATTAAGTTTCTGAAACTGATGCCTGTAGATAGTTCCTCTTAGATACTCTAGTTGACGCTGTAGCATCTCCTTTTAAACTAGATTCCTGAACTCCTAGATTTCTGACCTCATATTTATGTTGGCATCTTGTCTGTCTTGTTGCTGTTGTTATATGTAATTTTTAAAGACAATAATCTGATTTAGGAGTCACAAACCAGCAGTGGCCTCGGCCAGGTGCGGTGTTCGGCCAGCACAGCAGTTTGAATTGTTTTGACTTTGAATGAAGTCTTCAGGCAAGGCTTGTACTTTGGACAGCCCACTACTCTGTGTTGTTTCACACTGATTGTTTCTTTCATTATCACAATTATTTAATTTTTGTGTTTCTTTGTATATTGTCAGTCTTCCATAGGGGCTGCCTCCATGAGGTCAGACAGCTTTTCTCCTTCGTTCATTGCCCTCCACCCCAGCCCTAGCCCAGTGCCTGGTACCAGAGGGCACTTGAGAAGTGTAGTTGAGTGGATGAGTGCACGACATCCAGGATCTGAGGTGATCCCTGGTGTGGGTGTGAAGGAATACGGTTGGTCTTTCTACCAAACATACTCAAACATGACGAGCCCTTAAAGCTGCCAGCTTGGCTGCTATTGCTTGGAACGTTTCTGAAATCCTCTCTGGGAATTGCCTTTTTTCAGTCAGTTTATGATTCAACAGCACAGTTGTTCAAGATTTTCATATTTACAAAGTGCTTTCCTATGCATTTTCCTATTGGAGCGATCATCCCCATTCTGAGGTGAGTGTGCTTAGTTTCAAGTAGTGAATGAATCTGCCTGTGTTGCACAGCAAGTATGCAGCATGGTGGTCTTGTCCCCCTCCCCCATGCTGGCTTGGTGTTTTCTCTTCTTCACCACCACAGTCAGTGCCTTGTCCAGTTTCTGTCAGGGGTGGGTGCGGGGGGCCTGGGGCTCTGGTGTGTTTTCTAGGAAAGAGAGTGACATTATTCCAGTGTCTTCTGGTAACACTATATTCACTTTTTTTTTCTTTTTTTTGGGACAGGGTCTCACTCTGTCACCCAGGCTGGAGTGCAATGGCACCATCTCCACCTCCTGTGTTCAAGCTGTCCTCCCACTTCAGCCTCCCAAGTAGCTGGGACTACAGGCGCGTGCCACCATGCCTGGCTAATTTTTAATTTTTGGTAAAGATGGGGTTTCGCTGTTGCCCAGGCTGGTCCCAAACTTGTGAGCTCAAGCAGTCCACCCATCCTGGCCTCCCAAAATGGTGAGATTACAGGTGTGAGTCAACTGCGCCTGATCTAAATTCACTTTAAGAAGCATATTAAGGCCGGACGTGGTGGCTCAGCATTTTGGGAGGCTGAGGTGGGCAGATCACAAGGTCAGGAGTTCGAGACCAGCCTGGCCAGTATGGTGAAACCCCGTCTCTACTAAAAATACAAAAATTAGCCAGGTGTGGTGGCGTGCGCCTGTAGTCGCAGCTACGCGGGAGGCTGAGGCAGAAGAATTACTTGAACCCAGGAGGTGGAGGTTGCAGTGAGCAAAGATCGCGGCACTGCTCTCCAGCCTGGGCAACAGAGCAAGACTCCGTCTCCAAAAAAAAAAAAAAAAAACCACATTAAAAACCAAAATTGTGTGTGTCCAAGTTCCTAGGTAGCCATAGTAAGTGCTATAATTGATAAGGAGGGCTTTAGGCCATAATGAACAGACAGACTTGGCGCGGGCTCTGCCTCCTGTTCATTGTCACCGCACTCCTGTGCCATCATATTACAGGGCCCGGGGCTGGGCTTTGGCACCTTTCTCCGCCCCCCCTCACAGGATTGCCGGGAAGCATGTGCTTGGCATCTTACTGGAGAGCAGAGCTCACTTCAATGTGGCTGCTCTTCCCAGGATTGAACACTCAGGAGCCTGGTCTGAAATCTCCAGCCTTCCTTCAGGTTTTATTTTTACTAAAGCCAGCCTGTACTCTTTTAAACCAGGGAGCTGAAGGCTGGCTTCTGAAAATACACCCCACAGGCCACTCTGCCGTGGCTTGTTCAGGCATTCCAGGGAGGGCTTGCTGACCTGAAGGTGTCCTCTGGCCCAGGTCAAAAGACCAGAGAAGACACTGGCGCCAGGAACCGCCACTGGCAAGGTAGCTGCCATCTGAGGTAGGATATTGTTCTTTTTTTTTTCCAGTCGAAGGCGGCCTTAATGTGGCTTCTCAGACATTTGAGACCAAAAAAAAAAAAAGGCAGTTTGACCCTGCCTTTACTTTCTGAAAATGACAGAAGCTTTCAGATATATTTCAAGATATGGGTCATAAGCATGACCCATAGTTTATGTCACCTTAAATAGAGCAGCTGATTAGAACTGGCCATTGGTTATAAAATAAAAGAGTACGTGTAGGTTTGTGGGAGCAGGATCCTAACTGCTTTAGCAATACTAAGCCACTCCTTGCCGTGTGATTTCAGTGTCTTTCCTTCCAGTTGGAACTCCTCTCTGCCCTTTAGCCTGATTTTCTTGTGTGTAACATGGCAAATTATTTCATGGCTAATCCTTCTTACAGACCTGAAATTGTTCTTTTTAAAAAAAACTTTGGTGGGTTTTGAGATCCCCTCCTTTGATTCTCAGATGTGGCTGTTAGTAGTTTAATTTCTGTATGTGGTTTCTGAGTAGCTTCCAACAACCTATTTTTGTTAACAGTTCTTTAAAAAAAAAAATGCTCGAGAGAAAGGAATCTTAGGAACGGATTCCGTCTGTGAAATGCAAGGGAGAATTTTGGCCAAAGTAGAAGGAATGGAATGGATGACATAAAGGGTGACATTTGTGCTCAGAGTTGATTTCTTGGTGATAGTCTCATGTCTAATTTGAGGTTCCAGAAGCCCTTTAAAGGGTGGATGAGCTGCACAAATGGATGTGAGGGAGTTACACAGTGGTGGGTTCAGCAGAAAGTAAAGGAGCAGCAGAATCACAGAGAGAAGCCCCGAACTCTGGCTGCCCGGGCCCAAGGAACCCTCACCCTTAGCGGGACTTTGCTACCTTTGCACTCTTTTAACCTGGGTCTAGAGCTCATGGATCTGGCAAGGGATGAAAATATAAGCAGACAGTATTAATATGTGAGCCCCTGAGCTCTCTCCCTTCCTCACGCCAGTTCGTGAGTCTCATCAGTGTGAGACTGTGTTTCAGGTCTCTTGCCCAAGGACTAAGAGTGTGACTATGACTGCACACATTCCATGTGTAGGTGGTGCCCTCTGCTTCCAGATGCCGTGTGCACTATGGTTTCTATTTGAGGGGCTCTCACCTTCTTTTTCTGGCTTCACTCTCTCTCCCCATGTCTCTGTCCTGCTTTCTGCCATGGCTCACAGTGGTGCTAGACAGACTCTGTCCCTTCTTTCTACAAGCTGATCTCCAAATGCTGAAAATCGTGAGCCAGATATTTTTTCCCAGTCCCTTTTTATACCATCAATCTTGCCTTCTCAGTCCATGATCTGGCTATATATCTGAAACTAGCAGTTAATAAGGATTTTGGTATAAAATGCATGATTGATAAATATATTAAAGTTTATACATATATATAAATCCTTCTTGTATGCCATTTTCAAAGAAAACAGGCCTCCCTTTGACCTTGCTTTATGTAGATTTATTTCCTAATCTGGAAATGTGGCCAGCTAGAACACTGTTCCTTTCTTCCACTGTGAAGCTGTCCTTTTAGCTGGTAGAAAGCCCTGGACACCACAGCAAGGTGGTGGGGCTTTCCATGGCTAGCTCTCATGGTCATCCTGACTTCCAAAGACAAGCTAGGAAAGTGTTGGCACAGCTGTCTCTAAGAACCCAAGAAGGCCCAGCAGTGTGGCCACATGCCCTGCATAGTGGAAGAACTATTAGGAGGGCTTTCAGAGTTTGAAAAACTCTGGAAAGAGTCGGGATTATCAATATGAACAACTTCATCTAGTCAGGAAAGTTATGCTGGAATTGAACCTGATTCTCAGATAAATGGCTCACTCTGGGGTGTCTTTTCCCACCATGGTCATTCTTTGTTAGCAGGGGAGAGTTGGCACTGGATTTTGTTTTTTGTTTGCTTTTGAGACAGGGCCTCACTTTGTCACCCAGGCTGGAGTGCAGTGGTGCAATCTTGGCTCACTGTAGCCTCAACTTCCTAGGCTCAAGCAATCCTCCCACCTCAGCCTCCCAAGAAGCTGGGACTACAGACGTGCACTACCATACCTGGTTAGTTTATGTGTTTTTTGTAGAGACGGGATTTCACCATGTTGCCCGGGCTGGTCTTGAATTCCCAGGCTGAAGCGATCCCCCTACCTCAGCCTCCCAAAGTGCTGGAATTACAGGCGCGAGGCACTGCGTTTGGCCTTGGCACTGGCTTTTAATTTGCTTTGCATTCTGATTCGATAGCACTTTACCAGACTGAATGCAGACATGCGCTCTCCCCACAGACAGCGGCCCGGGCCAAGGATGGATCCCATTCACCCGGCGCCATGTTTGCCTCAGGCAAAGTGGTCTCCAGGGCCAGGAGACCAAGGCTGGCCTGTGATGTTGTGTCAGGTGCTCAAGGAATCCCAGAAGTGTACAAGACGGTGTGTAGTTTTCGCTCTTTTCTTCATGTCATGGATTGCTGGCTTGAGTTTTAATTAGGTTGCATGAAAGTGCAATTTGTTGGGAACTTTAATCATCTTCCACTGGGGAGCCTTGCTGGGCTGGTTTATTTTCATCCTGCTCCTCCCTGGGTGTGAAGACGGGGTTGAGGGACATTTTAGTACCTGTCTGCTCTCTCCTGCTTTGCTGGCCTTGATAACCACATTTTCTAACACAAAACTTGGGACATGAGAGCCTGACTTCTGCCAATGTTGTGGAGTTTTTTCCTATTTGTTAATTTGATTAAACTGAAAGGTTTATGAAAATATAGAAGTTAAACAACATTGGACACTTAATACATTTAATGAGCTTCCTTTATTTGGAAAGAACCACACTTCACAAGCCAGGGGTCCCTTCAGACAGTCTTGGGAGTCGGATTGCTGGGAGGTGAGGTCCTGATCCAGGAACTTTGAGTTAATGGTGGTCATTATGATGCTGGTGGCAGCTGTGTTCCCTCTGTGTACAGATGAATTCATCCAACCTCATAACAAACCCAGGAGGGAGGTCCTCTCACAACTTCAGCTCAGAGGCGAGGACACTGAGGCCCAGGGCAGTGAGGCCCCTTTGCCAGGCTGCCAAGTGACTGGGCCAGGGTGTCACCCAAGCCAGGCTGGCTTGAGGGTTCATCCTCATGACCCCTGCACTGCCGCTGTTGTGCTGCAGTTAGTGTTTTTCAAGTGGTCTCTGAGTTTTGAGAAGCGACAGGCTGCATACTTGGCTCTTGACCCCCATGACCTCGGTGGCACTGTGCCTCAGCCCCAGGTTGTCAATTTGAAATTGGGTGGACTTCACAGGCACTGGCCTCCAGGGGCCCACGGAGGAGTGTTCGGAGGGGTTTCCACCCAACACGCCTAGTGGGGCTCTGGGTCCCGGCCCCAGAGGCTGAGCCCTACTATCCTTCCCTGAGCTGAGGCCCCCACCCCTTTCATACCTCAAGCTCATCCTGGGCAGTGGCTGGGCCCTGGGCCATTCTGGACAAGGCAGGGTGGTCCTACCCTGAGACCTACCTGGTACAAAGACCTGGGATTGCAGTGAGAAAAAAGCTTTTACCAAATAGCCATCCAGCCGGGTTGAACTCTTCCCAAGCCCCCACCCCTCAACCAGCTTATTACATGCAAGTTTTAAGCTATCCTTGCCTGGAGCCTTCTCTTGCCTTTTGTCAATTGCTGTAATTTTCTGGTAAAGCTATATCAACAAAATGGCAACCATTCCTGCCTCCCACTGTTTATCCCTCCTTCCCCTAGGAAACCCTCCCACATTCCCTGTTTTCAGGATCTTGGTCCCGTGCAGGACTCCAGGCAGCACCCACAGAACCCTGGAGTGGCACAGGCCTCGGTGCCTACTCTACAGCTTTCCTGAGCACTTCTCAGATTCCACACAAAGGGTCCTTGGGACCCAGCATAGCCTGCAGGCAAGAACACCTGGTCAGAACTTCCTCTTGGGGCAGGGATGGTACCAGTAGTGCCTGGTGAAAAGCTTGGTGCTTTAGATACCACCTTAATCCCCAGTTCATACAATGGAGGCTTGGCATAGTGTAGGGCAAGAGGGAGCTTTATCCATGCAGCAGATAGTAGCTGAGGTGTTTTCAGAGGTGGATTAAGTGGCAGTTGATGGGAAACTGTCATTTTTACAGTCCAAGAATGTGGCTGTTTTTTATGGTGGTTAAGAATTCAGGTGTATCTGGAAAAGCAGGTGAAAAAGTAAATGCTAATCTAGTTCAGTTGACAGTTCCGTTGCAGTAGAATCCTCTTGTAGGGGGCAATTTAGCATAGATCAGGACAGCCACCCTGAACATGAACTTCAGGATCAAAGCGACTTGGTGCATAGATGGATGTGTGTTGGGAGTCCACAGTGTTCCTGGCTTCACTCTGGCATCCAGAGTTGATGTCCTCTTACGAAAGGAAGCAGAATTTTTTTTTTATATGTGGGCTTGAGATGGGATATTAAGTAGGTGGCTGAGGGTTTTACATTATTGCTCCAAGCTTATGAATAATTTAGAGCTACAGTCTGGTTTGCCAGAACTCTCTTCTTGGATTCCAGCCTCTTCCTTCCTGAGAAGGATTCTGTGCTCGTAAACCACAGCCCTGGAGGTGGACTCGGGGGGGGCCTTTTGTCTCATAGACTCTGGCTCGCTCGTCAAGTGGCCTTCCAGGGCATTGCTTCCCAGCGACAGCACATGGTGCTCACCACGGTCCTCACCAGCTCCTCCTCAGCCTTCCTTTAACCCTGTGTCCCCCTCTTATCTCCTGCTTTGGGCACAGGAGGACAGGTGAATGCGGAGGAATGGGGGAGGTTCAGGGGAAATAAGGGCAGATGGGGAAAAACACACATTTTCTAAGAATCAACTGCACACTGTTGCACAGACACTCATACAGCCTCCAGATTTCATGGCTCACTGGGGAATGCTGGGCAGGAACATGCCACAGGCACAGCGGGGCAGCACGCTCACCGGCCGGAGCCCATGCTGGTGCTTGGGGCAGGGCCCTGCACTGAATCCCCTTTGGGTGTCTGTGAGGCCTGTGGTCAGAAGTCCATCTGTGGCCCTCACTGTAACAGTCTAGGGGCTGCTCCACCCAGAAACGTCCGTCCTCTGAGTGTCTGCTCTGAAGAGGATAAGAATTGGTACGACTTCCTTTTTCCTTTCCTCAAAAAACCCCTTTCTAGTTTCACAAGTATTCAGGGATTGAAAATGAAAACAGGCATTACTTGAGGTAAGGCCAACACAGGTTTCCGAAGGAGAGGCAGGTGAGTACTGACACACCACCTCTTCCTGTAACACTGTGGGTGACTATGTCCTAGGCTGAATGGCAATCTCCGCTTGTTCCCTGAGGGGCAGCATGAGGCCTGTGGCTTTTCTGTCCGCTCATGTCAGTACTGAGAGGAAGAAAGTTCTACAATGCTGAACAGTCGGCCGAGGGTGCAGGGCCTGGGTCAATGCTTGCTAGGGCTTAGAGCTGGAGTCCACAGAGGGAGATCTGGGATTCATATCAGATGAGAGGAAGAGCCTAGGAAAGTCCCCTGAACTCTGCTACTTTGTCACTGGTGTGTTTGGTTTTGGTTCTTCCAGGAAGAGTCTGCCGAAGGTGAAGGCCATGGACTTCATCACCTCCACAGCCATCCTGCCCCTGCTGTTCGGCTGCCTGGGCGTCTTCGGCCTCTTCCGGCTGCTGCAGTGGGTGCGCGGGAAGGCCTACCTGCGGAATGCTGTGGTGGTGATCACAGGCGCCACCTCAGGGCTGGGCAAAGGTGGGTCCTGGAGGCAGTGCTGCCAGGGGGCGGGGGTAAGTCAGCCAGGGATGAGGAGCGGCCCAGCTGCACAGGGACCACCAGCGCAAATGCCCGAAGCGGCAGCAGAAGGCCAGATAAGGGAAGTGGGCCGGATGGCACTGTCCTTGGTACAAGTGGAAAAAGCAGGAGCCAAGGCACAGTGAGAAATGACTCAGCGTCAGGGTGGGAGGCAAGTGTGAGAGAAGCAGCCTGGCCCCGGGGGTGGGGTGGGGTGGGGTGGGATGGGATACCTGCCCCTCACAGGGCAGCCCTGCTCAGCCTCAGTTGCTTGCTGAGGTAGGAATTTTATGTGAAATATCCCAATTTCCAAATATGGACAGCTAACTTAAAACGTGTTTTTACCTCTATGAGGACCAAATGAAACATGTCCTTTCCTAGATTCAGCCGGGGCCTCTGGTTCACAGCTTTGGTGCATGCTTTCTCTGGGCCTTGCCATCCCAGGCCAGGCCCCCAGCTGTCCCCTCAGCATGGTCTAGACAAGGTCAAAGACAGATAAATGGTGCCTCAGCTGTTCCAGGGTCTCCAATCTAGGTCCATTCCAACCCAGTGAACACCATGAGCTTCTAAGTCTCAGGAATGGTGTACCGGGACCCTGGCCTGGAGTGTCAAAACCTGGGTTCCCCCTTCTCCCATTTCTGGAAGCCTCTGAGTTACAGGGCTCCATTGTTTTCCTGCCACACACGTATATTGACTTGGCACGTTGCACATGCACACACCATACCATCTGCCATCCACGCTTACTCTGAGTTCCATGGAAGAAAGCTGAGGAGTTCCCTGAATTGTGGTGACCCCACCCGCTGCTACATCTTCTGGTTGGTGATAGCTCAGCTGGAGCTGATGGAGCACCTGCTAAAGTGGGAGGCTCTGGGTCAGGTTCTAGAACAAACAGATGAAAGACAGGGTCCCTTCCTTCAAGGAGGTCACGGTCGTCTGTTGTAAGGAGAAAGGCAAGGACTTATCTCAATATATTGCCATTGCAGTAACATATGCTCTCAAACCAGCCTGGTGGCAACAAGGCACATGTATATGTGCTGACTTGTGCTAAGCACTTTTACATGCATGATCTCACTGACTTCTCACAGCTAAGATTCAGAGAAGGAATGACTAGGACTTCCAGCCAGAAGGTACAAAACCTAGAGTCAAACCCACATCTCTGTCTCTAGAACTCACAGTCTCAAAGCTTCAGCAGGGGAGATGGCCAGGTAGAAGGAATAGGTGGGCTAGTAGACAGAACATTCCAGACAGGCCCAGAGGTAGGGGAGAAGCACGGTCCTGTAGGGACTTATACAGTTGGGTGTTGCATGAACACAGAGAGGCAGGTGGGTCTTTGTGGTGGAAGTGGCTTGCAGTTGGCCAGGGGTGGCCTGGGAAAGCTTTAGGGAGTATGGATTCATTTGTGCACCACTGTGGATGTTAGGTGAGGTCTCCAGGGGTGAACACCATATCTGTCATTGGATATCCAGACCTTTGCAGGGACAGCTGTCTGCAGGCCCTTTGCCATCGTCAGTCCTCTGACCTTACTCAGTTACTATATATAGGGTGGTCAGCAGCCACTTCTCTTGAGCTCAAAGAGAAGCATTTTGTGAAAGTCCTTGAAGAGCATTTGAGGGCTGGCAGAGGTGGAGCTCTGAGTCGCAAGTGCTCCCATCCATGCATGTTTGAGAAGCATGCTGTCATCTTCATTCTGCATCTCCTCTCCTGACACCAAGACTATGAAGGGAACAGAAAATGTCACGGAGGTCACCAGACCTGTCTATGTATCATAAGATGTCAGGCCCTTCCTGGATTCCAGTCACTGCTTATATTCTGCCCCATTTAACTTTTTGGGAACAAGAGTCCCTCCATCCAGATAAAGTAGGGCAGGTTCTTAACTGGCCATGTCAAGTACAGCCACTGTTGATGCCACCAAGGACGTTCTGATGTTGCCTTGCTTCTGTGAGGAGGCAGAGCTATGTTGTCCTCAGTGGCTCTGCCTGCCGTGTCAGCCACCCGGAAGGTTTGGAGTTATGCAACGAGTCTTCAGTTTTCCGTGTTTCTCCTATCTTGTCTCTTGTTTTGTGTACTTAAGCCTCTTGAGCTTGTCCTTGTAGAATAGTGTGGGACCACTGACTAAAGGAACAGAACGTTCTGGATATCTCCTTCCTCCAGCTTTAGCCACAGGGCTGTGCACAGCTCTGTTGATTTCCAGCCAGGCGTGCCAGCGGCACTGGACAGTCATCTGCAGCCCTTCATATATCGTACCTTGGAGTTGTTTTCCTTGGACCCTCCTACCTTCCAATATCAGCTTTTCAATAAATGAAAATGGAATCCTTCCAATCTGTTGTTTTCATTTCTGTCACTCCCTACACAAACTTTCATTTCCTCTCTTTTTAGCTTTGCTAGGAAGCAAAACTCAAACAGGTTTGAGGCAGTCATCTCCCCAAAGCTGTTTAGACTCCAGCGGGACTCCCACCTTTGAAGGGTTCTGTGTCTGCACCCTTTGGTGGCACCTCACAAATGTCCTATGTATTGGTCAGGACAAGACAAAATGGGGTGAGGAAGCCAGCAGGGCCCAAGGTTCCTAGCCTTTGGGAATGATTTATAAACCGGATGAGCAGTTCTAGCCTCAGGAATGCTGGCATCTGGCTTGGAGTGCAGCCATCACCCCCCTCATTCCTGTGGGGGCTCTGCTGCTCTGCTGAGAAGCGCACCAGGGAGGCAGGGTTGGGGCGCTGGGACCAGGCCTCACTACCCAGGGTGGGTGCTCTCTCCGGGCTTTTGCCCTTTGTTGGGATGAGCCAACGAACACACCAACCTCACCTCCTTCAAAGAAGATAGTGTGTCTAGATTGAGTCTACTTAGCACCTCTTTCCCGAAGACTGTCGGGTGTATGGAGAGGCGCCTGGGGGATGAGCAAATGCTGTGTGGGGAGCTGAACAAGAAGCTGTGGAGCACACGGAGGCTTCACACCATGAGACAGACGTCAGGGAGCCTTCCCTCAGACCTCTCAGGACCCCTGGTGCTGAAGGAGTTTCTTCTCCTCCCATGTTTTGAACCCATCTAGCTTTAAGGAAGTTTGACACTTCTCTAAGGGCAGGCCTGTTCAGACCAGTACACACCGCCTGCCCCTCTGACCTTTCCTTCCCAGCTGAGGAGATGGCAGCCCTGATCCTCTGACCCTGCAGTATTGGCCCATCACCACATGGCTACCAGAGATGGAATTAGCCTGCAAAGGCCATTCCCTTTCATGAACCAGGAGCTAGGGTGCCACCTAATCACCTGGGCCTCTAAGATTCGGTCTGGAACCAAGTCAGTGGCTCACTGGTGTCAGGTCAGGGTCAGCCAGGGGCCAAGGTATCCTGTGCAGATCTGCTGGTGAGCACTTAAGGGAGACTATGCCTCAGGTGAGGACAGGAGTGCCTCTTTAAACCAGCATGTGGCCAGGTGCAGTGGCTCATGCCTGTAATCCCAGCACTTTTGGAGGCCCAGGCAGGAGGATCGCTTGAGTTCAGGAGTTCTAGAGCAGCCTGGGCAACATGGCGAAACCTCATCTCTACAAAAGTTAGCCAAGCATGGTGGCATGTGCCTGTAGTCCCGGCAACTTGGAAGCCTGAGGTGGAGGCTCGCTTGAGCCTGGGAGGTTGAGGCTGCAGAGAGCCATGATGACACTACTGCATTCTAGCCTGGGTGCAGAGCGAGACCCTGTATCAAAAAAAAAAAAAAAAAAAGTAAAAAACTATGTTTCAGTTTTCATCATCAGTTTTTAGAACATTATTATTTACACATATTTTTATTTTTTGAGACAGGTCTTGCTCTGTCACCCAGGCTGGAGTACAGTGGTGTGATCATGGCTCACTTGACTTCCCAGGCTCAAGGGATCCTCCCACCTTAGCCTCCTGAGTAGCTGGGACTACAGGCATGCGCCACCACACCTGGCTAATTTTTTATTTTTTGTAGAGACAAGATTCCTATGTTTCCCAGGCTGGTCTCAAACTTCTGGGCTCAAGCGATCCTTCTGCCTCAGCTTCCCATAATGCTGAGATTACAGGCATGAGCCACTATGCCCGGCCAGAACATTTTTACAAAGTAGTTCAGAAATATGGCCAGGCACAGTGGCTCATGCCTGTAATCTCAGCATTTTGGGAAGTCATGGCAGGAAGATCGCTTGAGCCCAGGAATTTGACACCAGCCTGGGCAACATGGCAAAATCTCCATCTCTACAAAAATACAAAAATTAGCCAGCCATGGTGGCGAGTATCTGTGGTCCCACCTACTCTGCAGGCTGAGGTGGAAGGATCACTGGAACCCAGGAGTTCGAGGCTACAGTGAACTATAATTGTGCCACTGCACTCCAGCCTGAGCAACAGAGTAAGACCCTGTCTCTAAAAAAAATATTTTTAATAAATAGAAATACAAAAATGACAATTGACACCGCTGTAGTGCTGTTTATCAAACACTGTGGTAAGAGATTACCTACCTTAACTCATTCAATCTCACGGTCACACCCCGAGGGACTGAATGAGTTAAGGTAGGTAGTCTCTTACTACCGTGTTTGATAGATAAAAAGCATCCTAAATAAGAGGAAAGTCAGAAACAAAGAGGTTCTAACTTACTGGAGTTGGAAGTCTAGCTCAAGTCCACTCTCTTGGCTGCTGGGCTGTCCTGCTTTTCATAAGCTGTATGTACATTTTTGGGGCACTGAACATTTACATAGGATATGTTGCAGGGGAGGGTAAGCAAGAAGCAACGACGCCACCCTCTGCCTCCTCTCCTCCCATCACTCCGTTTCCTTTCTGACTCCTCATAGAGTAGTCCTCCACCCCCAGTTCTCATGGTTTACCCTGCTGCGTCCAGGGGGTTTCTCGTCAGGCCCTCCTGCTTAGCCACAGGAGAATTACCTGTGACCCTTGCTGGGCCCCCCACTCAAGGCTGATCACGGCCTTCCCTGGGATTTGATCAGAGCTGGGAAGAGACAAGACAAAACTGTGCATGTGAGCTCTGGGGCCTGCCCGCGTGTGAGAGCACCCAGGCACGTGAGAGCACCCGGGCAGCCAGCACTTGGGTCCCTCCTAGGTTTCGGCCATCCGGCTCTCCTCTTCATTCTTGAACTTCCCCACAATCCCTCTGGCAAATTCTCTTTTTGCTTTGCCCCAGTGTGAGTTTAGTTTCTGTTTCTTGCCACCAAAAGAATATAGAGCACGTGTCTGACTAGCTTTGGACTGTCCCTGCTGTGGTCGTAGTTGAAGTCCGCATCGATTGTTACCTGGAATAGTGTGGTGGGCTTGGTGGAGCCTGCTTTCCTCCAGTGTCCCCACTCCCTCCCGCCCAGCAGGACTGAGCCTTTTCAAAGGCAGGCACCCTTAATAGTCCTGCGTGTGGCAGGTGCTTGCGTGCACTGACTTGACCCCTCCCCAGCCAGTGAGGTTGTTAGACCCTCCACCTTCTGTCCCATCTCTATCTGCCTGTGGCCCTTCAGGCACTCTGCTCCCTCTGCCTCAAGCACTCCCTGGGAAACAGCCCATCAGATCTGGGAAGGGCCTCGGTCCCCTGCCCCAGCTTTTCTACAGGACTGTGTGAGTATTTCCAGGAGAGCTGTGCCTGGGTAGTGCCACCACACAGTCTTGGCAGGGCACAGCACCATAATAGCTGGCCCTCATTGACCTTGCCAATCAGGACAAGACCCTGCCTGAGTGACCTTGGTGAGCTCCCTCAGCTGTGAAGATAGGTGATGCTCACAGCTGATCCAGGTGAACAGGAACATCATGGGGTGTTCTGAGCATGATACTTAACACATCTGTCCACCTCGGCCCTCCTTTCTCTTTGCCCTGTGGATGTTTGTAGCACTGGGCGTGAGCCCGGCATTGGGCCCTAGCTCCCAGCTTCATGCTGGGCCACACAGCAGGGGCCAACACAGACCTGTGAAGGGTGTGAAGCAGCAAACAGCAACGCTGGGTGAATTTAAACTGAACGGCACTGAGGAAGAATGGCTGTCAAGGCTCTTTTCTCTTCCCTTAGAATGTGCAAAAGTCTTCTATGCTGCGGGTGCTAAACTGGTGCTCTGTGGCCGGAATGGTGGGGCCCTAGAAGAGCTCATCAGAGAACTCACCGCTTCTCATGCCACCAAGGTGAGCCAGGGGCGTGCTTTCCATGGGGAAGGAGTGCAGGCCGTCTTCTGTAGGCACTGAGGAGATAGTGGCCCACTCCTGGACTGCTGAGCTGTAGGACATCCATGCGTCACACTGTCCCAGGGAAGGCAGCAGGTCTCCATAGCGAACCGGGCCCACTGCATAGGGAGAGAGAACTGTCCAGTGGTTTACATCCTGATGCCCCTACTGGCTAGCACTGTGAGTTGAGAAAGTTCTCTTTTCTCCCTTTCCTTTTACCTGGCTAAGCTCTACTTACTGGGTGGGAGTGGGGGATGGTGATAACTTTAAAAGGTGTTTTTTTTTTTTTTTTTGGGACACGGAGTCTCGCTCTGTCACCCAGGCTGGAGTGCAATGGCCCAATCTCGGTTCACTGCAATCTCTGCCCCCTGGGTTCAAGCGATTCTTCCGCCTCAGCCTCCTGAGTAGCTGGGATTACAGGTGCACACCACCACACTCAGCTGATTTTTGTATTTTTTGTAGAGACGTGGTTTCACCATATTGACCAGGCTGGACTCCTGATCTCAGATGATCTGCCCGCCTCAGCCTCCCAAAGTGCTGGGATTACAGGCGTGAGCCACCAGTACAGCCCTTGTTTTATTTTCTTAGGCTCTTGCTCTGTCACCCAGGCTAGAGTGCAGTGGCACAGTCATAGCTCACTGCAGCCTTGAACTCCTGGGCTCAAGTGATCCTCCCACGTCAGCCTCTTGAGTAGCTAGGACTATAGGCATGTGCCACCACACCCAGCTAAATTTTTTTTTTTCTACTTTTATGTAGAGACACGGTCTCACTATGTTGCCCAGATTGGTCTTGGACTTGTGGCCTCAAGTGATCCTCCTACCTGAGCCTCCTTATTGTGGTTTTGATTTGTATTTCCCTAATTAAAAATGATGTTGAGCATCTTTTCATGTGCTTATTGACCATTTATTAATCTTTGGAGAAATGTCTATTCAAGGCCAGGCACTGTGGCTCATGCCTGTAATTCCAGCACTTTGGGAGGCCGAGGTGAGTGGATGATCACTTGAGGCCAGGAGTTTGAGACCAGCCTGGCCAACATGACGAAACCCATCTCTACCAAAAAGTACAAAACTTAGCTGGGTGTGGTGGTGCATGCCCGTAGTCCCAACTACTCAGAAGGCTGAGGCAGCAGAATCACTTGAACCCAGGAGGTGGAGGTTACAGTGAACCAAGATCGCACCACTGCACTCCACCCTGGGTGACAGAGCGAGACTCTGTCTCAAAAAAAAGAGAAATGTCTATTCAAGTCCTTTGCTTGTTTTTTTAATCAGGTTGTTGTTTGTTGTTGTTGAGTTTAGGAGTTCTTTATGTATTCGGGATATTAATCCCTTATAAGATATGTGATTTGCAAATATTTTCTCTCACTCAGTATCTTTTCACTTTCTTTTTTTTTTTTTTTCTTTTTGAGATGGAGTTTCACTCTTGTTGCCGAGGCTGGAGTGCAACGGTGCGATCTCAGCTCACCACAACCTCTGCCTCCTGGGTTCAAGCGATTCTCCTGCCTCAGCCTCCCAAGTAGCTGGGATGACTGGCATGCGCCACCACGCCCGGCTAATTTTGTATTTTTAGTAGAGACGGGGCTTCTCCATATTGGTCAGGCTGGTCTCTAACTCCCGACCTCAGGCGATCCACCCGCCTGGGGCCTCCCAAAGTGCTGGGGTTACAGGCATGAGCCACCATGCCCAGCCCACTTTCTTTTTTTTTTTTTTTTTTTGAGAGGGAGTCTCGCTCTGTCACCTAGGCTGGAATGCAGTGACACGATCTTGGCTCCCTGCAAGCTCCGCCTCCCAGGTTCAAGTGATTCTCCTGCCTCAGCCTCCCAAATATCTGGGACTACAGGCACGCACCACCACACCTAGCTAATTTTTGTATTTTTAGTAGAGATTGGGTTTCACCGTGTTGGCCAGAATGGTCTCAGTCTCTTGACCTCATGATCCACCTGCCTCAGCCTCCCACAATGTTGGGATTACAGGTGTTAGCCACCACGCCTGGCCAAGTTTTATAATTTTAAATCTTACATTTAGGTGATTGATCCATTTGAGTTAATTTTTATACATGGTATTAGGTAAGAGTCCAATTTCATTATTTTGCACGTGATTATCTACTTTTCCCAGCACCATTTGTTGAAGACTGTCTTTCCTCATTGAATGGGCATCCTTACAAAAATCAATTGATTACATATTTGAAGTGTCTATGTCTAGGTTCCTTGTGCCATTCAGTTGGTCTATATGTCTGTCTTATGTCAGTACCATACTGGGTTTTCTCCCCCTTAGAGGGACGGGGTGGAGCATGAGGGTAGGAAGGGGGAGGCAAGGGGGAGGAGGAGGGGAAGGACCCATACTGTTTTAATTGCTGTAGCTTTGTACAAGTTTTGAAGTGAGGAAGTGTGAGTCCTCCATCTGTCCTTTTTCAGGAGTGTTTTGGCTATTCAAGGCCCATTGTAATCCCATATTTGTGCAAAAACTGCCAGTGGGATTTTGATAGGAATAACATCGAATCTATTGGTCCCTTTGGGGAGTACTCTCACATCAACAACACGGTCTTCCAGTCCATGAATGCAGGATGTCTTTCCATGAACTTACATCTTCTTTAATTTCTGTCAGCAGTGTTTTACAGTCTTTTATCTCCTTAGATTTATTGCCAAGTGTTTGTCTTAGTCTGTTTTATGCTGCTGTAACAATAGCAGAGACTGGGTGATTTTTATTTTTATTTTATTATTATTTTTAGAGACATAGTCTTGCTCGGTCATCTAGGCTAGAGTTCAGTAGTGCAATCATGGCTCACTGCAGCCTGAAAATCTCAGGCTCAAGCAATCCTCTGCCTCAGCCTCCTGAGTAGCTGGGACTACAGGCACATGCCACTGTATTGGGTTAATTTTTTCATTTTTTGTAGGGACAGGGTCCTGCTATGTTACCCAGGCTGATCTCGAACTCCAGGCCTCAACTGAGTTGCCCACTTTACCCTCCCAAAATGCCAGGATTACAGGAGTGAGCCACTGCGCCTCGCCGGACTGAGTAATTTTTAAAGAAATCTAGTTTTCAAAGTCTGGAGGCTGAGAAATCCAAGTTAGAGGGGCTAGCATCTGGCAAGGGTCTGGTGTCTGGCAGGGGCCTTCTTGCCACATCTTAACATGTAGGAAGGCATCACATGGGCGAGAGAGAGGGAAAAGGGCTGATTTTATCCTTTGATAAGGAAGCTCCCACAATAACAGCATTAATCCATTCATGAAGTTCCCACCTTTCAACACTGTTGCATTGGGGATTAAGTTTCTAACACATAGGTTTTGGGAGACACATTCAAACCATAGCATATTTAATTTTTTTAACTGCTACTGTAAATAGAATTGCTTTCCTGATTCCCTTTTCAGATTATTCATTGTTTGTATATAGAAACACAGCTGATTTTTGGATGTTGCTCTTGTACCTTGCCACTTTGCTTAATTTGTTAATTAACTCTTATTAGCTTTTTGTGGATTTATTGGAATTTCCTATATATAGAATCATCTGCAAACAGAGGTAGTTTTACTTTTTCCTTTCCAAATTGGGTCACTTTTTTCTTGTCTAATTGTTCTGGTTAGCACTTCCAGTACAATGTTGAGTAGCCGTTGTGAAAGCAGGCGTCCTTGTCTTGTTCCTGATCTTAGAGGAAGGCTTTCCATCTTTTTCCACTGAGTATGTTATCTGTGGGTTTTTCATAAACACCCTTTGCTGTGTTGAGGAATTTCTGGTCTAGTCCTAGTTTATTGAGTATGTTTACCATGAAAGGGTGTTAGATTTTGTGAGATCTCTTTTCTGCATCAATTGAGATGATCAAGTGGGGTTTTTCCCTCGTTCTATTAATGTGATATATTATAATGTTCAATTTTCTTTTTTTTCTTTCTTTTTTTGAGAAGGAGTTTTTGCTCTTGTTGCCCAGGCTGGAGTGCAATGGTGCGATCTCGGCTCACCACAACCTCCGCCTCCCAGGTTCAAGGGATTCTGCTGCCTCAGCCTCCCGAGTAGCTGGGATTACAGGCATACGCCTCCATGCCCAGCTAGTTTTGTATTTTTAGTAGAGACGGGGGTTTCTCCATGTTAGTCAGGCTAGTCTTGAACTCCCGACCTCAGGTGATCCACCCACCTCGGCCTCCCAAAGTGCTAGGATTATAGGCATGAGCCACTGCCCCCGGCCAATTTTCTTTTTTTTAATTTAAAGAGACAGGGTCTCGCCATGTTGCCCAGGCTGGCCTCGAACTCCTGGGCTCAAGCAAGCCTCCCTCCTCAGCCTCCCAAAGTGCTGGGGATTACAGCCATGAGCCACTGTACCTGGCCATGATTGATTTTCCTATGTTGAACCAACTTTGCTTGCATTCCTAGGATAAATCCCACTTGGTCATGGTGAATAATCCTTTTAATACGCTGTTAAATTCAATTCGCTGGTATTTTGTTGAAGATTTTTGCATCTATATTCATAAGAGATATTGCTCTATAATTTTCTTGTGATATCTTTAATCTGGCTTTAGTATCAAAGTAATGTTGGCCTCAGACTGAATTAGGAAATGTTTTCTCCTCTTCAGTTTTCTAGAAGAGTACAGGAAGGACTGGTGTTAATTCTCCTTTAAATGTTTGGCAGAATTCACCAGTGAAGCCATCCGGTCCAGGACTTTTCTTTGTTGGAAGGTTTTTGATTACTGATCCAATCTCTATCTGTTAGAAGTCTCCTGAGATTTTTTATTTCTTCTTGAGTCAGTTTAGGTAATTTGTGTTTTTCAAGGAATGTATCCATTTATTCTAGTTTTTCTAACTTGTTGGCAAATAATTGTTCATAGTATTCTTTTATAATCATTTTTATAATCTTTATAATTTTTTTTATCATCTCATCATTTCTGTAAAGTCAGTGGTCCCACTTTCATTTCTGATTTTAGTTATTTGTGTCTTCTGTTTTTTCCTTGTCATTCTAGTTAATGCTTTCTCAATTTTGTTGATCTTTTCAAAGAACCAACTTTTGGCTTCATTGATTTTTATTGTTTTTCTGTATTCTGTTTGTTTATCTCTGTTCTAATCTTTATTATAATGTTTCCTTCCTCTGCTGGTTTTGGGTTTAGTTTGCTATTCTTTTTCTAGTTCCTTAAAATATAAAGTTACATTATTGTTTTGAGGCTAAGTGATCCGTGGGACACATAGCTCAGATGGCCTGCCACTCAGAAAGTGAATTTGTATCTGTTGTATTTGACCAGGTGCAGACACACAAGCCTTACTTGGTGACCTTCGACCTCACAGACTCTGGGGCCATAGTTGCAGCAGCAGCTGAGATCCTGCAGTGCTTTGGCTATGTCGACATACTTGTCAACAATGCTGGGATCAGCTACCGTGGTACCATCATGGACACCACAGTGGATGTGGACAAGAGGGTCATGGAGACAAACTACTTTGGCCCAGTTGCTCTAACGAAAGGTAACAGTCTTGAGAAAAGAGCAGTGATAAGTGATATGTTGGCATTCTTTTTACTTCACTTGGATCCTTTTCAGCTAAACGTTCCCCATCTCCATCCTCTCTGTTGCCCTGGAGTGGGTGTTAGGTGTTATTGTTACAGTTTGGGTATTTGCTTTATAGCTTCCAATCAAGATGTTCTCTTTAGTGACAGCCACATTTGTGCAGCATTACCTACATGTCTTTTTCATGGTGCCTGCAAACCCCTACAAGGTGGGGATATTTTTATGTCCCACCATGGATTTCAGTCCAGGGGAGAGGCTCCAGCAGGAAAAGGGAACTGAGCTAACCATTTGCAGTGACCTCTGTCCCTGTTTCCTTGCCTCTCTCCTCTCTCCTGCTGGCCTGCTGGCACTCTGCTGGGCATAGGAGGCTGGAAGTTCCAACATAGTCCTCTACCCTAAGGGGTTTTCACCATTCTCCCTCATTCTGACTAAATATCAAAAGCAAGGTCGCCTTCCATCAGCATCGGGTGCAATGACTGGAAGTAGGGCGCTTGCCTAAGCCTCTGCATCTGTCCTCAGCACTCCTGCCCTCCATGATCAAGAGGAGGCAAGGCCACATTGTCGCCATCAGCAGCATCCAGGGCAAGATGAGCATTCCTTTTCGATCAGCATGTGAGTACTTCTCTCTCCCACAAAATGCTTGGCTTTATTGTTTTTTCCTGATTATAAAAATAACACATTTACTATCTAGAATTTAGACATTGTAGAAATAAACTATCCAGAATGCAAAGGCACTTGAGAATGTGTTCTCCAGAGCCACATGCCTGGGATCAAATCCCAGCTCTACTTTCTGTCCCCTGTGTGACCTTGGGCAAGTATCCCCACTTCTCTGTGCCCTGCCCTCAAGTGTAAATGGAGACAGCCTCAGTCTTAGCCCGGAGGACTGCTGTGAGCGCTGTGCTTGGAGCTGCCCCAGACACTAAGCACTAGGCATGTGCTAGCCACTCCTACTGTTAAGATTTTTAGCTTGTCCCACAGATATAACCATGCCATCACTTTGGGGCATATGCTTCCACAGTTTTTTCTACGTATAATTCAAACATGCAAAAATGGAATGGCATTATTCATATTGCTTTGTGGCTTGTTAATCTCACTTAATGTATCTTTCTACATCAGCATGTATGGATTTACCTCATCCTTTCAATACAGTAATCCATTGAATGAGTGTGACATAATTGATTTAGCCATTTTCCTGGACACTTGAGGATTTTTTTTCCCCCTCAGTCTTTGACCATTAGCAGCAGTGTGCTGTGTAGAACATTCTCAAATATTTATATCTCTGGGCACTCAAATGGGAAGGTTTCAATAAAAAGGGTTTTAAGGTAATTTCACAAACTGTCCTTTCTTTGCATCATCTCCCGAAAGGAAATACTGCCTATACCAGCCTCATCTCCTCTCAGCCACCCAAGGGCTAGACCCAGCCACAGCCTGGTCAGCAAAGGCAGGGAAATCTGAGCTGCTGCAGCACTTTGCAAGGGCAGCCCCAAACATCCAGTTCCATGACACTATAGGGCCAGCTGTGAACTGAGAGTGTAACACAGTTTATTCTTTCTTCCAAGATCTGGATCCCAGCTCTACCTTTTGGTTCTGGTTGTATTTTCTTGGACACATTACTTAACTATTCTGATCCTGTTTCCTTACATATTAGTGAGATTTACAATCATCATACATGCTTGTACATGCATGATTTCCCTGTTTGTTAATATTCTCTTTCAGCTTTGGATAGGACAGCCATCTAAGGCTTCTCAAATGGTTCAGGAAAAAACAATTATATATAGAATCATCAATGATAAAGCAAATGAGTTAAAATGTTAATAATAGGTAAATCAGGGTAAAGAGGTTTTTTTTTTTTGGAAACAGAGTTTCACTCTTCTCGCCCAGGCTAGAGTGCAGTAGTGCGATCTCGGCTCACTACAACCTCCGCCTCCCGGGTTCAAGCGATTCTTCTGCCTCAGCCTCCTGAGTAGCTGAGATTATAGGCGTGTACCAGCACACCTGGCTAACTTTTGTATTTTTAGTAGACACAGGGTTTCACCATGTTGGCCAGGCTGGTCTCAAACTCCTGACCTCAAGTGATCCGCCCACCTCAGCCTCCCAAAGCGTTGAGATTACAGGCATGAGCCACCGCGCCCAGCTGGAGTTCTTTATACTAAATTATTTTCAAGTTTTACTTTGATTTATAATAATACCACTGATTTTTGTTGTCTGGCCTGCTGACTGCAGTAAGGCATACAATGGTTGGTCTCCGTATTCAGTTTTATAATGACCAGGCTGAATATGGAGTGCCTCTTGGGCAAGTTGGTTAACTCAGATAAGTAGTGGCCTTCTCACCTATAAAATGAGGAGAACGGCATTTTCTCTGTCACACTGCTAAAGTAAAGACCAAGTCACGTGGTCCACAGTGTCCTTAGTACTGGGCCTCACACTGGCAGGGTAAGTGATGTGGCCAGCGGCGAGGTCAGCACAGCCTGGCTGAGAACTCACAGCCTGAGAGCTCTGGGGAGACCCAGCTGTCAGAGTGTAGCCTTCTGTTTTGGGGACTTACATGATAACCCACTCTTCCCTGTCCCCAAGCCTGGGCTGTACTCTTGGAATCATGGCTGATAGGAGCAGTCCTCTCCATCCACCCACAGCCAACTCATCCAGCCCCCAGCAACTGTGCCCCAAACCAATGGAGCAGGCCCAGCAAGGCACTGCAGCAAGCTCAGACACTGCTGAACTGCCTCATGTGACTTGCTGCGACACTTCCTTTCTTTCTGTCTTCCTGTTTCCTTAGCTGACGGATGCCCCTTCTTTCCTAAGGCTAAAACATTTACAATTCTGAATTGGAGGAAACTGATTTACTGTGGAGACGCTGGTGTGTTTCCCAGGAATGTCATTATAGGGTCACTGTGTTCCCATTCAGAGCACCTTTTACCGGGTTGTGAAGCCCTTGCTCGAGAGCAGGCACAGCTCTGTTTCTTGCAGGTGGAGTAAGCTCTATAGCTCTTCTAGATGAAAAGCCACTGCCTGGACATTTGTCAAAATGAGACATAAGAAGGCAGGTTTGGATTTTTTACACCCATGAAGGCCCACTGATGGGGCCAATTCTGTCACTTGGTAACTCACTGGGGAGGACTAGGCAGCCACAGCTACATGGCAGGTCTGCAGGGCCAGCATGGGAGCTGTCCAACCTGCCACCAGGTGAAGAAAGCTACTTGCAGGAACAGTAGAATAGGTAAGAGTTCATTTCTGTATTAAAAGATATATATATATATATATAAAATATATAAAATGTGTAAAATCACATGAATATACGTAGAATATATTTTTAAAAAATCACTGGGCATGGCTGCTTACTCCTGTAATCCCACCAGCACTTTGGGAGGGTGAAGTGGGAGGATTGCTTGAGGCCAGGAAGTCGAGGCTGCAAGGAGCTATGATCCTATGATCATAGCTCTACTCCAGCCTGGGTAACAGAGAAGATGCCTTCTCTAAAAAAACAAAACAGAAGGCCGGGTGCGGTGGCTCACGCCTGTAATCCCAGCACTCTGGGAGGCTGAGGTCGGTGCATCACGAGGTCAGTAGATCCAGACCATCCTGGCTAACATAGTGAAACCCCGTCTCTACTAAAAAATACAAAAAAGTAGCCGGGCGTGGTGGCGGGTGCCTGTAGTCCCAGCTACTCGGGAGGCTGAGGGAGAAGAACGGTGTGAACCCGGGAGGCGGAGTTTGCAGTGAGCCAAGATCGTGCCACTGCACTCCAGCACTCCCGCCTGGGTGGCAGAGCGAGACTCTGTCTCAAAAAAAAAAAAAAAAAGGAAAAAAAAGAAAACCAAAATAGAATTAAACAAAAATTCTGGGAAACTGTTAGCACTGATTATCTCTAGGAATGGAATTTGGAAGACAGGAGGACTTTCTTTTTTTGTACTTTCTGTCCTTTAATGTACTATTTGAATGTTTTACCCAGTAGTCATTCAGTTTTTTTTGTTTTTAACTTTTATTTATTTATTTATTTATTTATTTATTTATTTTTGAGATGGAGTCTCGCTCTGTCGCCCAGGCTGGAGTGCAGTGGCGCGATCTCCGCTCACTGCAAGCTCCACCTCCTGGGTTCACACCATTCTCCTGCCTCAGCCTCCCGTGTAGCTGGGACTACAGGCACCCGCCACCAAGCCTGGCTAATTTTTTTTGTATATTTAGTAGAGACGGGGTTTCATCGTGTTAGCTAGGATGGTCTCGATCTCCTGACCTCGTGATCCGCTCACCTTGGCCTCCCAAAGTGCTGGGATTACAGGTGTGAGCCACCGCGCCCAGCTTAACTTTTAACTTGGAATAACTTCAGACTTAAAGTTGCAGGAACAGCACAAATTACTCCCATGCACCCTTCATGCAGATTCCCTGTTAACCTTTTACCTTATTTCCTTTATCTTATTCTCTCTCTCTGTGTATATGCATATATACCGTTTATAATATATATAAAACTATATGTGTATATAATTTATAATTTTTTTCCTGAACCATTTGAAAGGAAACTGGAGACATGATGCTCATTTATTCCTATTTCAGTTTGTTTCCTAAGAACAAGGGCACAGTACACTTCTCAAAGTCAGGAAATGAACATTGTTATAATACTGTAATCTTAAATAATAAAACCAGGTTTTAAAGCTGGGCACAGTGGCCCACGCTTGCAGTCCCAGCTGAGGCAGGAGGATCACTTGAGCTCAGGAGCTGGAGTCCAGCCTAAGCAACATAGCAAGACGATCACAAATAAAACCAGGTTTTCAAAACAGAGAGCGTGAATGGTAGTGAATAGTTGGGCACCAGGCCATGCCCACCCCAGCGCACTCAGTCACCTGCCTCTCCGTCCACATGTGTAGATGCAGCCTCCAAGCACGCAACCCAGGCTTTCTTTGACTGTCTGCGTGCCGAGATGGAACAGTATGAAATTGAGGTGACCGTCATCAGCCCCGGCTACATCCACACCAACCTCTCTGTAAATGCCATCACCGCGGATGGATCTAGGTATGGAGGTGAGGCCCGGTTTCTCTTTTCTCCTATGAAAATCTGTCGGTCAGCCACAGTGAGACATGCTGCTCTTACTTCAGTGATTCTTTGGTCATTTTCATTTGGAAGAGAACTTTTAAAGTGAAAAAAACTTGACAGAGGTGTTGGTTCTAGATATGGACTATTGAATAATCTTCTTTTACCCCACCATGGCCTACCCTTAGTGTGAACGTCACCATTGCAGCATTCAGAACAGGACCTCTGTGGGCAGGACTCAAGGGCTAAAAGGAAGTTGCCAAGCTGAAATGCCAACAGACTTCCAACTAACCCATTCGCAGATCCCGAGTCCAAGGAGTATTATCGGCATCGGGATTGAGTGAATTGACCTCATGGCAAGTGTAGGGTGTTTGATGGTCTGTCTCTGTCCCATAGGCTTGAGAAATGACTGATTCAGGGCCAGTCTTCAGGATGAGGCCGAGTGCAGCAGTCTCAGCACCTTCATCTTGTCTCATTTGGAGACAGTGCAGAGCTGACCTGCAGTCACCACTCGCGGGCAGAGCAGCTGGCCCCAGCATGCAGGCTCAGGCCAAGCAGAGACCAGTGTGCCCATGATCACTGGAGCCCTTGGAGCTGGTGCTGCCTCCCCATGCTTGGAACAGGGCCTGCTCACCCCTCCAGTGCTGTCCTGCCATGTCCTCCTCCCTGAAGTGAGCTCTTGGGGTTTGTGCTGTGATGTCTGCCAGGGGCCTCATGGTCCTGCGCCCGGCCCAGCCAGGCCTGAACCAAGACTGCCCATGTCCTGGCAGCAGCTGCTCTCTCACACAGCAAGTCTTGTTTTCCCCACAGTAGACTCTATACAGAGGCATGGGGCTTCATACAGCTTTACACCTGTTTATACCTAGAAGATACCACTTAAAAAATTATCTCTGCGGCATTTAAAAATAAGCTGTAATCCAAAACTTCCTACTTTTCTGCATTAACAAAAACACAGAACAGACATTGGTGAGGGAGCTCAGGCAATCTGGACAACTTAAGAGTGGTTTCATATGGCTAGGCACTGTGGTCAACACCTGAAATCTCAGCACTTTGGGAGGTCAAGTCAGGAGGATCACTTCAGCCTAGGAGTTTGAGACCAGTTTGGGCAATAGTGCAAGACCTAACCTCCACAAAAAATACGAAAATTAGCCAACCATGGTGGCACCACCTGTAGTCTAGCTACTCAGGAGGCTGAGGCAGGAGGATTGCTTGAGCCCAGGAGGTCGAGGCTGCAGTAAGCCATGATTGTGCCACTGCACTCCAGCCTGGGCAACAGAGCGAAACCCTGTCTTTAAAAAAAAAAAAAAAGTGGTTTCACATGGTCTGTGCTAGTGGCCGCTCCTGTGTGCCTGCCAGCTGGTCCTACTTTGCGGGCAAAATTGTCAAATTACTAGGGTAGAAGGAACATCAGTTGCCGTTAATCTAACACTGCCTCCTAATCTCTCCCAGCTGTTCCTTCTAACACCTAAAACAAACTAAGGACTTCTTCCTGTTTCTCATCCAATTAATACTTGACATCGAGAACAGGGACATCTGTCTGCTCCTGACTCAGTGAGCTTGTGCATATGGGGGTCAATAGTCCCCACCCACCTCTGTCTGGCCATCCTGAAGCCAAGCTACCCAAGATAAATGAGGTGGCACAACATCCCTTAGTCTTTGGTTGTTCTAATAGGCACACGTTTCCCAGGTCAGGAAGCTGCTTTTCAGGTGCGGTGTGAGGGGGTCACTCTGAAGCCCCCACCCCGGGCTGGCCCTGTGCCTTTGCTGTGGAGCACCAGGCAGACAGACTCACTTTGGTTCCAAGCCCTAACTGGGATCCTCAGTCTACCTTGTTTCCACATCCCACCCACCTCTCGCTTCCCCCACTGACCCACATCCAGCTGCAAAATGGTTCCCTCTTTCCTTGGAGCATGGAATCATCAGGGATGGTGGCACACCACTGGCTTCCTGGCCCTGGGAAGAGCTTCATGGTGGGAAAGGCAGCAGGCTGACCTGACGACTCACATCAGCTCCACTCCTCAAGAGGGACCTCTGCTTCCAAGTTCATGTGTTTCTTTTGTTTTATTTATTTTAGTTATGGACACCACCACAGCCCAGGGCCGAAGCCCTGTGGAGGTGGCCCAGGATGTTCTTGCTGCTGTGGGGAAGAAGAAGAAAGATGTGATCCTGGCTGACTTACTGCCTTCCTTGGCTGTTTATCTTCGAACTCTGGCTCCTGGGCTCTTCTTCAGCCTCATGGCCTCCAGGGCCAGAAAAGAGCGGAAATCCAAGAACTCCTAGTACTCTGACCAGCCAGGGCCAGGGCAGAGAAGCAGCACTCTTAGGCTTGCTTACTCTACAAGGGACAGTTGCATTTGTTGAGACTTTAATGGAGATTTGTCTCACAAGTGGGAAAGACTGAAGAAACACATCTCGTGCAGATCTGCTGGCAGAGGACAATCAAAAACGACAACAAGCTTCTTCCCAGGGTGAGGGGAAACACTTAAGGAATAAATATGGAGCTGGGGTTTAACACTAAAAACTAGAAATAAACATCTCAAACAGTAAGAGTTGTAGTCTTCCAGGACTAGAACCTTGTGTCCTTTGAATTCTCGCCCTGCCAGCTCCTAGAAATAGTTTCAATCTTGGAATCAGATGTTATGTCACCTGACCCAGTTGTTTCTGTATTTGACTTAAACCTCATTGTTGTGGCAGAAAGACCACCTCCAGTACTGAGGGGAGAAAGTTGTAGTTTCAAGAAGTCAGCAGTCACGCCCATTTCCAGGTCCCTATGATATCTCATCCAACTTAAAACGTGGGCCAGTATGTAATGGCTTATTTGGTGTATCCCAAGGGATGCCTGCTTTAGCACCTCATAGGAATTCCTGTTTCTCTCTTAACTCTCACCACATCCCTGTAGGATGCCAGGCACCACTCCAAGCAGAAGGTGAACTTACTAAAGAGAGAGCAGCCAAAAGGGAGAGGAGGACCCTGCGTGGCCCCGTGCATCCTCTAGAAGTGAAACCATTAAATTGGCCAGCTGGGCAGACTCTACAGCAGCCCCTGGTCTGGTGGAAGTGAGCCATTTGTTAGCTCTAACTAGTTGGATCATAGCCAGAAAGAATGCCTGTTTCTGCCTTTCTGATTTATTAAAAATACATTGTTGAGGCTCACTGAATAGGTCAAGTTCATTTCTAGTGTTTAGGAGGAAACTTTTCCTATTATTGAAACTGAAAATTGAAATGTAGGTCCACTGTAGACTTCCCCAAATTGGATTACAAATCTCCTAGCACATCATACCGACATCTTGCACCACATCCCAACTCTGGCGTCGTTGAGCCTATATTTTATGACCATTATATAACATGGTCAGCAACATGTTATTTTTTTAAATTTTATTTATTTATTTTTTTTGAGACGGAGTCTCGCTGTGTCACCCAGGCTGGAGTGCAGTGGCACAATCTCGGCTCACTGCAACCTCTGCCTCCCGGGTTCAAGCAATTCTCCTGCCTCGGCCTCCCGAGTAGGTGGGACTACAGGCACGCGCCACCACACCCAGCTATTTTTTGTATTTTTAGTAGAGATGGGGGTTTCACCGTGTTGGCCAGGCTGGTCTCAATCTCTTGACCTCGTGATCTGCCTGTCTCGGCCTCCCAAAGCGCTGGGATTACAGGTGTGAGCCACCGTGCCTGGCCTGAGCTTGTATTTTAAACAGCTGCCCTAGACAGATGATAAAAATGGCCACAGCCAGTCTTTGGTTAGGGTGTCAGAGGGTTTCAGGTTTCCTGGTTGGTAGGAGGACAAATGGGTGATTAGATCTGGTGACTTGTCCCAGCTCCTAACACTTCCTGGACGTTCCAGGAGCCTCTGGGTAAAATGTGGACACAGATGTGATGGGTCGTTCTTCATTTTCCAGGTAAATTGTCAACCTCCCTCCTGACATGGAAGAGAAGGGTCTCCTTAGTGTTCACACTGGAGACAGTAGACCCAGGCAAGAGCTGGAACTGAGACAGCAGCAGCACCTGTCTAAAGCTCAGCCCGAGTCTAAGGTTGAATGAAAGTGCCGAGCACACAGCAGGTTTCCAGGAAATGGCAGCAATGAAGGGCGCTCTCCCTTTAGATGGAAATGAGAGGACATTTCTCCTTGGATGCTGTTGGCTGCCACACTCAGAGACACCTGGTGTCCAGGTGCTGTCCTTTCCTCTCCATTATATAACATGGTTAGCAACTGGAGGTTGATGTGATAGGCTGCCCTCAAAGGAATGCAGGTTTACCAACTGTGTACTCCGTCATCAGAAGATGGGAACATCACATATGTTGCTGAGGTTTTTGGTTTTGGGGCCGTTGTGTTCTGACTCACAGCTGGGGTGCATGGAGCTTGGGCTAGCATTAAAGAGTGCTTAACCTACATACCACCTGTAAGCTGTAATTGGTTGGATGGCAGCCAGAACAAACACCTGCTTTCACGTTTTTTTTTCTTTTTTGTTTTTTTTTTTTGAGACGGCCTTGGCCTCCCAAAATGCTGGGATTACAGGTGTGAACCACCGTGCCCAGCCTCTCTTTCTTTTTCATTTTTTTTGAGACAGAGTCTCGCTCTCTTGCCCAGCTAGAGTGCAGTGGCATGATCTCTGCTCAATACAAGCTCCGCCTCCCGGGTTCATGCCATTCTCTCGCCTCAGCCTCCTACAGGCGCCCGCCACCACGCCCAGCTAATTTTTTGTATTTTTAGTAGAGATGCGGTTTCACCATGTTAGCCAGGATAGCCTTGATCTCCTGACCTCGTGATCCGCCTGCCTCAGCCTCCCAAAGTGCTGGGATTACAGGCGTGAGCCACCGCACCTGGCCTCTTTTTTGAGATGGGAGTTTCGCTCTTGTCACCCAGGCTGGAGTGCAATGGCGTGATCTCAGCTCACTGCAACTGCCACCTCCTGTGATTCACCTTCAAGTGATTCTCCTGCCTCAGTCTCCCGAGTAGCTGGTACAGGTGTGTGCCACCATGCCTGGCTACCACCTTTCTAATTTATTAAAAATACATGGTTGAGGCTTACTGAGTAGGTCAAGTTCATTTCTAAAGTTTATTTCCTCCCAATTAAAGTGGTTAGCAACTGGATATTGACGTGCTAGACCAGCCAGATGTCAATATTATTGGTTGTTTACTTACCCAACATTCTAAAAACCTCAAATCACTTTCTAAAACTTAACTTTATAAACTTTATAATTTTGCCATATAAATAGAAACTAACACAAACTGAAGAATTATTAAAATCTAGCTAAATAAAGCTGTTTGCCAAAGGCAGAGTCTGAGGCCCACTGTTCTTGAGGAGGAGGTTGGCAAGTCCCAGAGGGGACCTGTTAAAGTCACACCAACACCAGACAGACGCTCTTCTTGGCCTCAGAGGCTGAGGACTAAAAGGGCCTGCAGCTGTGCTCTTTCATGTCCGTGTTGCTCCTACAGTTGTCTTGGGTCGCTGGAGTTCAGTGTCCCTTCCTGGAGACAGCAATGGTTTGGATAATGTGAGACTTAGCCTTTAGAATTGTCCCAACGTAGCAGCTGAAGTGACTTCCTGTGGGTGAGCCCCACGTGCATTGCTCCAAAGCAAGAAGCCCAGCCACAGCCCGGTTCAGCTGATGGCCTTTGAGCAACCTTCATTGCTCTTGGATTTTCAAACCAGTGTTTGAATATGGACGTTTGCCAGCAGGGTTAGCGATGCTGCCATTCCACTTTCTCTTTTCTGTCTTTAGAGGGTTTTTGCCCCTTTCTCTTTCATCCTTAAATTCTGCTGGGGAGGTCTAAAAAGCACGATTTTTATTTGGTTCTGCCTTCAGGTATCTGATGAAGTTCAAAGACACTTTCCACTTTGCTCTTTAAGCCCCTTGGTGTTTCACATCATGCCAAAACCAGAGACGGAAAAATAAAACCAATTAGCTTTTCCAAACAGCAGCATCTCCATGCAGTGTAGAGGGGCCACAGCCGATTAGTGAATCGAAGAAAATAGTGTACAGCCCTGGGCACCCTGCCCACCTCCCAGCAAGTCTCCCTTCCTTCCCTCAGGGCCCAGCAGCTGCTGCACCAGATGTGAAAACTCTGGAGGCAGCTGACAGACTGGAACGGGGAGATCCAGTTTGATCAGTTGTCCTTTTACATAACAGCTCTTCGCTCTTCTCTGAAATTGGGTGGGGATGGGTAGCTAAAACTAATTTACTAGATTAATGACACAATCTATTCCCTAAAGTGGTCCATGTAGGACTCATTTAAGTGGATTTTGCACAGGAGGGCCCTGGTAACTTGGTCTTTGCTTTTTCTTGGCAGTTACCGAATGCTGTTTAAAAAAAAGAAAAAAAAATTGGCCAGGCGCGGCAGCTCACGCCTGTAATCCCAGCACTTTGGGAGGCCGAGGCAGGTGGCTGAGGCCGGGAGTTCAATACCAGCCTAGCCAGCATGGCAAAACCCCATCTCTACGTGGTGACGGGCACCTGTAATCTCAGCTACTCGGGAGGCTGAGGCAGGAGAATTGCTTGAACCTGGGAGGCGGAAGCTGCAGTGAGCCGAGATCGCGCCATTGCACTGCAGCCTGGGCAACAGAGAGACTCCATCTCAAAAAAAAAAATTATTTTTTGGAGACAGGGTCACACTCTGTTGCCCAGGCTGAAGTGCAGTGGTAAGATCACAGCTCACTGCATTCTCAACCTCTCAGGCTTGAATGATCCTCCCTCCTCAGACTCCTGAGTAGCTGAGACCACATTTGCGTACCACCACATCTGGCTAATTTTTGTCTTTTTTTGTAGAGACAGGTCTTGTTATGTTGCCCAGACTGGTCTTCAACTCTTGGACTCAAGTGTTTAATGGTCCTCCTGCCTCAGCCTCCCAACGTGCTGGGATTACAGGCATGAGCTACTGCACTCAGCCTTCAAATGCTATTTCTTGAGAAGTACTGTCGCATATCACAGATGACCATAAGCAACTTGTCAGCAGCTCTGCCATGACTGATCATCTAGCAAGGACAATGGCAGGAACAGAGAAGTCAGCACTGACAGTGGGAAGGGAGGCACATTTCTTGCTGCCAGCCTCAGGCACACGAAACCCCTGCCTGCAGTCCACACCAGCACCTCATCCCCATCTCCCTGGCCAGGGGCCATGTAACTAAGATGGCATTTCAGAATCTAGGTTAATACATCCAATAAGAATCACTTGGTTCAGTGCAGCTTGGGAAATGGTAGAAGAGCTACCCATTTGCAGCTGGATTCTACCTCGGGGGAGGGCTCCTGCTCAGCTGACTTGAGGTTGCCTCGACTTGTCTGGCTTGTCCAGCTTGTGCCTTCTAGTCAATTCCCCCATGAAATCTAACTTGTTGGCAGAGCACTTCCAGGCCAGGTATGGGGCTCCCTTTCCAAACCTGGGCATTATTAAGAAAAAAAAAAACCAAAAACCTGCCCAGCAGGCTCAGATGCCAGCACTCAGACACCTGAGGGGTCATGGGCAGCTGCATTTCAACTCACACTGCTGTCGAGATGAGGCATGTTTTTACGGGATCAGTTGTGTGGCTAAGGCAGTTCCCTCTTTACCATTATTCCAGGTGCCCAGAGACTGCCACGTAAACAGTGGTGCACACCCAACACCGTCATGCCCCCAGCACTCAACTGAGTGATAAGTTATTTCTAAATCTCTTGGAATTAAATCAAAGTTTCTTAAACTTTTTGTGGGCCGTGGGTCCCTTTTAAAATCCTTAAGAGGTGTGAATCTCCCCTACAAAAAATGGCCCAATCACCCCTCGTGAATCCTTCCCATGCACCCTTTCATTACTCTGTGACATCAGGTCTTCCTGATGGGGACTTTAAAACTAGGTGAGAAACCACTTTGGCTGTCTCTTAAATATTGGCCTGGCCAGGCACGGCAGCTCACGCCTGTAATCCCAACACTTTGGGAGGCCGAACCGGGCAGATCACTTGAGGCCAGGAGTTAGAGACCAGCCTGGCCAGCAAGGCGAAATCCCATCTATACTAAAAATACAAAAAGTATCCAGGTATGGTAGCACACAGCTATAGTCCCAGCTACTCGGGGCTGAGGCAGGAGAATCACTTGTACTCGGGAGGTGGAGGTTGCAGTGAGCTGAGATCACATCACTGCACTCCGTCCTGGGTGACAGCAAGACTCTGTCTCAAAAACAAAACAAAACAAAACAAAAGACTGGCCTTCAGAAGGAGGTGCCATGTGGCTCTTCAGGGATGAATGGGGCTTTAGGAAGGCAGAAGTGAAGACAGGCACCCCAGCCTTTTTGTGGAAGAGAGAATTTCCCATTTACCCAAAGCCTTAGAGCAAGCTTGTCCAATCACCAATCAGCAGCCCATGGGCCTCATGCAGCCCACGATGGCTTTGAATGTGGCCCAACACAAATTTGTAAACTTTCTTGAAACATTATTTTTTTGTGATTTTTTTTTTTTTTTAGCTCATCAGCTGTCGTTAGTGTATTTTATGTGTGGTCCAAGACAATTCTTTTTCCAATGTGGCACAGGGAAGTCAAGATTGGCCACCCCTGCCTTAGAGGAAATGTGGCAGGTGACACAGTCTACCTTCTGGTGTGAGGGAGAAGCACCGGCTTGGCTCCTGTGGAACAGCGAGCACTGAGGCCAGGGGGTGCTTCCAAGATTGCTCCGAGGGCTCTTCTGTCAGCCTAGGGCAATGGGTTAATAAACTCATGGTCCACAGTAGGAAGAGTTTTGGTGCTTCAAAGAAAACACAGGTGTTCAGATCTCTGAAGAGCGATCCTGGAGCCCAGAGTTCCCCACGTGAACTCAAGTGGACACCCAAAGGCCTCCAAGCCTCGTCACCTTATCCTACCATGTTCCTGAACAGCATGGTGGCAGTGATGGCCTTCGGAATGATGAGGCCAAGGTGAGCCAGGAGACTGCTCCTGGGCGGGGTTTGGCCCCAGGACTACCTTGGATCTAGGCTTGTCGTCGCTGTAAGTGGTAACACTGGGCCGCAGCTAGGAGCAGGGCAGGGTGGCTACCATGGCACCTGCTCCTTCCATGTGCAAGCCGCCACCCAGAGCAGATGTGCAGCAGCAGCTGCGGGCAGTCATGGAAAGAGAGAACAGCGGGAGTTGAAATTCTCATAATTTTAATGATCAATAGCTTCTGGTGGGCTCTGGATGGTACAGTTAAACAATAGACTTAAAGACCTCCCCCAAAGCACGTCCACACCCCCTCGGCAGCGTCTGCCTCCATCAGCATTCCACTGCCCAGTCGGACTTCCACAGCCTCAGACCCCCCTCTTGGGTTATGGAAATCCACATCTTAGTGTAATGAGCTGAAAAACCCTGGGTACACCCGTGATCTGTTATTTTTTAAAAATAACAAATACTAAGCCAAACACCTGCCCAGGCTCTGCTGCCTCACAGAGTGTGGCGATCTGAATACTCTGTTGTCTCTTGTGGGCCGGGTGGTTTTGCTTCGCTCCCTGTTCTACTGAAATCATACGGCATAGAGTTCGTAAATCTTCTTTACACAGTACACCAGGGCGGCCAGTGCTATCGTGTTGTGCAGTCTCTTTCTGTGCAGGTCGTCCTTCCGGACCAGCACCACCGGGGTGGAGGAGGTGAGTGTGTGCAGAGGCAGGCGCGACAGTTTATAGGCGTCGTACTCCACTTGGTACTTGCAGCAAGGGTCAAACTGCCAGGAGATCCCATAGAGGGTGCAGCAGGCCAGGCTCAGCACACCAGCGGGCAGGGAAATGTAGTGGGAATAATCTAAGGGCAGCGCCAACGGGGTGAAGAGGCAGGCGGTGCCCGCCAGCACGGCCGTCTTGTGCAGGCAGTTGCCCACGGTGATCCAGCGGGCTGTCTCGTCGCCAATGCGAGTGGGCTCAATCACAATGTACTTGTACTGGGCTTCCAGGGCCTGCTCCAGCTCGTACTCAAACTGGTCTTGGGCATTCTCCCCATTGTAGATCTCATGCACAATGTAGCAGTCTGTGGCCGACAAGCTCACCCTTTTGATGGAGGGGGCAGGAAAGGGAGAGAGAGAGAGAGACAGGATGATTAGGCTGAGGAGCACTTAACTGTGTTTCAGCGCTGGGGGAGGTCTGAGCCTGCACTGCGGAGAGCACATCTCACTTGGGTCCTCATCTCCTTTAAATCCCAACACAAGATAATCAGTAAAAAGGATTTTTCCTGAAAATAGTGAAATAAAGCTGGGTGTGGTGGCTCACACCTGTAATCCTAGCACTTTGGGAGGCCGGGGGGGCGGATCATGAGGTCAGGAGTTAGAGACCAGCCTGGCCAACATGGTGAAACCCTGTCTCTACTAAAGATACAAAAAAAAATTAGCCAGGTGTGGTGGCGCATGCCTATAATCCCTGTAATCTACTCGGGAGGCTGAGGCAGGAGAATCACTTGAACCTGGGAGGCGGAGCTTGCAGTGAGCCGAGATCGTGCCATTGCACTCCAGCCTGGGTGACAGGGCGAGACTCAGTCTCAGAAAAAAAAAAAAAAAAAAGATATAAAAAGGCAGGAAAAGCAGTGCCTCGACGTTTAACATGACAAACACAGGCCTGGTGGTTAGCCTAAGGCTGTGGACCAACTGATCTGAGTCAGCAAAGGAGCCTAAAGGGGAAAGAACGATTCGGCACAGAATCACAGGAGCACACACGGCAGCAGAGGGCCAACAGCCTGAAAGCCATTCTTAGTTAATCAGGGCAACTGCAAGAGGATTCTTCACTGGAAACCACAGACCTCAGGACAGATAATGCTAAGCCCTTGCCCTCCGCACGTTTCCTAAGTAGTCATCCTGGGCCTGCAGAACAGAGGCAGAAAGGAAGAGCTTTGCCTTGGGCGAATGAAATCCAAACTCCTTTGGCTCTCCTGGAGGCCAGGCTGCACAAGCCCTGGGTGCCCTTCCTGGGCCGGCAGCAGCCCCCAGCTCCTCCCCGCTGCGGAGGGGAGAAGAGGAGACCCAGGACACTAGCCCACTGCATAGGAAAAGCGACCCTTTCCTTGAATTAGGAAAAGACAACGCTTCAAGAACAGTAGTGGGCTCCAAATTTAGTAAGCAGGAGGGTCAACTGAGGGGCTTCAAAACATCCAGCCCAGCAATGCCACCAATTCTGGCCCTGTAGGCCCAGGCCCCTGCACCACCGGCAAATGCCACTCATTTGCATAAGAAACACTGCCACGGAGACCACACAAGGGGCTTTCCCCCCCGGGACTGGGGATGCATGTCATGACCCCAACCAGCAGGAGAGTAATCCACCACACGGAACGCTCAGCTCTGCAGCAAGGCCAGACGGCAGCCCGGCTGCAGCCCCAGCAGTGACCGTGGGCCAAGCTGCATTTCAGGCAGTCTTGCTTTTCTTGGTTTCAGGCCTCTGCGGTACAAATTTCCCACCCAAAGCAGAATCTTCTTCACCTGTGGCGGGCAGGCCTGAAGACAGGGCTATCCATGCCTTGTCATCTTTCCTTGGCTGGTTTCAGCTGAGACAGATCTCTCTGAATCTCCGCACCGTCACCCCACATCCTAGTTTTCCGTTATCTGCTCATCTGCAAGAAGTCTTTATCTGGGCCTTGACGGGGACACTGCTAGACATAGCTCTTGAGGCTGGATCAAGTTTTCCAACTCATGGCTCCCAAGGCTGCACAGAGCCATGTTCTGTCACATGCCTCAGGGAAAAGCTGCCCCTTCCCTCAGCACACCCTGGTCCCCAGGATGGTCGGACCCATCTGACTAAAGGACACAAGGCTCCAGGGACCTGCTGGTCACTGCTCCCCTGCTGGAGTCCATGCCCTTCCAACTGGGAGGCTCTGGAACACTGTACCAGGCAACACAAGGGTCAATGTGGCCCATGTACCTGAAGCTCCGAATGTGCCTGACAGGAACTAGCTTCCTTTCATGGCTAACGAGAAGCACAGCCCTCAGTGTGCACAGACGCGAAGGTCCCGTCCGCCCAGCCTGTCCTGGCAGGCACACCTGGCTGCGGTGCAGAGGAGAGTCATGGGGAGCTGAGCCACCTGGCCATTGGCCGTAATATGGGAGTGACGAGTGAAGACATTCATAACAAGCCACCCCAGAACCTCAGCCCAGCATGAAGGTAACTCCCTCCAGCCTCCTTCAAAGATGGGAGCAATTCCAAGTGAAGGATGGTGGAAATCGGACTGTCGGGAAACTTCAAGGAAAAAGAACAGGCAATCGTAGTTCTTCCTACTACTGAGACTCCTCCCAGCTCAAAGCTTTCAGCAAACAAATAAGCAAACCTAACAGGCAGGGTTGCATTCTGGTTGGATAAACAACTAGTTAACGATCTCATGTGGCCACATTAAAGATGAAAGTCATTGGTAATGGGCTGACTGTGCCCCCAAGCATGGGGACCCTAACCCCGCCCCTGGGTGGGAACCACTTTCATAAAAGGCACTGGCTTGGACTTGGGCAAACGGAACTCTTTATCCTGAAAAAGTCACTGTAACTAAGCCAGGCTAAGGCAAAGCCTCCTAATTCAATCATAGGCCCTAATTAAACGGCATGCACTGGGGAGAAATCAGTGCCCTGAGGGTGGGACAAGAGCCTCCTAAACATGGGTTGCTGCCAAGCCACCTGTGACTGTGCCAGTGTCACGGCTGCCTCGCCAGGGATGAAATGATGAGCTGTTACTGTAAGACTGCACGAGCAGCTTATGAAATGGGGAAAGGAGGGTTTTCCTTCTAAAGTTCTCGGTGGAGTTTTTCCATTTGGTCTTAGAGGAGAGGTAAGGGAGAGGCCAGCTGTTACTTCCAGGTAGGATTCAACAGTTTTTATTTTTGAGACAGGTTCCTGCTCTGTCACCCAGGCAGGAGTGCAGTGGTGTGATCTCTGCTGATGGCAGCCTCGACCTCCCGGGTTCAAGAGATCCTCCCACCTCTGCCTCCCGAGTAGCTGGGACTACAGGTATGTGCCACCACGCCTGGCTGCCTGGCTAATTAAAAAAATTTTGTTGTACAGATGGGGTTATGCCATGTTGCCCAGGCTGGTCTCGAACTCCTGGGCTCAAGTGTTCCACCCGCCTTGGCCTCCCAAAGTCCTGGGATTAACAGGCATGAGCTACCGCATCCAGCCAGATGCAGCATTTTAGAAGCTACCTACAGCAAACAAGCACACCCAAAGCAGGGTCTTCACTGGCGCTGGAAAGCTGAAGGCCGAGCAGTGCCCCCACGTGCTCAGATGAGAAATGAGTGGCGGTGGCGCAATGGGCTGGCTGTGGCCCTGGGTGTGCGGGGAGGGGCGGGGCCTCCACTCTCAGGTGGGAGCACTCCTGGCCAAGAGAACTCCCTTCTGGTCTCAAGTCCATCAGGCAACAGGAGCAGAGAGGCCAGATAACAAGGTAGGGGTGGAGGACCAAATCGTGTCCCAATCTTGAGACGGAAATGGAGTTGCTTCCAAGTCAGCTGTGCATCCTACTGACTGTCAAAGCCAGGCCAGGGACACCTTGGGGCGGGCACCAGAGGCGGGCTTCCTCCCTCAGGAACACTCAAAGCAAAAGGGAGGTGTCAAGCTGGGGTTACACAATGTTCTCGCCAACACCCAAATCCACCCTAGTGCGGTACCTTTCTCTGCCCAGCAGGCCAGCGCCATCCTGAATGTAGTGAAAACCACTGTTGGTCCCACAGAGGAAATTCCAGTGGAAACCCCGGTCCTGGAACCGACTGCCCCATCTGGAAACACAGCAGTGGGCAGATCCCACCCCCTCACCCCCTCCGGCCCCCCTGCAAGCCCAGCTGGCACCCACATCCACCCAGACCCCTCTGCAGGCTCCATCGCTTGCTGGGACGGATGGGTGGGTGCGTCCACGAGTCCCAACCAGCCTGGAAGCAGCGAGAAGCCAAGGCCCTCCAGGCTCCCTCCCACCTCACTGCTGTTGCCAGGTGTGGCCCGCCCCCCAGCACAGGGAGTGAGGAGACTGGGCATCCTCTGCCCTCGGCTGTGGGCAGTCCTGTGAATGACACAGCCATAAGCAAGCACGTGGACATGGGGGCACTCGCCAGCACACATCCTGAGATGGTGGCGTGGGTCTGCCCCCACCTGCCTGTCAAACCATGGCCCCGGCCTCCTGCAGCCTCGGCGTCTTCATATGGGCTGGGCACTGTTGCTGCCCACTGTCTAAGACACCTATCCACAGCAGAAACACAAAGGACATAAGCCACACTGCCTTCAAACAAAGGCAGGGTCCTGCACAACGGCGCTGAGGCCAGAGGCTCACCAATTCTGCTTTTAAAGCCAGTTAGGCAAAGGGAATCTCGGTTTCCACTGGGAAAGGACAACACGTGAAGTCTAGGGAAGTGGATTTCTAGGATTCTATAAGGCAACAGACCCTATATGGAGACGGTAAGGTTCAAACCAAAACACACACAGACGCACCCAAAGCCGCAGGATCCCTCCGTTGGAGCTCACCCGGCCACGACCAGGCAGTCAGCACTCCAACTTCCTGGTACACTGGTGGGAGTGGGGTGCTGTCAGTGCAGACACAGGTTTTTTAGCTGCCACTGCTGGGCCCTTGGGTTCAGGTCTGCACTGCTGACAGGGACTGCTGCACTTCTCTTACTTCAGAAATTCGTGGCCATGACCAGGTGCGGTGGCTCACGCCTGTAATCCCAGCACTTTGGGAGGCAAAGGTGTGCAGATCACTTGATGTCAGGAGTTCGAGACCAGCCTGGCCAACAAGGTGAAACCGTCTTTACCAAAAATTAGCCAGGCGCGGTGCTGCACACCTGTAATTACAGCTACTCAGCAGGCTGAGGCACAAGAATCACTTGAACCTGGGAGGCAGAGGTTGCAGTGAGCCAAGATTGTGCCACTGCACTCCAGCCTGAATGACAGAAAGAAAAAAAAGAAAAAAAAAGAAAAAAGAAACTGCCAAGTACTCCCAGGAGACAGCCACGTCCAGCCAGCTCCTGACCACCCAGCAGCCACCCGTATATGGCTTGCTTCTGCTTGTGGGTCAAACAAAACCTAATGAAGGAAAGAACCCAGTCAGAAGGTTATCTCAAACCACTGCAGAGCATCACCAGCTGCCCCCTAACTGGTAAGGCCATGGGCTTTAGGAACTGGGTGATCTGAACCCTGGTGCATGGGAGATCTTTTTTTTTCCTTTTTTTTTTTTTTTTTAAATTATATGGACTTTTTTTTTTTTTTTTAAGTAAGAGCTAGTTGGAATCTTTTGAGCCCTGGGCTTCCTAAGGGACTGTATTTTTGCTTTTCATTGCAGGTGTGAAATGACCAGTAAGAGAGCAATTAATAGAGTCTATGTTTAAAAAAAAAAAAAAAAAGAAAGAAAAAGTGGCCAGGTGCAGTGGCTCATGCCTGTAATCCCAGCACTTTGGGAGGCCAAGGCAGGCGGATCACCTGAGATCAGGAGTTCGAGACCAGCCTGGCTAACACGGTGAAACCCTGTCTCTGCTACAAATACAAAAATTAGCTGGGTTTGGTGGCACGTGCCTGTAATCCCAGCTACTTGGGAGCCTGAGGCAGAAGAATTGCTTGAACGCAGGAGGCGGAGGTTGCAGTGAGCTGAGATCATGCCATTGCACTCCAGCGTGGGCAACAAGTAAAACTCCGTCTCAATAAAAAAAAAAAAAAAAAAAAAAAAGAGAAAAAGGTAGCAGCAGTAACAGCAAAGTCTCCAACTGAAAGCAAGTTCAGGGGAAAAGGCAGGGTTCAGAAGAGTGTTTACAGTATGCTATACGTAGTGTATTTTTAAAAGTCTCTATTTGCTTTTATATGCACAGAACACTTCTGAAAGGATACACAAAGACCTGATTTTTATGACTGGTCACTAGGGAGGGAACTGAGGGGCTCAGGAAAGAAAAGGAAGGGAGGCTCTTTCTAGTAAATGACTTTTGATCCTTTTGAATCTGGCATGATCTCTGGTACTTAAAGATCACTGTCGGAAGTGGGTCTTAACATATGGAAGAAGAAAAGTAAAAGGATCAGTGTCATGATCCTAAACACATCATGCCAGCACTGAGGAAGCTTTGGATTCTCTGAGCCTTTAGTGCTGGGAGCAGGGGTCAGCCCGTTCCAGCACCTCAGGGGGACTGCTGCAGACACTGAATGGGACCGCTCTCTGCCGCCTCAGGATAGCTTGCAGGCACTCATAAAGTGGGCATCTTGAACTTCCTCCCTCAGCCTTCAACCAGAGTCAGCCTTCAGGCCCTCATCTCTCCACTTTTGAGCCCAACTCAATCAGCTCTCGCAGTCAGCAAAGGAATCCCCTGGCAACACTAGCATTCCAGTTAAAAGGCGGCCACAGTGAAAACTCAGCAGGGCAACTCCACGGCCCCTCTGGGATGTGGGCAGCCTGTGCCTGTCCCAGCAGCCACAGTCTGGAGGCGTCTCCCCAAAAGGCAAGAGCCGCACAAGAAGGTTCAGAGCAGAACTGTTCGGTGAGAGCAAAAGATGACAGGAGCGGGGAGAGCAGAATCGCACCTCCTCCATTAGTGACATGAATCAGTTCCAGTGGCCTGAGCCAGGGATACAACTCTCACACATTCTAAGGCGGCAGAGCTCAGGGACGTGCCACTGAAAGCCAACTATAAGGACAGCAAGGGTGCTGTGGTGCACTTGGGGCACAGGGTCTCCGCTGCAGGAGGAGGCAGGCCAGGGTAACGCTAGTTCTCTATCGCGCTGGGTGGGGAGCCCACACAACTATCACTTTGCCTTTTTTAAAGTGTGGTAAAATACACGTAAAATATACCACCGTAAGCACTTTTAAGTGTACAGTTCAGAGGCACTAAGCACATGCACACTGATGTACCAACCATCACCACCATCCACCTCCAGGATTCCTTTACCTTCCCAAACTGAAACTCTACCCATGAAATGATCCCCCCATTCCCCACCAACCCCAAGCCCCTGCAAACTACCATTCTACTTTCTACCCCAATGAATCTGACTATACAAGTACTTCATACAAGTTGGATCATATATAGTATATGCCCTTTTGTGTCTGGCTTATTCCACAGAGCATAACGAGTCTTCAAGGTTCATCCATATTGTAGCATGTATCCGAATTTTCTTCCTTTTTAAGGCTCAGTAATGTTCCACCGTATGCATAAACCACATTTTGTTAATCCATTCATCTGTGATGGACACTTCGGTTTCCACCACTGGCTATTGTGAATAATGCTGCTATGAACATGGGTGCACAAACATCTCTTTGAGTCCCTGCTTTTTTTGGGGGGGGGGTATATATACCCAGAAGTGGAACTGCTGGATCATATAGCAGTTCAATTTTTTAGTTTTTTTGAGGAATCTCTATACTGTTTTCCAGAGCAGCTGCACCATTGTACATTCCCACCAGCAGCGCACAGGGGTTCCCATTTCTCCATATCCTCACCAACACTTGTTATTTTCCGTTTTCTTTTCTTTTGAGGCAGTCTCGCTCCATTGCCCAGGCTGGAGCGCAATGGCGCTATCTCGACTCACTGCAACCTCCGCCTCCCGGGCTTAAGCGAGTCTCCTGCCTCAGCCTCCCAAATAGCTAGGACTACAGACATGTGCTGCCACGCCCAGCTAATTTTTGTATTTTTAGTAGAGACAGGGTTTTCACCATGGTGGCCAGGCTGGTCTCGAACTCCTAAGTGATCTGCCAGCCTCAGCTTCCCAAAGCACTGGGATTACAAGTAAGAGCCATTGTACCTGGTCTCATTTTCTTTATTTTTATTTGTTTATTTATTTTGTGGAGACGGAGTTTCACTCTTGTCACCCAGACTGCAGTGCAGTGGCACAATCTCGGAGCACTGCAACCTCCACCTCCTGGGTTCAAGCAATTCTCTTGCCTCAGCCTCCCAAGCAGCTGGGATTACAGGCACGTGCCACAACGCCCAGCTAACTTTGTATTTTTAGTAGAGACAGAGTTTCTCTATGTTGGCCAGGCTAGTCTCGAACTCCTGATCTCAGGTGATCCCAAAATGCTGGAATTACAGGCATGAGCCACCATGCCTGGCCTGATTTGTATTTTTTAATGGCAGCTTTACTGAGATAGAATTCACAGCTTTACTGAGATAGAATTCACAGAGCAACTCCCCCATCGGAGGTGAACGATGAAGTGGCTTTCCCAAAGTTGTGCAACCAATAGCACAACTGATCCTGGTGCATTTTCATCATCTCAGAAAGAAACCCTGTACCAATTAGTGGTCCCTTCACATCTCCCCAGCCCTCCACAACCACCAGTCGGCTTCCCAACTCTCTGGATATGCCAATTCTGGGTATTTCATTTAAATGGAATCCTGTAACGTGGTCTTCAACAACTGGCTTCTTTCATTTTGCATTATGTTTTTAAGGGCCATCATGCTGTGGCATGTTTATTACTTTTCACATATTGTAAACATAACTTTTGATGTGTTTAACATATAACTTTAAAAAATCTAAGATAAGGCTGGGCATGGTGGCTCACGCCTGTAATCCCAGCACTTTGGGAGGCTGAGGTGGGCAGATCACCTGAGGTCAGGACTTCAAGACCAGGCTGGCCAATGTGGTGAAACTGTGTCCCTACTAAAAATACAAAAATTAGCTGGGCGTGGTGGTGCATGCCTGTGGTCCCAGCTACTTGAGACTGAGGCAGGAGAATCGCTTGAACCCCGGAGGCAGAAGCTGCAGTAAACCGAGACTGCACCACTGCATTCCAGCCTGGGTGACAAAGTGAGAGTCCGTCTCAATAATATAATTTTAAAAACCCCTAAGGCAAGATATATAAGACAAAGTATCAAAGGTGCTATACATGAAAATAGATCAGGCTAGGCGCGGTGGCTCACGCCTGTAATCCCAGCACTTTGGGAGGCCGAGGCGGGCGGATTACCTAAGGTCAGGAGTTTCAGACCAGCCTGGCCAACATGGTGAAACCCCGTCTCTACTAAAAATACAAAAATTAGCCAGGTGTGGTGACAGGCGCCTGTAATCCCAGCTACTCAGGAGGCTGAGGCAGGAGAATCGCTTGAACCTAGGAGGTAGAGGTTGCAGTGAGCCAAGATCACACCACTGCACTCCAGCCAGGGGGACAAGAGCGAGACATTGTCTCAAAAGAAACAAGAAAATAGATCAACAGTGGTTTTCTTTGGATGGTGGCCTAATAGGTGACTTGTCAATTTCTTCATGCTTTTCTATATTTTTTAAAAAAAAGTGTTTCTTTTTTTTTTTTTTGAGACGGAGTCTCGCTCTGTCGCCCAGGCTCAAGTGCAGTGGCGTGATCTTGGCTCACTGCAAGCTCCGCCTCCTGGGTTCACGCCATTCTCCTGCCTCAGCCTCCAGAGTAGCTGGGACTACAGGCAATCGCCACCACGCCCGGCTAATTTTTTGTATTTTTAGTAGAGACGGGGTTTCACTGTGTTAGCGAGGATGGTCTCAATCTCCTGACCTCGTGATCCGCCCACCTCGGCCTCCCAAAGTGTTGGGATTACAGGCATGAGCCACTGCGCCCGGCCAAAGTGTTTCTTTTATAACAGGAAAAATAATTATAAACTTATTCTTAAAAAGAAAAATTCTGTTCAACCCTATATCCCTTGAGGTAAAGGGACCAGATACCCGTGGGAGGGCCTCCTTCCACTGCCAAGAAGAGCGGGAGGTGGCTCACTTCCTGCTCCAGAACCTTCTCGGTGTCCATGAAAGGCAGAAGTCTGGACGCGGGCAGCTTCTCATGGCTGAGGTGTCATGCTGGTGTGTACCTGTAGTCCTGCCCAAAAAGAGGAGGGCAGTTCCAGCTCCGTTTCCCTTGAGCAAACACTGGCTAAGCTGCCAGGCCAGCCACCAATCACCTTCCCAGTTCTGAGAGACCCAGCAGAGGCAAATCTGAGTGGAAGCATCCACATTAGGCCCCTTCTTGGAGTGGGGCCCGGGCTCACAGGCAGGCCTGAAGCTCCATGAGGGCAGAGGCTGCATTTTCATCGTAGTTTCCCCAGCACTGGGCCTGAATGTAACAGGTTCCCAAAAGACACAGGTTGGAGGGACATTTGTAATGATTACAGACATGAGCCACAGGAGTCACAGGAGGAGAAAAACAATTATGGTTATTAAGAGAACTGGTACCAGAAAAGTCAACCCATCCGTCAGGCTGCTTTTCACTTAGTGAAAGGGTCACTTGATCACCTATGATACAGGAGGTGCTGGGCTGGACCTCCACCCGCTTCTGCCTAATTAAGCCCTGCTTCTTTGGGACCCACAGAAAGCAGAGGACTGAAGCAGTGAAAGCCCGTGCCCCAGACTCAAAGGCACGGGCATGCGGCCCCATGGCCTGAGGACGGCTCCCACAGGCCAAGGAACTTTCACAGGACACCCAGCCCTTTCGTCTGCTTCAGAGGACACTTTCCTATTCTGCGCACTGGTAACTCAGCAGCCCTTCTATCTGGGGAGCAGGAACACGGCGCACCAAGTGTGGGAGTCGAGAGGGTGGATTCAAGTTCCCTCTCGGCTGCCTACTGGCTTTGTGTCCTAGGGCAAAACACCCGGCCCCTCTGAGCCAGTTTCCCATGTTGTCAAACGGGGCCAGAGGCCCTGGCTCTCCCAGAGGACTGCAGTGAAGATGGGAACAGTCGCCAAGCACTGCCCCTCTGCCTAAGACACATGTGGCTGTTGAAATTTAAATTAATTAAAATTAGACATCTTAAAAAATTCAGTTCCTGGCCGGGCACAGTGGCTCACGCCTGTAATCCCAGCACTTTGGGAGGCCAGGGCGGGTGGATTCCTTGAGCCCACAAATTTTAAGACCAGCCTAGACAACATGGTGAAAACTCTGCCTCTACAAAAAATACAAAAATGAGCTGGGCGTGGTGGTACATGCCTGTGGTCCCAGCTACTCGGGAGGCTGGGGTGGGAGAATGGTTTGAGCCAGGGAGACGGAGGTTGCAGAGATCCGAGATCATACCACTGCACTCCAGCCTGGGTGACAGAGCCAGACCTGTCTCATAAAATAAATAAATAAATGAAACCTCAGTTCCTCAGAGCCACACGTGGCTAATGGCTGCCCTAATGGACTGCAGGGACACGCCAGGAGTCTGTCATGCCAGAAACTCCTACTGGACAGCCCTGCTCTGAAGAACTGTTATGACTACTACATGGCTGTCAGCTTTTCCTGAGAACTGTGCCCATAAAGTGGCTGCTGGCACCAGGGCGGAACACCGTGGCAGTCAGGAGGTTCCCGGGTGTGCTCGGTCATGGAGTGCTGCCCAACTCCACCCCCCGCACCTCGCTCATTGAAGAACAGGTGCACACCGACAAGCCGGGGCAGAGGAGCCACCTCCCCACCTCCGTGGACCCAGGCGCAGCCCTCCCCTCTTCAGAAAGGGGAGCCTTCCCTGGAACATGACCTAAAGGACTGAACCACTGAGACACAAATTAATGCACTTGGAATCCAGGCTGCTTGAGTGAACCAAGGAAAACAGAAATTCTTGAAAACTTGAAGGCACATCAATACTGAAGAGGATGAACCCCATCCTTACCTACGAATCCAACTTCTGCGGCCAGAACATGTGGCTTTGCCTTTGTTAAAGAGCTGAGCAGAATCCCACAACCAGTGGCTAAACCCCCACACACTTGGGTGCAGATCCCGTATCTGCTCATCTCATCCCAGCCAGAAGGAAACAAAAACTCCCGCCACACACAAAAGCAAGCATGGAGTCTTTCAAGAGAGATTAAATACTCCCAAAGCCTGAGAGTCTAAAAGGGAAGGATCAGATCAGAAAGGGAAGCTGTCACCCCGGGACCATGACCCAACCTGCCCCCGGGGCCTGTGCTCCATCTGCTCACTGGATGAACGTGTAAGGGCCACCTGGGACCAGGCACACCTGAGTTCACAAAGAAGAGGACAGGTCCTGGGGAATAAAGCATGGCAAGGAAAGCCATGAAAGTCAGCCCAGGGAACTGGCTGCCTATAAAACGCTGGAGCAGATGGCCGCGCAAGCCAGGGGAGGGGCAGGCCACAACAAATAACTTCGCGCTAAACCTGAACTTTTAGCCCCGTGCATCTGGCCCTCTGCACACCCCAGGTTGCCTCATATCATGCTCAGAAGCAGATCAAGTACATCTTCACGTGATTATAAAAACAGGAACTCAAGAGCACACAGCTATACTCACATTCCAACAATCACGGAGGGCTCTGGGAGGTTCAGGGGCCCTGAGACAGTGAAGCCGAGCAGCCCAAGTAAGACAGGCAGGGCTGTCTGTGAGCTGGTCCGGGCTGGCACACGGTGGCAGAACACAGATACCTGCACTGTGCTTTCCTAGATGGGCAAGTGTGTCTCAAAGACGCCGACAGGACAAGTGGCAATCTGTTTGATGTGCTCGTTGCCAGTGTGCTGAATTTTGGACAAGAATTCAGGTTACAGCTCAGAGTCTGATGTTCTTCATTACAAACACTGTTGGTTCCCTAGATTTAATGGAGTGGAGAGAAAAATCAACATGCAAGCACTACCATTTTGCTATTTCCACCCCTCCTATCTTAGTCGAAACCAGCACTGTCCATATCATAACTTTCTGCAGTGATGGAAATGTCCTCCACCTATGCTGTCCAATATGGTAGCCACAGGCCGGAAGTGGCTATTGAGCACTTGAAATGTGGCTAGTGAGACTGAGGAGCTGAATTCTTCATTTTACTTAATTTTAATGAATTTAAATGTAATTGCCACATGTAGCTGGTGACTACTGAACTGCTGTGTTAATTCAGCACTAATTCTAGAGCTGTGGTTCTAGACTCAACAAGGTAAAGCAAGAACCCACACGCTACACGTGCTAAACTGGACCATCCAACACACAGCGCCGGCAGTAATACTGCAGGCAGTCTGGCACTGGGTGGGACCTTTAAGTACAATGCATGCTTCAGAGTTGGTAGCCGCTGGCAAATCTGGCAAGTGTGCCCAAAGTGTCACTCTGTTCTAGCCCCTTCCCCAAACCAGATAATGTTTCCCTCAGCTTCAGCAAAAGCAGATGCTAACCAGGTGTGAGCAGCAACGGGAGAGAGCACTCGTATAACATGGAGCTGAGATTTGAGTCAGCACGAATGTGACATGGAACAAAGTCATTTTAGAGAGCCATAAACAGCCTACTTCAGTCATAAGAGCCAATAATACACTCAGATCTCATAATCTAGAGTGCTGGGCCATCAGCTAATCCGCCCTGCCCCACCTGAACAGTCATCACCAACTGAGCAGGAATGGAGGGATGCCCAGAAGTCAGCTCGCTAGCCCCACAGCGGGTTATGTTTCCATCCCCTGCTCAGCATGGGAAGAGCTTAGGGAAGCTGGGCTCGGGGAAATGACTCTTCCAACAGAACCTGGCTAGGGGTTTACAGCAAGAGCAAACAGACAGGTAGTCTCCACCCATACCACGTTATCTAGGAGAGTAGATGGTGACATCCAAACTACAAAACCAAATGCCACATTCCTGCTGACACACAACATCTGCGTGTGTGAGTAGAGCCTTCAGTTCCAGGCCAAAGGTGCAACCTGAACACCTACAGAGACCAAGCAGGCAAATGCATTGAGTCAAGCTGACAGGTGATTTGAGTCAAGCTGTCAGGTGATTTGAGTCAAGCTGTCAGGTGAGGAACCAAGAACTGGAACCAAGCACTTGTCCCGACCAAAAAGAGTCAGCCACTACCCAGCTTTTCAGGGAGCGTTTTATATGAAATCTGCTGGCAACTAATTTAAATTCTCTTAAAAACTGTTGAGGTTCAACAGTCAAGGACTGGATCCAGCCTATGCACTGCTAATTTGCAGATCCATTTTGAATAAACAGTTGTCTCAAGCCAAAACAAAAACAATTCTCAGCATCTATTTTCTTAGATCAATAAAAGCTTAACCTGTGCTGGCAAGGCTCCTGTTCCCTGCCTGAGGCATCCCTATTCGGCTCTTTTCAGATGCTTTTAGTCCAACAAGAGGGCGTATGTTTCTAATACTTTGTTTTCTAAACAGGTTATTTCGTATTACTGTTTGCATTGAATATCTTGAAAATGTTTGCTAGTTTTTAAGAGCATCTGAAAACCATTGAGGTAACTTATTTAAATGGTCCAATCTAATACCAGGCGGGAGTTAGAAAAACAAAAGTGTGTTTACCACTGCTTTTCCAAGGAAGAGGAAATGCAGAATGGGCAACGCTGGATAACTGGGCTAAAGAATAAAGTGCAAGCAAGCTAAAGGATTCTATCACAACTGCCAAACAGGAAGAATCTTCCCAGCTGGGAAAGCCATCTGCAAGCAATAGCAATGAACACGGGATGGAATCAGTCACAGAAAAGGAATAATGCAGAGTAGTTGAGAGGAAGATAACTTTTCTGTTAGACAATCCTCACCAAAAAGACGGGGAGGGGGAGAACCAGCAAAACAAAAACTTTTCCTTTTTTGCTGACCGCTGCTATAACAATCAAGCTTTAGCGGACAGTTAATCCAGGTGGCTCCACCAATACATCTTCTCCCAAATTTCTAGTGGCTGAACAGCTTCTAGTGGTTTCCACTAGCTGAAACTGCTTCCCAGATGCAAAAACTGCAACTTGAACATGAAACACGGAAACTACTCCAATCTCATCTTCTAGAAATCAGTTATTCAAATGGAGGTCCCTGTTGGAAGAAACACGCTCCTAGCTCCCTGCCCACACACCATTCATTAGGAAAGGTCACTTTAAAGGACTTCTACGGCAGGAGCGCTTGCACAGAACCATCCAAAAGTCTTCAGAATCTTCCCTCGAGGAAGTGGCCGGCTCTGGGCTCGGAAGAGACACATCTGGCGGGAGCTAAAGCTCCCTAGTAAACGTGCAGATCAAACTACCCCTGCCGCGGCCGGCCTGCTCTGTGAAGGCTTCCCCTTCTTTCTCTCTCCGGGGGCCCTGCCTTCCTCTACACGTCTGGGGCCGCGGCCGAGATGGCCACGCGCGTGCCCAGGCGGGAAGGGTGCTTCAGCAGCCGATCGGCCCGCGGGCAGCTAGGCGGGTCCCTGAGGCCTGCGCTGGGCGCCAGTTCCTTTCAGCACGGCCCGGCCTCGGGCCCCGCCCCGCATGGCCGCTGCCTACCTTACTCAGCCCGGCTAACGCCCCTTCCCCTAAGCTCTCCGCCGAGGCCTTCGACCTCGCTCCCACCCGGATCCCGGATCCTCCGGAACTGGAACCCAGTATGCCCGGCGAGGGTAGGGGGAGCGCGGGGAAACCAGGGAAGGAAGGCTGCTGCAGCCCTCGGAGGCCGCGCTGGGCTCTCCGGCCGCTGAGCCGCCTGCACTGGGGGCAACAAGCCCTTGGATCTCACCTCTCTCGGGCGCTGCCGCCACTGCTGCCCGGGCCAAGACGCCTCCTTCCCCAAGCGGCCATCTTGGAGACACTCTGCTTGCCAACGTCTCGCGCCAAGGCGGCATCGGGAGAGCAGGCGGGCCGACGGGAAGTGTAGTCCGGCCTGCGGTCCGGGGCCGCTCGGCAGGCGGAAGCCAGACCCGGCGGAACTACCGTGCCCACAAGGCAGCGCGCCGGAAGCCCCGCCCCCGGGGTCGCCGGGGCCCGTAGTCCTTCTGCGAGGGCGCGAGGACTCCAGGAGCCGTCCTGGTTCGAGCATTTCTGAAGAAACTGAGTTCCCGGCGTTCGCAGCCTGGGAGTCACAGGCGCCCACCCACCGGTAGGTCCTTGAGTTTCGAGAGCCAGTAGCTGAAGGAGAGAGGAGAGGCAAGTGCCTACAACTCCCAGAGCACTGCGCGGAGGCGCCCGGCCGCGCTGTCCTGGCCGCCAGGCTGCCTCTCCCGCTGGGGGCCGCCGCGCTGTCTGCGGGCTACTAGCGCCGGGCCCCTCCGCGTCGCCACGCCTGCCCTTCACAGCCTTGGCCCATAAGGTCACCGAGGGGCGGGAGGCGCCGCCCGGGCCCTCCTTGGAGGCGGGCGCTGCTCCCGCACCATCCTCCCCCAGTTCTCTTAGACTCCGGGGTACTTTGGAGGCCGAGACAGACACGCTGTCCCTGCTGCCACGGAGGTCCCTGCTTGCAGGTGCAGGCTGTTAGAGGAGAGGGTCTGAAAACAAGAAAGGGGAATAGCTGTATGATAACTGCTTGAAGGCGAGAGGGCCCAGCGACAGCTCTGTTTTAGACAGGGCCTCCAGGCCTCTTAGACTCAGTCCCTGCCACGCACCCACTCCTGCCCTGGCCGCTGCGACGGCATAATCTCGGGATCTTTGAAGGCAGATGCGGGGCTAAACCATCCCACCTGACGGGAACCCTGCCACAGGACCCGACATATCCCTGTCTGGACACTGCTGTAACGAGTCAAAGTCAGGAAGGACTAACTGGAGCCCAGAGATTCCCAGGTGCTGCTGCCTCAGACCTGTGGACTCTTTGGAGGATCTCTTACAGTTTGTGAACTTCTCAGTTCCTCTACTGCTCCCACAGACAACGTTGCTAAACATATTAATTGGTCCCATAAATACTTGAGCAAAACAAATGCGAAAATCTGTCCCGAATTCAGCCTAGAAGAAGCCCAGCCCTGCGCGTCACACTTCTGTGTAGTGGAACCCCCCTTCCCACCCCGCCGCAGGCCACAGCAGGAGGGCCAGCAGACGGAAAGGCGACCCTCTCCTTGTTGAGGATTCCTTTCGATTTCCTTCCAGCTGACATTCTACCACAGTTTTAGCTGCTTGCAATCCTCTCACCGTCCCTCATCACCTACAGTGTGTGATTCAAATTCCTTAGCACAATCAAGAAGCCCCTCCTTAGTTTGGAAGTTGCCTAGCTCTCCAAATTCAACTGCCTACCTTTCCCGTCTGGAACTTGCCAGGCTAGTAAATTCAGAGGGTTTGCAGATACGTAGATGTTCTATGCTTTACCTAAAATGCTTTTACCTCCCAGCCAACTTTTTTTTTTTTTTTTGAGACAGAGTCTTGCTCTGTCGCCCAGGCTTGAGTGCAGTGGTGCGATCTTGGCTCACTGCAACCTCCGCCTCCCAGGTTCAAGCAATTCTCCTACCTCAGCCTCCTGAGTACCTGGGATTACAGGTGGTGCCACCACACCCAGCTAATTTTTGTATTTTTAGTAGAGACGGGGTTTCACCATGTTGGTCAGGCTGGTGTCCAACTCCTGACCTCATGATCCATCCCCCTCAGCCTCCCAAAGTGCTGGGATTTACAGGCATGAGCCACGGTGCCCAGCTCTCCCAGCCAACTTTTGTCCTTCAAGACCTTGTACCTGTCTGGTCTCTAAAAAGTACCTGGCCTTCCTGTTGAGTCATACAGCCCTGCCTCCAAGTGTCAGCGTAGTTCATGCTGGAGACCTCTTAACAGTTCCATGGTATGACACTGCGGATATGGCTGTCTTTTCTTTGTATCAGTGTGGTGATTCAGAGGGTATACTAGGGATTCTAGAACGCACTTCTGGCTCAGGGGCTGCTTGTGTAACTTCTGTTTCTCAGCTGCCTGGTTTGTATCATGGGATGATAGTATCTCCCCTCAGAGGATTGCGGTATTTCATGAGGTGATACGTGTATGGAGGCCAAGTGCTGTTTTATATTTTAAGTGATCTACATCTTGATTTTCACAACAACTGTATAAAAGTGATACTGTTGGCCAGGTGCGTTAGCTCACGCCTGTAATCCCAGCACTTTGGGAGGCCAAGGCGGGTGGATCACCTGAGGTCAGGAGTTCAAGACCGGCCTGGCCAGCATGGTGACACCTCGTCTGTACTAAAAATACAAAAATTAGCCGGGCATCGTGGCACACGCCTGTAATCCCAGCTACTCGGGAGGCTGAGGCATGAGAATCATTTGAACCCGGGAGGTGGAGGTTACAGTGAGCTGAGATCGCACGACTGCACTCCAGAATGGATGACAGAGCAAGACTCTGTCTTAATAATAGTATCACTTTTTTTTTTAATCAACAATCTCATTTTGTAAATGAGGAAATCAACTTACAGACGACCTGAGTGACTTGCTCACACTGCCAGCCAGGAAAGTGCTAGGATTTGAGCCCAGACTGTCCAGTTACAGAGATTACACTCTGCCATTGTGCCTCTCCAGAAGCACTGGAGGTAGGTCTAGTGCATAGAGTAAATGTAAATGCTGAAACAACTGTGGCCCTAATGAACATCCCATTTCTCCAGCTTTTTACTCTCCCCTTAACTTCTGAATGACCGTCTGCTTCTAATCTGCCAACTTGGTCTAAGATCCTCACGGTGTTTCCTCCTGATTACTGTTAATGCACGGAGGTTGTCTGGAAGGTTCATAGGCAGCCTGATTGACTCAGTATGTATTAGCTGAGCACCTTTGGAGGGCACAGCCTGAGTGGTGGGAATTAGTTCCTGGGGGCTGTCCTGCGGTGGAGACTCCCGTGAGCCCTCTGTCCTGCTGTATGAAGGCAGCCAGTGGAAAGGCATGTCCTCGCTGGTGCTCAAAGTAATCTGCTACTTCTCTTACTACACTTTTCATTCATTCATTCTTAAATCGTTGAAGGCATACTCTGCAGGTACTCTTGGGCACAGAGATACGGTGTTTAGTAAGACAAACACTGTTCCTGGGTCTTAACGGGCTTTACATTCCAATGGGATAAACAACTTAAGTAAATATTTTCAGAGAGGAGTACCAAGAAGAAAAGGAACAGGATGATATAATGGAGTGACTTGGAGATCACAGGTGGTAAGAGGTCACTCTAAAAAGGTAACATTTGAAGGCTGGGCACAATGGCTCACACCTGTAACCCCAGCACTTTAGGAGGCTGAGGAAGGAGGACAGCTTGAGTCCAGGAGTTTGAGGCCAGCCTGGGCAACATGGGGAGACCTTGACTCTACAAAAAATTTAAACATTAACTAAGTATGGTGGCACGTGCCTGTAGTCCTAGCTACTGGAGAGGCTGAGGTGAGAGGATCTCTTGAGCCCAGGAGTTTGAGACTGCAGTGAGCTATGTTTGTATTACTACACTCCAGCCTGAGGGACAGAGTGAGACCCTGTCTCTTAAAAACGAAAACCCGACTGTATCAAAAGGTAACATTTGAGTGGGACTTGAAAGAGTGTGCATGCGAAGGACTGAAGACAGAATGTTCTGTGCAGAGCGAATTAATGCAATGGCTTTGCAGTGCAGATGGGCCTGGGGTGGTCCAATAAGGTTAGGACCAAGGTGGCTGGAGCATCATGAGACAAGCGTGGTACTTAGCTTGCCTTTGGTTAAGTCACTTTCTCTATTTGAATTTCAGTTTCTCACCTGTAAAATATGAGTAATTTTATCTGTATTAGCCAGTGTGTAATTAGAGGAAAAACCATTTAATACAGGGTATTGTTTACAAAGGTGTTGGAAGGGCATGAGAAACAAGGGGAGAACAAGGGCACCCAAAGCCTGACCCCCACAAGGCTAGAGGAGCAACAGGAAAATTCGTTTCCAGAGACTGATTCCTCAGCTGCTGAGCAGGAGCCTGGAGCCACACTTGCTGCCTGGTACTACTGACACACAACTGGAACCACCGCTGTGGCCTGGGGTGCCACCAGAAGCCAGAGATTAGAATTGCTTTCCCCATCTCATATCTTCCAAACTCCCACCAGTGCCTCCCACTGGCTGAGTCAGATGACAAGGGAGTCTGGGAAATGTAGTTGTTTGGCTTCCAGCCCTGACCATGGAGAGTATAGAAAGGCAGGTGTAGGGGAGAAAATAGATGCCATTCACACAGCGCCTATCTTGCAGGGCTGTTTTGAGGAGTAAAAACTCAGCCTATTTTTATTCCTCATAGCATGTAGTAGCATTCAGGGAAAGGCAAATCTTCCAAAACAATATCTTAGGTATAATAGTTCTACATAAAGGTTTGAATTTACCATTAAAAGCATCAAAATGAGCATTTTAAAAGTAGAATTTTAAGTCTGAATGGGCAGTATATTCACATGGTATAAAATTCAAATTACAAAACAATATACAGTGAAAAATAAGGGGGTTTTTTTGCTCATCTTCTTGTGACCTGGCTCTTTCCATCTCTGTCCACAACCCTCTGCAGGCAATAACTGGTACCTTTGTTATGGATCCTCTGCAGATATAAAGTAGACATATATTAACAAATGTTTTCTTTGGCCCAGAGGATGCATATTATGCACATTCCTCCATTTCTTGTTTGTTTTTGTTTTTTCCACTTAATTGTATCTTGGAGATCACTCTGTATCAGTATATATCTGATTTGTTTTAGCAGTACATGATAATCCATTGTTTGGATATGCCATAATTGTATCAGCCAGTCTCTGGACAGTCTTTTACTATTTCAAGGAGTGCTGCAGTAAACATGTTTGCGCCACTTCCTGGTACCCATTGCAAATAAAACTGGGATAATTTCCTGACGAGAACTTGCTGGGTCAGAGTGTAGGCACTTGTTGTTTTGATAAATATTGCCAGACTACACCCCACTCCCTCCAGCAGTACATGACACTGCCTATTTCCCCACAGCTGTGCCAGCATGGTCTGTTAGCAAGTGTTTTCTTTTTGCAAATTTAAAAGTGGTATCTCGCTAAATGCAATATGGTAGCAGAGGACATTTGTGGAAAAACAGGTGAAATCTGGGCTGGGTGTGGTGGCTCATGCCTATAATCCCAGCACTTTGGGAGGCCGAGGCAGGCGGATCACAAGGTCAGGAGTTCGAGACCAGCCTGGCCAATATAGTGAAACCCCGTCTCTACTAAAAATACCAAAAAAAGTTAGCTGGGCATGGTGGTGCAAGCCTGTAATCTCAGCTACTCGGGAAGCTGAGTCAGGAGAATCGCTTGAACCTGGGAGGCGGAGGTTGCAGTGAGCCAAGATCATGCCACTGCACTCCAGCCTGGGTGATGGAGTGAGACTCTGTCTCAAGAAAGGAAAAAAAAAACAAAAAACAGGTGAAATCTGAATGGGGTCTTGAGTTCAGTTAATAGTAACTGCCAATGTTGGTTCTTAGTTTTGACACATACCATGACTATGTGAGATGTTAATGTCAGGGGAACCAGGATGAAGGCTATACAGAACTGTACTATTTTTGCGACTTCTCTGTACATCTAAAATTATCCTTAAAAAGGTTTCTTTAAAAAATGACATCTTGTTTTCTGTAAAATTTGAATTTCTCATGAGTGAAATGGAACGTTTTGAATATGATGCTCTTTTTAAAAGGTGGCCTTAATAATTTGTATTTACTAAGGAAAAAAGTCAGAGTTTATTTACTTTAAAAAAATTCAGGCCGGGCGTGGTGGCTCATGCCTGTAATCCCAGCACTTTGGGAGGCTGAGGCGGGCGGATCACGAGGTCAGGAGATCAAGACCATCCTGGCTAACATGGTGAAACCCTGTCTCTACTAAAAATACAAAAAATGAGCCGGGCGAGGTGGCAGGCGCCTGTAGTCCCGGCTACTCTGGAGGCTGAGGCAGGAGAATGGCGTAAACCCGGGGGGTGGAGCCTGCAGTGAGCAGAGATTGCGCCACTGCACTCCAGCCTGGGGGACAGAGCGAGACTCCGTCTGAAAAAAAAAAAAAATTCATTAACAGTACATTTAAAATTTCTGTTACTGGAGATTGTATTTCTCATTCCATCCATTAATGTGCAGCTTCAATGTTTTCCCCCAGATATGCAATTTCACTTACAGGATCTTGTTCTTCAGTGACATGTCATAAGAGTTAATAATTCCACAAGCCACCCTGCACTGCTGTGATCCTAACAATATTGAAAGGTTGGTGTGTATCCTTTCCTACCTTTCCTCATTCTAAAATGTTTCCTCGTTCTAAATGCCAAGCTGGTTTTGAACAACTGACCTCAGGTGATCCACCTACCTTGGCCCCTCAAGGTGCTGGGATTATAGGCATGAGCTAACATGCCCAGCCCTAATCTGCTCTTCTTAGATGGATACTTGTCAGATTGGGTTAAGACCCACTCTCATGGCCTCATTTTAACTTAATTTTCTCTTTAATAAAAGTCCAAATGCAGTCCATTCTGAAGTACTGGGAGGTTAAGATTGTGTTATTTGAATTGAAGTGAGGGTGAGGGGCAGGGGCACACAACTCAGCCCATAACACGTAGGATTAAAAAAATTCTTCGGGTCCGGGGAGGTGGCTCACACCTATAATCCCAGCACTTTGGGAGGCCAAGGTGGGAGGATCACTTGAGCCCAGGAACTGGAGGATGCAGTGAGCTATGACTGCACCACTGCACTCCAGCCTGGGTGACAGAGTGAGACCCTGTCTCAAAAAATAAAGTGAAGCCTCAGCCTCAGCATACAGTGAGGCAGTGTGTGTGTGCAGTGAATCGAAGTTCCAGTCATCATTACTTCATTTCAGGGCTCCACACTGCCATCTGGGCATCCCCAGGCCTCTCTGGACTGGCCCTGCCCCACCCTCATGGAGGTAGCCTTTACCTGGCAGGCACCTCAGAGGCTGGTCCTATATGTCACATCATTGAGATAAAAAGAAATCCAAGGCTGGAAGCAGTGACAAATGGTGTGGACTTGGTGGAAGTTGCCCAGGGAGATGGATGAGAATGGTGACATCACACATAGCACGGCTTTTTCTCCAAAATCCCAGGACTTACCACAGTGGCCACACTCTGTCTCTCACCTGTTCACTTTCTTCTGCTCGCTCGCTCTCTCTCAGCCTCCCCTGTCCCACCTTTTCCATATGCGAAGACTCTCCCCCAGCACCCCTGTGGTGGTTTAAAAGCATGGCAGCAAACTCCTCGGCATTCCTTCCTTCAGGGTGGTGCCTAAGTCCCCTCCCAGGGAATCTGAGTGGGCCTATAACTGCTTCAGTCAGCAGGGTGTAGAGGAAGTGATGCTGAATGACTTTTAAGGTTGGCTCCTAAAAGGCCATAGAGGCTCTGTCACTGGAGCTCCCTGTGCTGTGATGGAAGTCTGAAGTCTTAATGCTGAAGAAGCCCAAGCCATGTGGAGAGGCCAGGTGTCAAAGCTCTAGTGAGCATCACAGCTGAGCAGGGACAGGGCCCTCTGCTTCTTGTGGAGCCCTCTCTAGATTCCCCACACACAGAATCCACAAGCAGAATGAAGTGGCTGTGATTTGATGCCCCTGGTTTCCTTGTTATGCAGCAGTAGATCACTGAAATCAACCCCCTTCTAAAGGCCTCTCTGCAGACATTCTCCACTTGGTGAGACCAAAGCTAGCCTAACAGGGCTCAGCAGCAGAGAAGCCCAGCCATTGGCCAAAAAAGCCACTGGCTACCATGCAGCCAGGATGTCCTTGGGGAGCCTTGATCTATCCCACCACATCAACATTTCCACCTCAGACATGGGAAAGGCACCAAGGTGTGAGCATGGGCAGTACTCCTAGGGAACCCCAAGCACACCCCATTGCCCCAAGATGCAAATGGAACTCCTCACTGGTCCCATAGTTTTACAATGTGAGTCTAGGAAAGCACAGATGAGCCCTCTTTTATGTTATTGTCCGCCTTGGCGGAGAATGGAAACAGCAAGAATGCTGAGCTTGTGGTGCAGACTTGGAGATGCATTTGTCACTAGAACCTTAGCGCGTGCTTGTACAACCCTGGTGGTGGAGAGATGAATGGACGAGGCCCCTCCTTTCCATAGCTCATGTGGCCAGCCCCTCATCTAAGGCAGGGGCCAAAACAGAGCAGGAATGTGGAAGGGTGGCCAGCTGTCCTGGCTTGCCTGGGCCTGAGGGGAGTCCCAGGGCATGGGATTTTTAGTTTTAATATTGGGAGAGTTTTGGGCAAACTGGGCCAAGTTGGTCACATGAGGGTGTGGCAAGCAAGGCAAAGATGGTTTGATCATTGCAGCCCCTCACTTCCCATAGCTCACTGCAGAGCCTGTGTCATCCTGACAACAACGATGTGGAAGGTGAGACATCTGGCAGCATTTTGACTTCATGAACTGGGAAACGCACATGGGTGGAGGCGCCTGCCCACGCTGCCCAGTGTCTCATGGTGGCCACAAGAGGCTGCGGCTCCTGTTGCTCAAACAGGGCCCTGTTCTTGTCCAGCATTTCCACAGCAAGGCCCCTGCTCACACCAGACACTTCCAGGGAACCCTTGGCCAGATGACAGCAGTTGCTCTGGTAGTTAACGTTATGGGAAACAGATTCTAGGAAGCGCCCATGCATCGCATCACACTTTTTCATCTCTCCTTCTGTCCATCCTTCTGCCCACTCCTAGTTAGGGCATGTGTGCTCCAGGCTGGGAGCCAGGGCAGCCTCATGGGTCAGCCCCATCCGCAAGGAACCCATGTCTGGGGAGACAGGCATTCAAGAATGAGATATTTTCAGGTGAGTGCTAGGCAGGCGATATCACTGAACATACTTAGGGGTGAGTGGGGAAGGAGGTCTACCTAGGTAAGGAGGTATGTGAGTCTGTCCTAGCCAAATACCACAGACTGGGTGGTTGAAACAACACAGTTCCTGCTCACAGTTCTGCAGGCTGAAGTGCAAGATCAAGGTGCTGGCAGATCCCGTTCCGGCTGAAGGCAGATGTCTGCCTTCTTGTGTCCCCACATGGCTGAGAGACACAGAGAGTTCTCTCCTTATAAGCATACCCTTTCTGTCAGATTAAGATGCCACCCTGTGGCCTCATTGCACCTTCGTTGCCTCCTAAAAGCCCCGTTTCCAAGTACAGTCCCATTCTGAGGTCCTGGGAGTTAGGTCCTTAACACAGGAATTCTAGGCGGACACAATTCAGTCCCTAGCACCCCCGTTCCCAGTTGGATCAAGGCCTCAAAATGAAGACAGGCTTGTCTCACCTCACCTGTCCCTCTTCTGAGAAGCTGCAAGACTGAGAGGGAGCTGGAGATAATAGGTTGATTTGGGACAAGGACACTACAGGGTGAGGACATGGCTCTGTGTCCCAAGGTTTTGGGGCAGCAGACTGGTGGAGGACCATGCTCAAGGGTTCTGAAGGGGAGCAGCTTCCTTGGCAGCCCGAGGCCCAAGACACAGAGGGCAGAGCACACAGATACGAGCTGGGGCTGGATACATTGCTGACTCTGGGTAGAAGGCGATGGAAATGAGGGTCTGACGCTATGTTCAATCCTGTCCCACCCTATGTGATGGCTGGAGGGACAAGGGAACCCCAGTAGGATGATGGATTCCTAGGGGTTGCAAAAGGAATGGGCAGGGCCAGCCATCACTGAGACAGCACCCAGGCGGTCTCGTAGGTTTTGCTTAGAGACTGTGTGCTCCACTTGCCATTGCCAGGAGAGGCATCCACCCAGGCGTCCATGAATACATGGATACACACAAGGAGGTGCAGCCACATGATACAATGTGATTCAGCTAAAGGAGAGTGGAGCTCCGGTCCATGGACCTTGCGGAGGCACCTTGAGAACATTGTTCCGGGTGAAAGAAGCCAGACACAAAATAAAATATTGTATGGTTACAACAATGTGGAAATGTCCAGAACAGGCACATCCACAGAGACAGAAACCAGATGTGTTACTGCCAGGGGCTGGGGGCAGGAGGGAAAATGGGGATGGCTTCTCGGGGGAATGAGGTTTCTTTTGGGAGATGAGAATGTTTTGGAAGTAGATAGAGGCGATGGCTGTGCCACATTGTGGATGCACCAAATGCAACTGAATTGTACTCTGAAATGATTAATTGTACATTGTGTGAATTTCACCTAAATTTAAAGAAAAAGGTGACCATGAGAGCAAAATCTGTCCCAGCCATGGAAACCCCCGGGCTCACCTGGGTACACTTAAACCGAACTCTCTGGCCCCTTGCTGGTCTACCTCCCCAGCCCAGACCAACAAATAGCAGGTCCTGGAGATATCTGGGCAGCATCCACACATCATTTCCATAGAGCACATGCCAGGGGCCCTGGCATGAGTGGGACAGAGATGAGGGAGACCACCGCAGAGAGCCACAGGATAGATACTGTGCTGCTCACAAAGGTCCTTTAAAATTTTCCAGCAGCGGCTGGGCATGGTGGCTCATGCCTGTAATCCCAGCACTTTGGGAGGCCAAGGTGGGTGGATCACTTTAGGTCAGGAGTTCAAGACCAACCTGGGCAACACGGTGAAACCCCGTGTCTACTAAAATACAAAAAATTAGCCAGGAGTGGCAGCGTGTGCCTGTAGTCCCAGTTACTCGGGAGGCTGAGGCAGGAAAATCGCTTGAACCAGGGAGGCGGAGGTTGCAGTGAGCCAAAATCACGCCACTGCACTCCAGCCTGGGCGACAGAGTGAGACTGTCTCCAGAACAAACACAATTTTCCAGTAGCAACACTTAAAAAGTAAAAGGAGGTGAAATTATGTTTTCTCTTTGAGACAGAGTCTTGCTCTGTCGCCCAGGCTGGAATGCAGTGGCGCAATCTCAGCTCACTGCAACCTCCGCCTCCTGGGTTCAAGCGATTCTTTGGCCTCAGCCTTGCAAGCAGCTGGGATTACAGGCATGTGCCACCAAGCCTGGCTAATTTTTGTATTTTTAGTAGAGATGTGGTTTTGCCATGTTGGCCAGGCCTGTCTCGAACTCCTGACCTAAAGTGATCCACCTGCCTCGGCCTCCCAAAATGCTGGGATTACAGGCATAAACCACTACGCCTGGCCTGAAGTTAATTTTAATAATATATTTTACTTAACCCAGTATATATCCAAAAAGTATCATTTCATCATGTCAATTAGAATTTATGAGTGAGACATAGGTGGGAGTTGAACAATGAGGACACATGGACACAGGGCGGGGAACATGACACACCGGGGCCGGTGGGAGTCGGGGGCAGTGGGAGGGATATCATTAGGAGAAATACCTAATGTAAATGATGAGTTGATGGGTGCAGCACACCAACATGGCACATGTATTCCTATGTAACAAACTTGCACATTGTGCACATGTACCCTAGAACTTAAAGTATGATAATAATTTAAAAAGGAATTTGAGATATTTTAACATTCTTTTTCTTTCTTTCTTTTTTTTTATTTTTTTGAGACGGAGTCTTTCTCTCTCGCCCAAGCTAGAATGCAGTAGTGTGATCTTGGCTCACTGCAACCTCCGCCTCCCAGGTTCAAGTGATTCTCCTGGCTCAGCCTCCCGAATAGCTGGGACTACAGGCACAAGCCACCACACCTGGCTAATTTTTGTAATTTTAGTAGAGGCAGGGTTTCACCATATTGGTCAGGCTGGTGTTGAACTCCTGACCTCAGGTAATCCACCTGCCTTGGCCTCCCAAAGTGCTGGGATTAAAGGCGTGAGCCACCACACCCAGCCAACATCCCTTGTCTCCCCTCCCCTCCCTTCCTCCTCCCCTCCCTCTTCCCTCCCCTTTTCTTCCCCCTTTTTGAGACAGACTCTTGCTCTGTCGCCCAGGCTGGAGTGCAGTGGTGCAATCTCGGCTCACTGCAACCTCCGCCTTCCAGTTTCAAGCGATTCCTCTGCCTTAGCCTCCTGAGCAGCTGGGACTACAGGCACGCACCACCACGGCTGGCTAATTTTTTGTATTTTAGTAGAGACGGGGTTTCACCATGTTGGCCAGGATGGTCTCGATTTCCTGACCTCGTGATCTGCCCACCTCGGCCTCCCAAAGTGCCGGGATTACAGGAGTGAGCCACTGCGCCCAGCCAACATTATTTTTCTTCATACTGACTCTTCCAAATTCTCTGTGGGGTTTTGCACTTGGAGAGTATCTCACAGATCCTGAAACCCAGGGACTCCTAGAAACTTCTCTCCAATTCTTTAGAGAGAACGCTGCAGCTCGGAGGGGCCTCGGGGGGATCTGGTGTGACTTTTCCCATTTCCACAGAGGAAACCCAGCGAAGCCTAGGGAGGTCCTAAGATGACCCTGGGGCCCCAGTGTAAGCTTGCAGCGGAGCCAGGACCAAATGCCTGTCCCACCAGCCCTCGCCTCCCTGCTAGGGCCCAAGGCGTCTCTGCTCTTCCGGATGGAGAAAGAAGCTGCCTTTTGAGGCTGCATCTCATCTTGTGGTTTGGGGTTGGAGTTGGGAGAGAATGCCTGAGAAAAGGTCAGGTGTGGTGGCTCACACCTGTAATCCCAGCACTTTGGGAGCCCGAGGCGGGCAGATCACGAGGTCAGGAGTTCAAGACCAGTGTGGCCAATATGGTGAAACTCTGTCTCTACTAAAAATACAAAAAATAGCCAGGCGTGGTGGCGCATGCCTGTAGTCCCAGCTACTCGGGAGGCTGAAGCAGAAGAATCGCTTGAACTCAGGAGACTGAGGTTGCAGTGACCCAAGATCATGCCACTGCACTCCAGCCTGGGTGACAAAGCAAGATTCCGTCTCAAAAAAAAAAGAAAAAAGAAAATGCCTGAGAAGATAGGAATTGGTGGAGATGAGGGGACACAGGTCCCCAGGCCTCCTGGACTTACATAGCCTGGGAAGGCGGAGTCAGAAGAAGGAGGATGGTATGCGGGAAGAGAGGCAAGAAAGATGCCAGCGAGGGAGAACAGCAGGGGGCATGGGAATAATTTGGGATTTGCTTCCACGGATTGGGGGGGCGACAGGTCTTAGCTTCCTGTGGCCACTGTAGCAAATGACCAGAAATGGGGTGGCTTCAAACAGCAAGCATTTGTTCAGAAGAATGAAATCAGGGTGCTGGGAGGGCCGTGTTCCCTGAGAGGCTCTGGAGAGATGCTCCCTCCCTCTCCCACTTCTGGTGGCTGTGGCCTGCCTGGACTCGTGGCCTTGTCACGCCAGCCTCTGCCTCATGGTTGCACGTCAGCCTTCTTGGTCTCAACTCTCCCTCCGCCTCCCTCGTATAAAGACACTTGGTTGGGTTTAGGGCCCACCCAGATAATCCAGGATGATCTCCTCATCTCAAGATCCTTAATCTCACTGGGTGTGGAGGCTCACGCCTGTAATCCCAGCACTTTGCGAGGCTGAGGTGGGAGGATCTCTTGAGCCCAGGAGGTCGAGGCTGCAGTGAGCTGAGATTACACCACTGCACTCCAGCCTGGGCGACAGAGCGATATCCTGTCTCAAAATAATCATCATCGTAATGAAAGATCCTTAACCTAAGTACATTGACAGATATTTTTCCAAATATAGTGGCACTCACGGGTTCTAGGAATTAGGATGTGGGCATGTCACTTTGAGGGTCACCATTCAACGCACTGCAAAGTGACAGAGTGAGAACATCAGTCCAAAAGTAAGGAGAGACCCTGTGCCATCAGAGACGGTGTATCCTGTGGAGTCATTCAGGCAGGTGACTTGGAACAGGGAGTTTCAGCGTAGTGAGCCCTTGGTGCCTGGCTTAGGAGTGAATGAGATTAGGAGGTTACAGAGGCCTTCCTAAGAGGCCCCAAGAGTCTTCCAGACCTCAGCACCCCCATCTGGAGGGGAGCAGTGGGGCCCTGTTGCCCTCACACCTGTGTCTCTATTGTCTGAAAGTTCAGTAGAAGGGAGTTCACCACCTCTGTCACCTCTGTCAGCTCCTGCCTGGGGGCCACTCTCTCCTCACCCAGACACAGGCTCCCCAGCCAGATCACTCTGGAACTTTCCCTGGCAGCTCAGAGTGGCAGGAGTCAGAGCTGTGTTGACATTGCACATTTTTGAACCTGTCTACAGCAGCCTGGGTTGGGCACAACCTGGAATTGCCCTCAGGAGCTGCCTTGGGCCTGTGCATCAGTGAGGCCAGGGCGGCCGCCTCTGTACTGACCTGCCAGTCGGCTGGCTCTTCCTGCTTCCTTCCTGCTGCTCCAGGCCTCCCAGGTCTAGCACACGTGCATTCATTGTGGCCAGGAGTCCTGCATTGAGGCTCAGGACACCTGGGTCTCTGTCCCACCTGCCCCTAACCTGTCACCCCACCTTGGGGCCTTGGTTTCTCTCCTTTAAAAAGGAGTTGAATTATGGAAGGTTTCTTCCAGCTTGGTCCTCTGTACAGGGGATTGTGCCAAGCATGGGTGGTGGGCAAGAGTTAAGGAGGAAGGTGGCTGGCTATAGTGGCTCACGCCTGTAATCCTAGCACTTTCGGAGGCCAAGGCGGGCGGATCACTTGAGGTCAGGAGTTTGAGACCAGCCTGGCCAACATGGTGAAACTCTACTAGAAATACAAAAATTAGCCGGGCGTGATGACAGGCGCCTGTAATCCCAGCTGCTCCGGAGGCTGAGACGTGGGAATCACTTGAACCCGGGAGGCAGAGGTTGCAGTGAACTGAGATTGCACCACTGCACTCCAGCCTGACTTTTTGAGACTCTGTTTCAAAAAAAAAAAAAAAAGGAAAAGGAAAAGGAAGGTGATGGCAGGTAGGGGTTTCCTGAGAGACTATGAGGGGAGCCCAGGGCCAGAGAGAGCAGGGAAGGCCCAGCCAGCGACTGCTATCTATAGAGTGGGCCAGTGCCTGTCAGGTCACTGTATCCTCCCAGCAAACTCCTATCCTTATTTGTTCTGGAATGTTCTCAGTGGTGTCTGGTGGAATTGCTCTCCTAGGTATAAGCTCAGATTGGGTTTCTGCCCATCCTGGGGTCAGCTGAGACAGGGTAGTGTGTGTTGTAGGGAGAAGCACTGAGCTGCCCTCTGACATCCTTCGGCTACAGGGACCAAAACGAGTTTAGGAAGGGTGTGATCTGATACGTTTATTCTTTTTTTTTTTTAATTTTCATTTTTCTTTTTTTTCCCCTCTTTTTTTTAGAGACGGGGTCTCGTGTTGCTCAGGTTAGAGTTCAGTGGCTATTCACAGGCATGATCTCACTGCTAATCAGCATGGGAGTTTTGACCTGCTCCGTTTCCAGCAGAGGCTGGTTCACCTCTCCTTAGTCAACCTAGTGGTCCCCTGCTCCCAGGAGGCCACCATGTTGGTGCTGAACTTAGTGTGAACACCTGATTGGCATAGCACACTACAGCCCAGAACTCCTGGGCTCAAGTGATCCTCCCGCCTCAGCCTCCCGAGTGACTGGACTACAGGTGTGCCCCACGACACCCAGCTAACCATTTTTTAATGAAAAAAAAGTGTAGTTTTCTCCATTTTTTTCATTCAAAAATCTTTCTTTCAGCTAATACTTATAAGCACCTGCTTTGTGCTAGGCTTATTTGTGCAGTAAATTCTTTTTTTTTTTTTTTTTGAGACAGAGTCTTGCTCTGTCGCCCAGGCTGGAGTGAGGAAGCCCTAATATATAATCTTCAGTCAACTGTTAATCTGGAAGCCTCACCACATTGCTTTTTGGATTAGCAGAATGCCATCCTGGGGAATCCCAGCAGAAAGGAAGAAAGGAGCACTGTCAGTCTTACTGGTCACCCCTGGCCAAGGCCCAGTCATGACCCTTCCTTCCATCTCCATTTGATCCCATCATAAACCTCAAGAAAAGTAAAAAGCATCATCATCTTAGGAAAAAGTGTGGCGGGGGTGCTCAATATGTTGATCATGTTATGGCAAGACTCCAGATTATCTCTCTTCTTCTTTTTTTTTTTTTTTTTTAGGCGGAGTCTCACTCTGTTGCCCAGGCTGGAGTGCAGTGGCGCAATCTTGGCTTACTGCAAGCTCCGCCTCCCGGGTTCACGCCATTCTCCTGCCTCAGCCTCCCGAGTAGCTGGGACTACAGGCTCCCGCCACCATGCCCAGCTAATTTTTTGTATTTTTTAATAGAGACGGGGTTTCACCGTGTTAGCCAGGATGGTCTCGATCTCTTGACCTCGTGATCTGCCCGCCTCGGCCTCCCAAAGTGCTGAGATTACAGGCGTGAGCCACCGCGCCGGGCCTTGTGCATTAAATTCTAAAAGCAACGCTCGTACGGAAATGCAGGCATTTTGTGAGCAGCGCCTGGTTCCCTCCTGGCTGTGCAGCTGTGGGGCCTGGCTGTCCTTACTCTCCAGTGCAGGTGGAGCTCCTGTGGAAAGTGCAAAGGGTCCTGTTTCCAGGGCTATGAGTGCTGTCACTTGTCACTTGTATGCTTGCGCCAGGGCACCCAGTGGGGCAGGCATGGAAGCTTGTTGCAGCAGCACCCTCCTCCCTGCCCCTGGAAACTAACATGACCTCAGCAGGACAGGCCATTTCTGGGAGGCAGCCTGTCCACATGGAACACGTTGCCATGGATGGTATGATGGTGGTCAGCTGCATGGGTCATCTGGCGCAAGACTGGCCCAGGCATCTCTGATCTTAGGGCTGACAAGCGCTGGATGAAGAGTAAGTGGTGGTCTGGGCTCTGGCCCCAGTGACATCATGCGCTTGCAGTGGCCCTGAATAGCCACCCCTGCTTCTGCGCCTTCTTTCTCTGCTTAGAAATGAGCCCTGCCATCACGCTGGACCCTTCATCCACTCAATATTTTTCTTAAGTGGGTTCATTCTTTGAACACTGAAACATATTATTTAAAAGGGAAACTGGCCGGGCGTGGTGGCTCATGCCTGTAATCCCAGCACTTGGGGAGGCCGAGGCAGGTGGATTGCTTGAGCCCAGGAGTTCAAGACTAACCCAGGCACCACAGGAAGACCCTGTCTCTACAAAATATCAAAAAATTAGCTGGGAATGGTGGTGCATGCCTGTAGTCCCAGCTACTCAGGAGGCTGAGGTGGGAGGATTGCTTGAGCCCTGGAGGTTGAGGCTGCAGTGAGCTGTGATTGTGCCACCATCCTCCAGCCTGGGAGACAGAGTGAAACTCCATCTCAAAAAATAAATATTTTATTTAGAAAAGGAAGCTCTGTGCAGCCACCTAAATGGAACACCTGTATCATGTGCAGGTAACTGCAAAAGTAAATACAATGAAGACCAAAGCCAAAATATTATAAAATTCCAGATAGACTTGGCTGCCTCCCTACATCTCGGTGCCTGGGCTCTGCATTTGTTGGAGTTAGGGGCGTGCTGGCCTGGAGCTGAGCCCTACTTCACCTACACAGGTGACTGGAAGATCCTTGAAGAGGGAGGCTCTTTCCCAGCAGGTGAGGGGTGCCATTGAACTTGGGGCTTTGCTCTATCTAGGAAGGCCTGCCAGCCGGCGTGCCTCTGAAGAAATGCTCACCTGTGAGCAGGGAGCGCTCCCTAAACGCTAGTGGTGGGATTCTCCCTCTCTCCACTGGGCCTCAAAACACAGGCTCTTTGTTCACATGGCTGGAGACTGCCGAGGGTTTGGCTGCTGCTCAGGACCGCCTGGATTCCTCACAGAGAGTGGCAAGGAGGCATCAGGATACACCAGGAAATTCCCAGAACCATAAGGTGGGAGACCCAGGTTTGAGTCCTGCCTTTGGCACCAAGCCAGCTGGGGGACTTTATTATTCATGCAGTCTACAAATATTTATTGAGCATTTCCTGTGTGCCTGATACTGTGCCAGGGCTGGGCTTTGGCAGTAAACAAGATGGAAATGAAATTGCTTTGGCAATTTGGCAGTCTGGCAATTTGGCAATGAACAAGATGGAAATCAAACCCCTTGCCCTAGTGGGGCTTTTATTGAAGTGACAGGAGATAGTCAGCAAACAAGGAAACAAGTAGGAAACTTCCAAGTAGTGATATGGGATCAGAATAAGATGGGGTAATAGGATAGAGTGCCTAGGGAGCCAGCATTAGATGGGGAGGTCAGGGAAGGCAGTGTCTGGAATATGGGTGTGATGCCTGGAGACATAGCAGCCATTTTGTGACCATGAGGCAAGAAGCATGAGGACAAAAAACAACATAGCAACGATGCTGCAGAGGGAAGTTGAGAAGAGCCTAGGCCTTTGATGACATCATTGCACCACTGCACAAACTCTGGACCTTCATCCTCCAGGCTTCATGATACATGAGATAAATGAAATGCCCTGTGGGTTAGGCTTTTCTAGCAGCTAAACATGTCTTTAACTAAAACAGACTTAAACGACAAGGAAGAGCAAACTAGGAGAATATGTAGAAGAAGAACATTTCAGGTAGAGGGAACACATGTGCAAAGGCCCTGAGGCAGGAATGAGCTTGAAAGAGTTGATGAACATAACGTCAGTGCAGCTGAAGTGTGATGAAGTGGAGGGACATAGGTAAGCAGAGGCAGCATTGGGGCCCTTGGGTTTTATCCTTCATGCAGTAAATAAGAGGGCATTGGGGACTTTTGAGCAGGAGAGAGACACGATGTGATTGAGGTTTTAGAAAGCTCTTTCTGGCTGCTGCATGGAGCCCACAGGGGGCAAGACAGCAGTCAGGCCAAAAGGTCAAGTGAGGAGTGATGGACTCTGGCCTGACTCGGCCACAGCAGAGATGGAGTCTGGGGGCCACGCATATAATACACCACACACACCTCAATACACCCCCTTCTGCCCAGGCAGACCCAGGTTCCAGTCCTGACCCTGCCACTTGTCAGCTCTCAAACCTACCCATTTTCTCTCTCCTTACTGCCCCAATCATAGTGCAGGACGTCATCGTCTCTCACCTAGCATCTGCCACGGCCTTCTAATCTGCCTTCCTACCTCTAGCCTTCATCCCTCCCATCCTTTTTCCACATCCCAGCCACAGTTATATATTTTTTCTTTTCTCTTTTTTTTTTTTTTTTCCAGATAGAGGTTCACTGTGTCACCCAGGCTGGTCTCCAACTCCTGGGCCCAAGTAATCCTCCCACCTCAGCCTCCCAAAGTGTTGGCATTACAGGCGAGAGCCACTGTGCCTGGCCTAGCCACAATAATTCTTTTAAAACAATAAATGTAACCATACTGCTTCTCTGCTTAGAATCTTCTAGTGGAGCCTCAGCGTCAAGTCTAGATCCCTGGCCATGGCCTGTGTGTTTGTCAGGGCGTTGTCAGCTGCTGGAGCAAATGGGCTGAGAAATGCTTCATAGTTAAGATGCAGTTCAGTCTGGTTCTTCCTCACTGTGGTGTGAAGTAGGTGTCTCTTGCCAGTGGATAGCTTTCCTCCACGCGGTGATTCAGGGACCCAGGCTCCAACTGTCTTCTTCCCCTTCTCTATCCAGCCAGTTTAAGGGAAGCAGAGGTGAGGGAGGAGCCCTCCCACTCTTAGAAGCCTCAGTCCACCTCTGCTCACAATTGACTGCAGGGGGAGACTATGAAATAGTCTGTGTATCCAGGGAGGTCAGAAAATGGATTTTTAATGATTCACTATGAGTCTCACAACAGTCTTTCTTTCTGGCAACGAGATAGCAGTGTGCTCTTTCTTCTATCACACCCTCCCCCAGAGGGATGACCCCAGACTCCATCTGTCTCTGCCTGTGGCCCTGCATCTCCTGGAACATTCCATGCTCTCCGCTAGTACCATCCCGTGATCTCCAAGTAAAATCCAGTTCCTGCTCCCTCTGAACTGACTGGGGGCAGTTAAAGCTCTCATTAGGGAAGGGGGAACAGGGACACACAGCAGCCCCCACACCACAATTGCAGAATCTGACTGGCGGTGTTGTGAAGCTCCCTGTCCTACTCGTGGAGGGATTTCCCATCTCTGCTTTCTGGGAGGCCCCTCCTCATCCAGTATTCTCCGTGGCAACATCTGAGGTGGGGACCACATGGTTTTTGCAGCTCTTTTCCTGCCTGTACAAGGGTGGAGGCCCAAGGCTTGTTCTACAATGACAGGCTTGTGGTGTCTTTGGCAATACAATTCCCTCCAGATTTTAGGGAGTTTTCCTTCCAATAAGTTCCATGTGACCACACCCGAGGTACTTTTCTACTGTCATCTTCCAGCAGCTTTATTTCTTTGCTTCCTTATTTCCCATGTCTCTGTCTCTGCTGTCTCTGTCTGTCTGTGTACTGACACTGACCTTGAGAACATCTCAACAGTTAGTGGGGCAAGACCACCCACTTCATTTGATCCTTGCTGCAGGATTAAGGCCTTTGTAGACCTGAGAGTTTTAATGAGCCTTTGCTACTTAAAACCTTTTTATTTTTATTTCCTGCTATTTGAGATCCATTCACAGTTCACTTTTCCAACACTACAAGGCCTCAAACTCTTCATATTTCCCTTTCTTCTATTTCCACACTGTTTATATCTTGCTTGAGTGCGTCTCTGTCTCACAATACCTTACTGTACACCAAAGGAATGACTAACATACTTTTTTTTTTTTTTGAGATGGAGTCTCGCTCTGTCTTCAGGCTGGAGTGCAGTGGCACGATCTCGGCTCACTGCAACCTCCGCCTCCTGGTTTCAAGTGATTCTCTTGCCTCAGCCTCCCAAGTAGCTGGGACTACAGGCATATGCCACCATGCCCAGCTAATTTTTGTATTTTTATTAGAGACAGGGTTTCACCATGATGGCCAGGATGGTCTCGATCTCTTGACCTCGTCATCTGCCTGCCTCGGCCTCCCAAAGTGTTGGGATTACAGGCATGAGCCACCGCACCCAGCCCAACATACATTTTTATTGCAGCTCACTCAGCCACCTTCTTCTGGAGCTACAGGCTTACTTCTCCCAGTCTTCCCTTCAAGCTATTGTAGGCTACAGGTCTAACAAACATTTCACCTCTGCATGACATAAGTCTCCCACTTTCCATTCTGCAACATCTATTTTCATGTTCCCTGCTGCCTGGCCACTAAGCCAATGGTACATATTTTAGGTTTCAAGTTATGGCGGCACTCTATTTTGAGGTATTCATTAGTGCACACTATCTCCTGTAACAAATAGACCCCAAAATGCAGAATGATTAAAACACCACAGAGATGTGTTTCTCACATAACAAGCCAGAGTGAGAGCTCATTAGTGGCACGTGGCTTTTCTCCTGAAAAGCTGAATGCAGTGATTCGGAAACCCGTGTTCTTTACAGTTAGTAGATTCACCCTTCCCAAGGCCTAGTAACCAATGGTATTCAGCGGTGGAACGGGAAAGAGAGAGCCTGGAGAGAGCCCATATCCATACTCCTTGCAGAATGCAGACCTCAGGCCCCATCTGCTGTGTGGGTGGCAGGAGGTGCAGCTGTGTGCCCATGAGTGAAAACCCATTGAACTGCTAACAATCTCTCCCACACTTCAGGGCTGTCCATCATCCAGCCATCCCACCTCTCCAGTCTCATCCCTTGACCTTCCCCCTGCCAGCCTCACTCATCTTCATTCGATTCCTCAAGGATGGCATGACTCTCTCATCTCTAGGTCTTTGCTCATGTTGGTTAGTCCACCTGGAGCCCTCTCTCCCTCACTGTTCTAGCCATTCACCCAGCCAGCCAGCCATCCACTCATCCACCAAACCATCCACCCACCTACTCATCCAGCCATCCACCCAGCCATCCATTCACCCATTCATCCAGTCACCCACCCATCCACCCATCCACCCATCCACCCATCTACCCATCCATCCACCCACCCATCTATCCACCCATTCATCCACTCTTCCATCCATCTACCCACTCATCCACCCAGCCATTCATCCACCCACACCCATCCATCCACCCACTCACTCATGCATCCACTCACCCATCCACCCACACATCCACTCATTCATCCACCCACCCATCCACCCACTCACTCATCCACCCACACATCCACTCATTCACCCATCCACCCACTCATCCACTCAGCCATCCATCCACCCACACCCATCCACTGATTCACCCACTCATCTGCCCACCCATCCATCCACCCACTCATCCACCCGTCCATCTATCCATCCACCCACTCATCTATCCACCAATCCATCCATCCACTCATCCATCTGTCCACCCACTCATCCACCCACACCCATCCATCCATCCACCCACTCATCTGCCCACTCACCTATCCTTCCATCCATCCACTCATCTACCCATCCATCTATCCACCCAATCATCTACCCACTCACCCATCCACCCTTTAATCCATACACTCACTCATCTACCCATCCATCTATCCACCCACCCATCCACCCAGCCATTCACCCATCCACCCATCCATCCATCCACCCACCCACCATCCACCCACCTATCCACTAATTCACCCACCCACTCATCCATTCATTCATCCATTTACCCATCCATCCATCCACCCACCTATCCACACACCCATCCACTAGTTCACCCACCCACCCACCCAACAAATGTTTTGAGCACTAAATGTGTGCCAGGCACTGATCCAGATGCTGGGATTCTGCAATGAACAAAACAAACAAACTCCTGCTCTCATGCAGCTTGTATTCTAGCTGGGAGAGACAATGAATAATAAACCAGATAAAATAAATAAATCATACATTGTGTAAGAAAAAATCAATGGCTGGAAAAAAATGGGGCAGGGTAAGGGGATCAGAAGTGGAGGAGGCGGCAATTTAAATGTTAGGCAGGGGAGAACTGGGAAGGAAGGCCTCATCCAGAAGGTGATCATTGGGCACAGACCTGAAGGAGGTGAGGGACGGAGTCATGAGCATATCTAGGGGAAGAGTACTCTGGGCAGAGGGCATAGCCTCTGAGGTGGGAGCAGCTTTGCAGATACGAGGACCAGCAGGAGGCCCATGTGGCTGGGGTGGAGTGAGAAAGGAGAAGAGTAGTGGGAGATGAGGTCAGAGACCATGAGGCCTGGATCCCTTGGGGCCTGCAGGCTGTGCCCCTTGCAAAGCTCCCTCATCTTTCAGGCCCCAGCCCACATCTCCTTCTTCAAGAGAGCCTTGCAAGTTCTCCGCATTGGGACTGGGTGCGTCGCCTGCGTGTGCACCAATAGTCTGGTCACAAAGTTTCTTGCTACGTGTGTACTTTCTCATCCCCCTCCCCTGAACTCGGGTCCTGTGAAGATAGAGCCCCATCTGCCTGGGTCACCCTCACTGAGCACGGTGTGGATGACATATCTCCAAAGGGCAGTGGCTCCACCTGAACAGGATGCAGGTTCTCTCCTCATGGCTTGTTGGGAAGTTTAAATGAGACGACCTAGTCCAGGGCACCTAGTTGAACTTTTTGTCTTAGTTGGCAGATGAAACACCAATACATTTTTATGCTCTGGCTCTCCTTTCCTAGATTCCAGAATGGCCATGCAGAGGCTTATTCCTGCAGTCTCAGTGTCTTTCCACACCCAATGTATGACCCCATCAAGTTTCCTCTTGAATCAGGACAACTCTCAGGAACAAACCGCTCAAGGGGCCCCGTCTTTCAACTCCTGGGTTCCACCCTCTCCCTAATTCAGAAAATGATAGAATCTCACCCAGCCAGATCTCCCACCTGACTCCATGTTTAATGGCCTACAAGTGTCTCCCTCGACCCTCAGACAAGCTCTTCCCAAGACAAGGGACCTTTTACTTTTAGCACTCCAGTGCATGATGTGCTGGTATTAGTGATGGCAGATGAGCTGGTATTGCTAATAACCATTATCTCACCCGTCCACACATCCATCCACCCACTTACCCATCCACCCACTCATCTACCCCTCCATCTATCACCCAATCATCTACCCACTATCCATCCATTCTTGGTCTGCCTGGTTCTGGGGTCTGTCATCCTCTAGATGCTTTGCCTCAGCCTTGGTATCAATGAACTGGCATTTATGTCATATGCCACAGCCCCTGCAGGCAAGAATATTTCTCCTTGCCCTGATTGTCTGTTGGTTGCCAGCCCTTCCCTTCTCTGATCACAGAGAAGCTGGAAGCCTGCAAACTACATTTGCTAGAGCCCTTACCAGTGGGCTTCCAATTTGTTTCTGCTGGTAGGAAGCACTGATCAATCAGAAGGCAGTAAAGTTCCTGGATCTGGGGGTTTTTTTAGTGGTGGCAACAGCAGGCATGCACACCTGGGTCTTGTTCAGCCATCAACTTTCTACCAGGAGTACCCTAGCAGCCCTGTGATCCCCAGACGCTTCTGGGTGACACCTGTTCCTCCAGCCTCCATGTAAAAGCAGCTTCCTGCACTTACTTACCAATATTTTGGCAATCTCACCTCCACTCTCACTCCTCTCATCCTTCCAACAGTTTTCATAACCAGTCCCCTGCATTAAATCCACTCTGAAGTGCCTGGGCAATTTCCATTTTCCTGACTCTTCACTGACTGGTAATGTCCTTGGTAGCAGGAATGACTTCCTAGAAATAGAGCCTTAATGCTGGAAATCGGGGACTGGTTATCTGCCTGGATTGGGCTGGAACGCAGTAATGACCTCACTGTCAGAGGGGATGTGGTACCCTGGAAAGTCACAGCATTCAGTGGCAAAACTAGTCCTCACAATATCACCTATGTTAAGTGCCTGGCGTGAAGTGTCTCTTGAAGGCAAAGTTTGAGAGACCAAATGGCTGCAGCCCTTCATGTCATGGGGACAGCTGGAGAGACTGGTGGCTTCTGACTACACTGGAGTCAGAAGTGATAAACCCAGCTCAAAACATGGACAGAAAACCAGAGAGCATCTTTGATAACCAGAAAAGAATCTCTTTAATATCTTGTAGCCGTAAGACTGATACAACTGAAAACATAACCCTAAATTTGATTCTGCAGGTTGCAGTTACAACACAAGTTGAAGTCACAGCCTTGCCGGAACTCTTATGTAAAGTTTAGGGCATTGGATCTGGAAGGAGTGGGACCCTGAGAATCGTAAAGGGATATTTGGGTGGACTTGAGCAAATCCAAGAACCCTGAACTGAGGAAGAGCAGTGTGAGTACATGGTCAGGGGCTCCATGAATATTCCTGCCTGCAACCCCAGCTTCACAGGCAATTCAGCCTTCTCCACACTGGCCCGGCACTGGCTAGCTGCTCACCTTATGGCTCGAGGCAGGACCCCCCCGCAGCCTTGCAGCTGAGTGGGAAGTTGCTGGAAGTTGTATCTGTTTATTGCTTTTAAGGCTGTCATGAGCAGACATAAGACCTCATATCACACAAGCTTGATGCCACCAAGAGGACGGGAGCTGGGCTGGGTCCTGAGCCCTTCTAGCGGTGTGGCTTTGGCTTGTGACCCCCGACTCAGCCTCAGTATCATCTATCAAATAGGCCTAATAATGGGCATGTCCCGGGACTGCTGTGAAAACGAAGTGGAGTAAGATTGCAACGGGGCCTGGTGAGGTGGCTCACGCCTGTAATCCCAACACTTTGGGAGGCCGAGGTGGGCGGATCATTTGAGGTCAGGTGTTCAAGACCAGCCTGGCCAACATGGTGAAACCCCGTCTCTACTAAAAATACAAAAATTAGCCAGGCATGGTGGTGGGCACCTGTAATTCCAGCTACTCGGGAAGCTGAGGCAGGAGAATTGCTTGACCCGGGAGGTGGAGGTTGCAGTGAGCTGAGATCGCACCTCTGCACTCCAGCCTGGGCGACAGAGCAAGACTCCCATCTCAAAAAAAAGATTGCAACAGGCCTGGCAATTTATCTTTCATTCTGAGTAGCCATGTAACCCCTAGTGGTAACTAGGAGAAATTGTCCTCCAGCAGTCTGTCCCCTCCCTCAGTAGCTGGGGCGGAATGAGATATGGCCCTGGGCCTGGTGCAAGATTTTCACTTGTTTTGGAAGCATTAGCCACAGCTTTTCCTTGATGGGCATGTGTTATCATGAGGCTGGGCCTCACCTCCCTGCATTGGACCAGAAATTCTAAAGGAAGCAACTTCTTATGGCACAGCGGATCTCATGCATGGCATCACTGCCCCTTCCCTAGGAGACCGCACAAAGCCACTCAGCTTCATAGCTGGGCTGTGGCCTCAGAGGCTTTTGTGCCTGGAGGTGGCAGGGAACTGTGGTGTGGGGGCTGGGCCAGCCGGGAAGGTAGAGCCGCCCAGACTGGGGTCTGGGTTCCTGAAGTCACTGTTATCCTGCAGGGAGACCTCAGCCAAGCCCCAGTGACACGCAGGGTCTCGCTCTCCACGCTGAAGGCTGTGCTGAGGGCTGAGCAAAAAGAGGCCAGACACCAGGGAGGGAAGCCCGCCTCCCCCTCCCCACCTCGACCTCCACACCAGTTAAGGCTGACCGGCAGGTTGCTGTGGGGGAAGCGACAGCGTGCAGACAGCACTGCATGCCAGGCCACACCTTTTATGGAAATGTTCCTCTGAGACCTGTTGATGAGCTTGGAGAATGAGGAAGGGGACGGTCCAGCGGCCAGCTGGGTCCACACCCTGCCGCCGGCCCTGAGGAGGGAAGGCACGAGTCACTGCCTATTTTGACCCGGCAAGAAATACAAACCCACAGGGTGAGGCGGGCAGAAAAGCAGCTCTGTGGGAGACCTGCAGGCCCCTGAGCATCCCCTGCCCCAGTCAGGTTCTCGCCCAGGTGCATAAACCGGCCCCATGTGGCGGCATCCTTACCAAGGACCCCCAGGTGACCGGACAGGAGGGGTGAGGCTAGGCTGCCAGGCAGACAGGGTAGCACCAGATGGGATGGGCTGGGGGCTCCAGGGCACGGTGTCTGTGGCAACCCAACCTGGGAAGATGTTATTGCTCTGCTGGAGACCTTGGGCCAGGCCCCGCGAAGCCCTGCCTAGCCCCTTGGCGTGGGTTAGCGGTGCTTTAAGGCAGCCCGAGGCGAGGAGGCCAGGTCATACCTGCGGGAGCTTGATGAGGCCTCATGAGAAAGCCCTAGTCTCAGTTCCTGGGCCCGGGGCCTCTGCAGGCCTCCACCACCCCATGCTGCCTAGTTCAAGTATTTGTTGTGGGCTGGCCAGATCAAGAGTCACCTGCTAGAACACAGGGGTAGGAATCTTAGGTGGGAGTGGGAACAGAGTGGCACCAGGCCCATTCCCTCCTGGCTCTCAAGGTCCATGCTGGCCCTCAGGGGCTTCCTGTGGGGGACTCTTTGTGCTGTCACTGCAAGGGACCCTCCTGCGGATGGGCTGGAGGCCACAGGGACATGGCCCCAGCTCACTGAGCTCCTGAGTGGTCATGATTGACTATGTGCTTGAACTTGGGGAGGGACGTGTAGATGGGAAGGGGGTGACCTTAGGGAGGGTAAAAGAGGACCCTAGCTCTGCTGCCCTGGGACAGTAAGGGGAAGGCCCAGGCCTGGCTGCCCATCCTCTGTGCCTACAACCTGCTCTTTCCTTAAATTCTGCCAGCAATGGGCCACCCCTAGCCCCGGAGCAGCTCAGCCCACCTCCTGCCAGCTGCATCTCCCTGGAGGCCCAGGGCTTTCTCCGACCTCTCACACAAGCCCTTTGCAAAAGAGCTGACTTCCTGGAGGCCAGGGCAGGAGCATCTGCCACAGGTCAAGGGGCAGGGATGTCGGGGGTACTCAGGATGGTGACCCCTCCTGGTCCATGCTGTGACCCACAGCAGGGGTTTCGAGGAGACTCCGGGGCTCGGGGACCCCCATCGGCAGGCTGCCAGGCCTCCCTGCACATGCAGGTCTCCGTGGTCCTGCGTCCAGGCAGGAAGGCCCCTGGGCTGCTGTTGCTGGAGAAGGAATGTGGGGGGTCTCGGTGCCAAGACTGGGGATAGCAAGGAGGTGAGTGGGAAATGCAACCACAGGCCAGCCAGCGCCCGTGCATGGAGTCAAAGGGAGGAGTCAGCATGGTGACCACTGCCCCTGCACCGGGGGAGGAAGGCATGGGGGTCCTGGTGAACCTCTCCCTGTACTGCCCAGAGCCCAGCCTGACTCCCCCCGAAGCCGGGTAGGGATGCATCACTCCGACTAACAAATGTCTCAGCCCTAAAGGGCCCCTGGCTCCAGGTCACCCTCCAGCTCTACAGAAGGGCAGGGACGAATCTGATCCTTGTTAGCACTGACACAAGAGGGCGGGACCTGAGTCAGCCCCAGGGGAAGCCAGCATGCCCTGGAAAGGCTGGTCCCACCAAAGCATGCTAGTGTGTCTCCCAGGCTGCACCCAGGAAGGCTGGGTTGGGGAGGAGCCCAGGGCCAGATGGGCAGCAAAGTGTATCCGGCTGTAGCCAGCCACAAAAGAGGACACTGATGTCTGGCAGCAGCACAGAAACCCCTGTGGCTGATGTTTCTTCCTCTTGGATGCTGAGGGTGGTTTTTGGAGAATAGTCAGCTTCACTCCCACCCCAGCCCCAAGGCATCTCCTCGGAGAAGGCTCAGGCAGGTGGCCAAGGCCAGCAAGGGGCGGGCCTGCAGCTGCTCAGGCCCCCTTGGATCTCCTCCTGGCAGACAGGGGTATAGGGGATAGCAGCCCATGGGGATGGGGCCTTGGTTTCCTGCAGAACCTACACGAGAGGCCAAAAAAAAGATGGGGGTACCAAGGAGAGGAAAACACCCCCGGCACCCACCACCAGCCCGCCTGTAGACTGCATCCTGTGTGTTCACATGTGTGAACCGCACGTACGGTTGAGCCTGGCCAGTGCTCAGTCCTTCACTCTGCTGGTCTCTGTCAGGGAGAGCTGACCCTTTCCAGGGCCCTGCCTGCACTGGGCATGGGGGTCTGAGAAAGGGGCAGCACCGCTGGCAGGTGGGGTCTGGCACTGCCACCCTCAGAAGCTGGCACACGAGGTTTCTTATTGCTCCTCTTGGCTCTGGAGCACACCTTCTTAATTTCCAGAAAGGACACAGGCCCAGGAGAGGTGGCAGCAGGGGTCCCACACTGGCCCTCCTGCTGATCTCCAAGTGGAGCCCGGTGGGCAGGATGCAGGCTGGCTCTAGCCCCTACGTGTGACCCACAGGCCTCCCACGAAGCCGCTGGTCTCTGCAGAGTGAGAGGTGCCGGGACTACCTGGCCTCCTTGCCGCCTCGGTTACCGGGTCACCGCCCATCATTGGTCAGCTGCCTCCAGGGATCTGGACGTGGGGCACAGATGAGTGTCCTTACAAAAATAACTCTGAGTCTGTTCCCAGTGGGACCAGGTTCCTGAGAGCACGTGGGGCCAGGCAAAGGCCACGTGGAAGAGTCCGGCAGGGAGCGCTCCCGCCTGCAGGCCAGGGTTACGGCTGCAGGCGCTCCAGGTACTGCGGCAGGGGGTTCTCCTTGACGTACTTCTGGATGTACCAGCAGGTGAGATGGGCCTTCAGGTCCTCCTCCACCACGAAGTCCAGGGCGGCCTGGGAGCCGGGCAGAGAGGAGAGTGGTCAGGGCCTGCAGCCGGCACCAGAAGGTAGCATTGTCTGCTGCCTCCCCAGGCCCGGCTCCCTGGCCACCCTTCCACTTTGCCCAGGTCAGTAACTCCCTTGAGTTTCAGTGTCACCTGGGATGATCCCCACAGACTGGTCCGGTACACAAGGAAAAAACACATCACCTCTCCCCTACAAGCCCCCTTGCCCCAGGCAGCATGGAGGACAAAGGTTGCCCTGCAATTCTCCTGGCGGGGTGGGGGTGGAGGAGGGGAAGCCGGCAGACGGCCCAGCTAAGTCCCAGCAGCAGCCCTCAGGGGAGTGACGGTCATTCTTTGCTCTGGCTGTAACTCCCTTCATTAAGCCCAAACCTGCTCTCCAGGCAGCCTGGGGTTTGGGATGCCCTGAGGATGAAGGGGTTGGGGGCAGGAATGGGGCTCCTGTGAAGCACCTGCCACACAGGAGGTGTGTGAGGATCTTGGAGGCTCAGCCACGCCAGGGTCTTGCAGAACAGGAGCCTGGGCCCAGAAAGGCGGCCACTGGCCCAGAGAGGACCCAGGGCCAAGAAGCAGGCTGAAGTGGCCACCAGGGCCACCGTCTCCTCGGAGCGAAGGTGGCAGCCCCCATGTCCCCGTCCCCGCTTGGCCCTGCCACCTGCCTGCCCTACCTTGGCAAGGTGCTTGGCGATGCCACGCCCACGGTAGGCATCTGGGACCTCGGTGTGCTGCAGGTCCACGATCCGCTTGCCCACGTACTCATAGAGCAGGACGGCCCGGTCATGACATCCTGGGGGTTGTGGAGACAGGTAAGCCTATGCTGACTCCCATCCCAGCGGACTCAGGCACCAAGACGGGTGGAGGGACAGGCATTTGGAGTCATTCAGCTGCTACAGCTGAATCCTGAATAACCTCTCAGTGCCTCAGTCTCCTCATCCATAAAGTGGAGGTACAATAAAATGTCCTTCATAGGGTGGTTTGGAGGATTAAATGAGGTAACCTCTGTGACGTGCTTACAGCCATGCCTAGAACACTTGAGCCCCACATGAACCTTTGCTACTGCGTCAGTCCTAGCATCCCAGGGCCCTGCCACCCCTTTCTGTAGCCCTGCTCCCTGCATCCCCACCCCACCACATCCCTGGATCTGGGAGTCCCAGAACCCAGCACTGGACACAGAACAGGGCTCAGCAAATCTGCAACTAAGGCAGAGCATGAAGAGATTAGAGAGGCAGCGCTGCGCCACGCATCAGGACCACCTGCTGGACCCTGAGAGAGACGCAGCAGGAAAGATCAGAGGCCTGTGGTAGAGTTCATGAGAAACTGACGCTGGGCACAGGAGGCAGGAACAAACGGGTTTTCACACTCCACCAGGCCTGCCAAGCCTGGAGCTCACCAGTCCACCCCAAACTGCTGCTGGGCAAACAATTAACTGAACTTTTTCCTAATCACAGTTTTTAGTGTCTCATCTATTTGTCTCTCCACCTACCCATCCATCAACCCACCCATCCACTTATCCATCCACCAAATGTTTCCTGAGCCCCAGGTACTGTTTCAGATGCTGGGAGTATAGCAACAAACAAGCTAGACATGGAGTCCTACCCCCATGAAACCGGAAGGGGAGAAAGAGAATAAACATGAAAAGCAAGTGATGTGTAGGATGCCAGGGAATGGGGGCAGGTGAAGACAGGAAGGAGAGGGCACCAGCCATTCTGAGGGAACAGTGTTCTGGGCAGAGGGAACAGCCAGTGCAAAGGCTCTGAGGCAGGAGTAGGCCTGAATGAGGGGCCGCTGGAGTGGGGTGGGTGAGGGGAAGGGCAGAGATGGGGGCAGGGAGGTGATAGGGCAGGTCCTGCAGAGCCTCCTAAGCCTTCTGAGCTGGGCGCCACTAGAAGGCCCTCAGCAAAGGGACAGATGTGATTCACTCTTTAAAATCATGCTGTGTTTCATGAGTTTTAACTTCAAAGCCCCAGAAAATCTGCCCTTAAAGCCTGTGCTGGGCAACACGAGGGGAAGGCTGACAGGCCAAGAGGTCCAACCACTAGTCCAGGGCCACCGGAACTGGGGCCAACGGCAGCAAGGAGGCCTTCTGGCTCTTGGTATCTCCTTTGATTCTCCCCAAAGCCTCAGGAGAGTGGCTACAATTCATCTCCCCATTTCCAGATGAGGAACTACTGAGATGCAGGGATCCAAGTCACACAGCAGGCCAAGATGACGCTGGAGCCCAGGCCTGCAGGTCCTGAGCCACAGCCATTCTTTCTGCTCCACCGACACACCTGCTACTTCCTGCACCCGCCATCGCCTAGGCACTTCCCTCTGCCTGATGCCCTTTCTCCGTTCCTGCCAGGCCCAGCTGAGGGTTCCCCAGCCCCACTCCCCTCATGCCTGCAGCCCCGCCCCCACACCAGCCCTGCTGCCTCCTCCTTGTGGGCCTGACTGTCCTTCTGTGGACTATGCCTGCCACCCTGGCCAAGGCCCAGCTGTGGCCACTGCCGCCTGTCCTGGCTGCACAGCAAGGGATGTGGTTCTTGGCTCCCCACCTGCTGGGGTTAATTCAACTCACCCAGGACAGGAGAGCAGAGATCGGAGGCTATTCTGGGACTGACTCCGTCACCAAGGGAGCTGCCTACCTAGCCTGGCCATTTAATTACCCCAGGCTCATTGAGGGCCTACTGTGTCCCAGTAGGGTTTGGGCTGCAGGGCAGGCAGCAGCGAACAAAACTGATGAAACTCTTCCTCATGGAGATCTTACGTACTGATGAAGACACACAATAAGTAATATCATTATAAATAATACAGGGGCCAGGCACGGTGACCCACTCCTATAATCCCAGCACTTTGGGAGGCCGAGGTGGGTGGATCACCTGAGTTCAGGAGTTCGAGACCAGCCTGGCCAACATGGTGAAACCCCATCTCTACTAAAGATACAAAAATTAGCCAGAAATGGTAGCGGGTGCTTGTAATCCCAGCTACTTGGGAGGCTGAGGCAGGAGAATCACTTGAACCCGGGAGGCAGAGGTTGCAGTGAGCTGAGACCGCATCATTGCACTCCAGGCTGGGCAACAAGGGCAAAACTCCATCTCAAAAAAAAAAGAAAAAAAAAAAAAAAGCTGAGCATGGTGGTACACACCTATGGTCCCGGCTATTTGGGAGGCTGAGGCGGGAGAATCACTTGAGCCCAGGAGTTTGGGGCTGTAGTGAGATATGATTGTTATCACTGCATTCCAGCCTGGGTGACAGAGTGAGACCCTGTCTCTAAATAAATACATACATCACAGAGGCCACACAGGTGATAAGCTGACAGGTGCCAAGGATCACTATACAGCAGAGGAGGGGTGGGGAGGGGCAGGGCTGCCACTGTAAAGAGGGCATACAAGGACCCCAAAGGACATGTGGGGTATGAGCCGCCCACTGGTGAGAACAGCACGTGCAAAGGCCCTGGGGTAGGAGGTTGAAGGAAGAGCAAGGAGGCCAGAGTGGCTGGGCCCAAACAAGCCGGGAGTGAGGGTTGGGAAACCAAGTCAGAGATCCTGGGGCCAGACCACACAGGGCCCTGCAAGCCACCAAAAAAACCTCAGCTTTTGCTCCAGCAGTCTCTGCAGAGCAGGGAGGTGGATACAAGAAGCCTGGCAAGCTCATTACTACTCCTCTGTGCACACCCTGCGTCAGTGTTTCTGGAGTAGCCACCTGGGCCATGGATGGACCTGACCCTGGGAGTCCTCAGAACTTCTCTGCCTCCCATTGACCCTCAGTGATCGCACAGCTCAGCCACTACCATATTCCAGGCACCCAGCTCGGCGTAGACACCCAAGAAATGTTTGTCCAACTAAAACAACTGCTTTCTGTCTTTGCCAGACACACACTAGGGCCTTGTGGCAGACCTGTGGACAACTGGCTGGACCAGCATGCTGGCCTTCCCACAGCCAGGCCTGCACCTCAGGCTGTGGCTCCCAGGAGACAGCAGGACAGAAGCGGTGGTGGCCCAAGCGTGTGCAGCCCCAGCACAGGGCAGGCTCGTGCTCTGCTCTCTCCACACAACGATCCTCACAACCATCCCACTAAACACGATTCTCACAGCCCCATGTACAGATGGGGAAACCGAGGCCCAGGAGGGAGGAAGGTGGTGGTGATCATCCCGGGACAGGTCAGTTCTCTGGGGCAGAGAGGTGTCGGGACTGGGGTAAGATCACCTGGCAGAGTTGAGACTGGAACTGAGGGCCCTGCCCTGCCCTAAGCTTGCTCCTGTGGCTCCCAAGTGACAAGTCCTGCCCCCCTGTGCTAGTCTGAGGTCTGGAGCTCTCAAGGCAGCTCTTAGAGCCTAGCCCAGATAAGGGCCTATGGCCTGGACCAGGCCTAGAGGCTATGCCTGTGTCACTGTGAGCCGAGACAGCAGGATCCACAGTGCCCAGAAGTGAAAGCGTGGCTGACAGTGCTACCCTGGTGTCCTGCTGTCCCGTCATGGGTGCTGCGGGCAGTCAGGGGAGGCCTCTGGGCAGGTGACGTTTGGGCTCACCTGGAATGAGAGTCACGGAGGTGTATGGAGTTGACTGGGGATAGGGCTGAGTCAAAGGAGGGTCTTCAGGCTGAAAGGGGAACAGAGGGCATCTGGGGTGGCCACGGTGGTGGTGGGGCTGTATGTGAGGAAAAGACCGAGTTTAAATGGACACCCTACATGGGCCAGACCACATGGCACTGGGCCAGCGAGGAGCCAGGCTCCTGGGCAGCAACCTCGGAGCATCTGGCCAGGACCTGAACCCCACCTTGGAGGGCCTTCAAAGGCCACCCAGTCACAAGTGTTACACCCATGACACAGGCCACAAATGCAATACCGGTCCTCACGCTCAACTCCTTGTCCTGCCCCAAACCTGCCTGGACATCCCAGGAAAATGCCCAAGTCCCCAAAGCTTGACCAAGGTCCTTGGCTCCTCCTCACCTTTTCTCATCTGACCTGACCCTCGGCAGGACCGTGGACATGGCTTTCTAAACATGCCTGGGGTCCAGCTGCCTCTCTGGCCTCCCTGCCTTGGTGGCTGCTCCCCTGCCTGTCACCTTTCTGCCCAGGGCCTCCGGGGACCCTTCCTTCTCATTTCAGGTGAGCCCAAAGGTCACGTGCCCAGAAGCCTCCCCTGACCACCCGCAGCCCCCATGATGGGACAGCAGGACACCAGGGTAGCACTGTCAGCCACGCTTTCACTTCTGGGCACTGTGGATCCTGCTGTCTCGGCTCACAGTGACATAGGCATAGCCTCTGGGCCTGGCCCAGGCCCTTATCTGGGCAGCTCTAAGAGCTGCCTTGAGAACTCCAGACCTCAGACTAGCACAGGGGGGCAAGACTTGTCACTTGGGAGCCACAGGAGCAAGCCTAGGGCAGGGCAGGGCCCTCAGTTCCAGTCTCAACTCTGCCAGGTGATCTTATGCCAGTCCTGACACCCCTCTGCCCCAGAGACCTCACCTGTCCCTGGATGATCACTACCACCCTCCTCCCTCCTGGGCCTGAGAACCCCACCAGCATCACGTGACTGGTTTGGGAAAAGTTAAAGCTACACTGCTCGTGGGGGACCCGTCCCTGGGTCTCTGCACCCCCATGCTCTCTCTGCCCCTCCTGAACCTCGGGACCAAAGGGGGCCAGGAAATTGTCAGGGGAGGCGATCACAGAGAAAGACCAAAGCTTGCAGACAGGGGACAGGGGCAGGACCTCTGGGAGATGTGGAGTCTGCAGAAGACATTGACCTCTGCTTTCTCCACTCGGCCCACACTGACCCCGCAAGGAGAGCTGGCAGATCAAAACGCGAATATACAGATGAGGAGACTGAGGTAGACGGAGGCAGAGCCCAGGCGCCAGAGCTGTGGCACGGGACAAGGACAAGCAGACACCCTGGCCGGCTTTTCTGGCACCTCTGTAAGTAGAGCCTGGATCAGGGAGGTGCCACATGTTGGTGGTTCATTGGTAGATTAGGCAGAGGGAGCTGTGAGCCTGGAGAAGCTCAACCATACGTCCCTCCCCTCCCCAGAGGACCCTGGTCCAGCCCAGCCCAACACAGCCAGCGGCCTCATATTGGGGCTGTGATCTGAGCACCTCCCAAAGCCTGGGGCTGTGATCTTAGCTCCACTGCATCCAGGGGTGCTGAGGGAGGCCAGGGGCAGCAGCTGACTCTCTGGGGCCTCAGTCTTCCTGGCTGCAAAATGGGGGTTAGGGAGGACGCAGAAAGTTCCAGGGTTCTGCACCCCTCAAGTGTTCCTTTCCTTGCAGCAAGTGGGACACTCAGCCCTGCCTGTGAGGGAAAGGGAAGGCTAAGGAAGGGGCTGCCCAGGAGGTGGGGGTCTCTTCCAGCTGCCTCCAACCTTCAGAAACCGTCCTCAGATGGAGGCCGGGGGCTTGATTCTGGCTTAGCTGCCTACAGGCTGTGCGCCTTGGTTTCCCCATCTATAAAGTAATGACAAGCTTGCATTTCAGAACCAGGATATGGCATCAGACAAGCCTGAGCTCAAGCCTTCCCTCATCACCCACAAGCAAGTCACAGCCATGCTTCCTTCCACATCTGTCCAGGATCTAGACGTTTCTCCCACGCCTGTTTGCAGTGCCTGGACTAGTAAAGTAACCACCTCCCTGCTCTGTCCTGGTCCCCACAGTTTGCTCCCCTTAGAGCAGCAGCTAGAGGGAGCTGGGGCATCCCATCTGTCTTCTGCTCAGGACCCTCCTGGGAGCCTCAGAGTCAAAGCCGAGCCCATAGGACAACGGCTTCCAGGCCCTGCACCACCTGCTCCCCATGACCTCTTGACCCATCCTGCACACACAAGGCATCGCAGGCACTGCAGAGCCTTTGCTCTTGCTATTCCCTCCACTTGGAACACTCTTCCCTGTTGCAGCTCTGTTTCTTGCCTCCTTCAGGTCTTCACTTAAATGCCACCCTCCAGGGAGGGGCCTTCCTAGACACATGATTGTAAATAGCAGCCCTGCCCAACACAGCCTCCCCTCTGCCCCCTGCACCTCTCATGAAAGCCCTTGTTTTCCAGGATACTTTAAAACTGACTCTATTTCTTGTCCATTTCCCTCTCTAAACTGTCAGCCCCAGGAGACCCCGACACCTAAAAGAGTGCTTGGTACATGGTAGGTGCTCAACAAATACTTGCGGGGTGAATCACAGCTCTTCCACCTCTGTGGTGCAAGACTTTGGGCAAGTCATTTCACTTCCCCATGCCTCAGTCTCCCCATCTGTATATGGGAAATGCAGTTTCCCCTCTCCCTGTGGTGTGTGGCTATGAAATAAAGTGACTCCAGGTGCCCAGGGCCTCCTAGAACACTGTAAATGCTTAATAAACAAAGGTGCTCAAACGTTTTCCCTCACTCAGAACCAGAGCTCGCAGGAAGAGAATCAGCCTAGCTGTGCTATGTGGACAGCCTAGGAACACTTCTGCACCAGGAGCCTGGGGCTACCTGACCCCTCAGCCTCAGTGTTTATATCTCTCAGTGGGCACAACAGCACCAGCCTCCAGGCTTGCCTTACAGGTCGGGAATGACACCACAGCCTGTTGTCCTCCTCAGCTCAGGGAGGCCTGGGCTCAGACTCAGACGACCCCTCTCTGGTCCCAAGACACACACCCAAACCCAGTGGGGCCTGGAAGCCCAGAAGAGCCCCACCCTGTGCTGCACAGCCACTCCCTTGGGGGCCTCTGGCCTCTCTCTTCTTTCTCCCCTGGGCTTGGCTGGGGAGATGCCCAGCCACATCTGTGGTCAGCTATCTGGGCAGTGAATTCCAGAAGGGGGTAAGTTTAGAAATACGGCTGGGCATGTCCAGCCCTGACCACGGCCAGCTCTGGAGGGCTGTCCTTTGGCTGTACCCACTTGGAAGAGAAAGAAAAAGAAAAAAAAAAAAAAAAAACAAACGTATCCCCTCTTCTTTCTGTCTCTGAGTATAATGGCCCTCCCGAGCCCACAAGGGAACCAGAGGCCGCTCTGGAACCTCAGAAGAGAGGATTTGAAAGCCATGAGGCCTCTCTCCCAGAGTCGCCAGGGCCCCGAGTGTCCTGGCCAGCTGAGCCCTGCCAGCACCACAGCAGTAGCAGGACTTGCCTCTGCCTGGTGGTGTAGGGTTGGTTGGGCCAATGGTGAAGTTCTGGGTGATGCTGGGCAATCACTTCCTAAGGTCCCTAGCCTCAGTTTCCTCATCTGTAACACGGGGTGGTATGTCACAACATTGTCAGGGTATTGTGACAGTCCCATCCACGAAGCTGTAGTGGGGCCTGGCTCGACACTCGGCACATTCCAAATGGCATCGGAGATCTGGCAGAGGCCCCTCCTGGCTGAAGCCAAATGTGGGTCGCAGGAGCCCCACCGTTCAGGGAGTCAGACCAGTCAGGACGCCATCCCAGCTCTGCCCAACTCTCAGCCTGACCTCTCGCAAGCCTTTCCCTTTCCTGGCCCTCCACCTTCCCTTCTTGAAAATGGGCACAGTGGCCCCTAAGGACCGGTCCAGCTTGGACATTCCCACTGGGGCGAGGTGGGCCACAGGGAGTTCATAGCCCTTGTTTTTGTAGTTCTATTTCCTACCTGTGGGACCTCCTGAGGGGGGATGGGCTAATCAAAACTTCTCTACACTGGCAGGGCGTGGTGGCTCACTCCTGTAATCCCAGCACTTTGGGAGGCCATGGCAGGTGGATCACCTGAGGTCAGGAGTTCAAGACCAGCCTGGCCAACATGGTGAAAGCCTGTCTCTAATACAAAAATTAGCTGGGCATGGTGGTGGGTGCCTGTAATCCCACCTACTCCTGAGGCTGAGGCAGGAGAATCACTTGAACCCAGGAGGCAGAGGTTGCAGTGAGCCGAGATTGTGTCACAGGAACATTGTGTCGCCTGGGCGACAGAGTGAGACTCCATCTCAAAAAACAAAAACTTCTCTACACTAAGGGAGAACTTGCCCTTGCTTTCTGGCTTCACGAATCACGATCGGGCCACGTTTACCAGCACTTACTAATCCCCCATGAGCTGGTCTGATCCTTTACATTTGTTACAGTCTTTCATCCTTACAACTAGCCAATGGGGTGTGCACTGGTATTATTCCCATTGCAGAGAGGGAGAAACTAAGGCACACAGAAGTGAGGCAAATGGCCAGTCCCAGAGCCACTGAAGTCTTGATAGTGATAGCCATCCCCCCGCCCCTCACTCCCCCCAGGGGACCACAAGCCCCTTTCGCGGTCAGCCCCAGGTCCGCAGGCCTCCCCCGTGTAGAAAGACTAAGATTCCCAGGGGCAGCAGGAAGCCATATACCACCCGCAGAAGGGGACAGGTCACGGCTGACCAACTTTCCAGGATCTCAAACAGGAGCCTTCAGTGGGTGCCCAACAGTCGTGAACAAGTGGGCCTGAGCAGGTGCGGGTCCCCTGCGGCTGAGACAGGGGACCCGCGCTGCCCCAGCTCCTGCCTCTGCCTTTCCAGGGGCCCCTGTCCGCCCTGGCCCCTGCTCTCCCGGGAAGTCTGCCCCCGCCCAGCCCGTTCCACTTCCCGGAGCGCCGGCCGCGCCCCCACCTGGCCCCGAGCACAACCCGGCCCGCGCCCGGAGCTCCGGCCGCCCGGGACCACCCCGCGGCGCGCGCTTGCAACAGCCTTCCCGGGCGGCGGGCCGGAGCCGGGCCGCGGGCGCGCGGGGGACAGGCACCCAGCAAGGGGGCGGCCCCGGCGGGCCCCGCTCGCTCGCAGACAAAAGGTCGGGGCGGGCCGGGGCCGCCTTACCGTTGAGCCGGACAGTGAACTGGCGGCGCCGGCGGTCGTGCTCCACGCGGATGGGGCAGCCCTGCTCCAGCGCGCCCAGCGGCACGGCGGCAGCCGAGTGCGCCATCTGCGCGCGGGGCTGCGGCGCGGCGCCGGCGGGGGCCGGGGCGCGCGGGGAAAGGTCAGGCGCGCGGCGGGGCTGGAGCGCGGGCGCAGGCGGCAGGCGGTGGGGTAGTTACGGCCTGGGAGACCGCAGGCGGCGGCGCTGAAAGTGACACTCGGCGGCGGCGGCAGCAACAAAAAGGGTGGGGGGGGGGCCAGGAAATCAGCTGTGAGGTCACGTGCGGCGCGCAGCCAGTGGACGCGCGGCCTTTTTGTTTTGATACATTCCAGTCACCTCTTAAAGGGGCCGCGCCGGCCGCGTTCCTCTCGCAGCCCCAAACAAAACAACACGGGCCGCCGCCGCGCCGCGCCGGCTACTTTTCCGTCTTGCGTTTGTCCCACGTGCAACTTTGGGACCCCCGCAAGGAGCCTTCTAAAAAAGACGTAACAATCTTTTGTATGGACATTCTAATCGTCCCCAAGGCAGCCACCATTTATTAAGCACTTGCTGTGTGCACGGCCTGTGTATAGCAAAGCCCTGGCGCACAGGGCGCTCAGTAATCACTGCGCTGAGATTTATCACCAGAAGCCTGAGAAATAGGTATGCTTGACTCCATTTTACAGATGAGCAAATAGAGGCTAAGACAAGTGAAAGACATGCATAAGTTCTCACGCAGCTGAAGCCCTGGGGCTACTGGTGCTAGGAGTGCGCACCCACCCGTGTTGGCAGCCTGGGTGGCTACTGGCTACTGGGAAGGAATTGTCCTGTGAAGCCTTGTTTGGGATAGGAGTGAAATGCCACCTCTCCCAAAGAGAGGCGTAAATGCGGGAAGAGGCCTTGGGGATCCCTGGATCCACTCCATAGATGGGGAGGCTGAATCCCAGAAAGGGGCAGGGACTTGCTTGAAGACACACAGGACTGTTGGGGCTCAGACTTCTTTGAAAGGCGCCTTAATTAGGCTCCTCAAGGCTCAACCTTAGAGCCACACCCTCCCCTCTTGCTCACCTGAAGGGGCACTCCTGTTGCCCATAGCTGTGCAGTGAATCATACAGGTTACTTTTAATATTTTGCTAATTACGGTGCAAACTTGATGTTCACACCCGTGTGACCACCATCCAAATCAAAATACAGAACACTGGTGGTTCCCTAGGGCCCTCTTCCAAGCAATGCCCTACCCTTTGAGGTAACCACTGTCCCTGACTTCTAGTGTTGTTGACTAATTAGGTTTCTCTAGACCATCATGTAAACATAATCATACAATATATACTATTTTATTTTATTTTAAGACGGAGTCTCTCTCTGTCGCCCAGGCTGGAGTGCAGTGGCTTGATCTCGGCTCACTGCAGCCTCTGCCTCCTGGGTTCAAGCGATTCTCCTGCCTCAGCCTCCTGAGGAGCTAGGACTACAGGGCTACAACAACAAGCCGGGGTAATTTTGGTATTTTTAGTAGAGACAGGGTTTCGCCATGTTGGCCAGGCTGGTTTCAAACTTCCAACCTCAGGTGATCCATCCGCCTTGGCCTCCCATCGTACTGGGATTACAGGCATGAGCCACCGCACCCAGTCCAATATGTACTTTTAATGTCCAATTTCTTTTGCTCAATATTTTATCTGTGAGATTCATCCCTGTTTTTGCATCTTTTTCGCCACTGAGTAATTATTCCATTGTGTTGACAAAAAAAGCCAAACTGTAAAATATTTGAAGAGCTTATTCTGAGCCAAATATGAGTGACTATGGCCCTGGACACAGCCTCAGGAGGTCCTGAGAACATGTGCTGGAGGTGGTCGGGTTATAGCTTGGTTTTATACATTTTAGGGAGACAGAAGTTACAGGCAAAGACCTAATACCTGTAAGGTGTACATTGGTTCGGCCATCCAGAAAGTGGTGGGGGCTTACAGCTCATAGGTGTATTCAAATATTTTCTTTTTCTTTTTTTGAAACAGGGTCTCGCTGTGTCACCCAGGTTGGAGTGCAGTGTCGCCATCTTGGCTCACTGCAACCTCTGCCTACCTGGCTCAAGCCGTTCCTTTGTCAGATATATTTACCGAGAATATCCTCTGATCCTCCCATCTCAGCCTCCCAAGTAGCTAGGACCACTGGAATGGGCCACCACACCCGGCTAATATTTTTGTATTTCTTTTAGAGATGGGGTTTCACCATGTTGCCCAGGCTCAGGCGATCCATCCGTCTCAAACTCCTGACCTCATCCACCTGCCTAGACCTCCCAAAGTGCCGGGATTATAGGTGTGAGCCACCCTCACCTCGCGCCCCCACCCCACCCCCCCAATTCAAAGATTTTCTGATTGGCAAGTGGTTGAAAGAGTTAAGCTTTTCCTAAAAAGAGTTGATGTCAGAAAGAAATACTCGAGTTAAGATAAGGAGGGGTGTGTGGAAGCCAAGGTTCTTATTATGTAGATGAAGCCTCTAAGTAGCAGGCTTCAGAAAGAATAGATGGTAAATGTCTCTTTTAGGACTTTAAAAGGTGTCAGACTCTTAGTCAAATCTCTCCTTAATCAGAAAAAGACCCAGAAAGGGAGGGGGATTCTCCACACATGCAAATTTCCCCCACAAGAGATGGCATTGCAGGGCCATTCCAAAATAAGTCGAATAATATATTTTTGGGTAAAATTCGTTAATTTCCTTCGGGGCCTGTTATCTGTCATGCGATGCTATACCAGAGTCAGGTTGGAATTTGTTATCTTAGTGCTACAAAGAGTCTGTTTTGGGTCGGGCGCGGTGACTCACGCCTGTAATCCCAGTACTTTGGGAGGCCAAGGCAGGCGGATCATGAGGTCAGGAGATCGAGACCATCCTGGCTAACATGGTGAAACCCCATCTCTACTAAAAATACAAAAAAATAATTAGCCGGGCGTGGTGGCGGGCGCCTGTAGTCCCAGCTACTCCGGAGGCTGAGGCAGGAGAATGGTGCGAACCCGGGAGGCAGAGCTTGCAGTGAGCAAAAAAAAAAAAAAAAAGGAAAAAAAGAGTCTGTTTTGTCAGTCTAATTATATATATTTTATGGGTTTTTTTTTTTTTGAGACGGAGTTTCACTCTTGTTGCCCAGGCTGGAGTGCAATGGCACGATCTTGGCTCACCGTAACCTCTGCCTCCTGGGTTCAAGCGATTCTCCTGCCTCAGCCTCCCGAGTAGCTGGGATTACAGGCATGCACCACCACGCCCGGCTAATTTTGTATTACAGCGTGCTACCATCCTGGGCTAATTTTTTTCAGTTTCATAGAGTTGGGGGCCTCTCTGTGTTGCTCTGGCTGGTATCAAACTCCTGGACTCAAGTGATCCTCCTGTGTTGGTCTCTCAAAAAGTGCTGGGTTTACAGGCATGAGCCACCATACCTGGCCTTTGCTGGATCTTATAGTAGGTGTATATTTAGTTTTGTGAGAAATTGCCAGAGCTTTTTCCAAAGCGGGTGTACCATTTTACACTCCTGCTGACAATTTTGAGAGTTTCATTCGTTGTACACTCTTTTCCAAGTTAGCCATTCTGAATGTGAAGTGGCATCACATTGTAGCTCTCACTTGCGGCGGCCTGTTGAATGGAGATGTTGAGCCTCTTTTTATATGCTCCTTGGCCATTTGGATATCCTGTTGTGAACACTTTGGCCAACTGTTGTGCCACAGTTTTTGTGGCGCAAATTTAATTTTTTTAATTTTTAAATTCATTAGAGTGATTTTTGTTGTTCAGTTACCATTCCTTTGTCAGATATATTTACTGAGACTAACCTCTGCTAGCATATTTTTATTGTTATTTCAACCAGTGTGTCTTGTATTGGGAAGTTTGTAAACAAAACAAGGCTAGAGAGTGAGTCTTTACATGCAAGGAGACAGAAAGTGATTCTGGGGTCAGGTAAGTCCTTGACCTCAGCTGAGTCATGTTGGCTGCAGTCCTGAGCAAGCAAGATGTAACCTCATGAGTGTCTCAGGTGACTTCTCCATCTCCAGAGCACTTAAGTGGTTTAGGGAGGCCAGAACGTGTTCCTGAAATCTCTTTTTTTTTTTTTTGAGACAGAGTCTTGCTCTGTCACCCAGGCTGGCGTGCAGTGGCGCAATCTCGGCTCACTGCAAGCTCCGCCTCCCGGGTTCACGCCATTCTCCTGCCTCAGCCTCCCAAGTAGCTGGGACTACAGGCGCCCGCCACCGCGCCTGGCTAATTTTTTTTGTATTTTTAGTAGAGACGGGGTTTCACCATGTTAGCCAGGATGGTCTCGATCTCCTGACCTTGTGATCCACCCGCCTTGGCCTCCCAAAGTGCTTACACGCTTGAGCCACCGCGCCTCCTGAAATTTCTTGAACCGGCCATACTCGTTCCCTCCTCTGGGCCTATGCATGTGCTGTTGTCCAAACATCACCTCCTCTGGGAAGCCCTCATCTCTGCAGTCACATTTATTTAGTGTCTGTTCCCCAGCTATCCTAGATCCAGGACAGATTCCTCTCTCATCAGTCCCTGGCAGAGCCCAGCACACACCAGGGCCAGTTAAAAGCCAGGGTCTTCCTTGTCTCTGGCTCCCTTTCTTCTCCCCTGCTTTTGAATATACTTAGCTTACTGGCATCTTTTCACCTTGCAGAAATCCCTTCTGGAACAAGGATAAACAAAAGAACCAAGTGAGCATTTACTGTCTGCTGAGTCAGTGGATGTGCTCTGCCTCCCTACCCTGGGGAAGCAGTATGTGCCGAAACCCGGCCATGTGGAGACCAGGTTGTAGACGTAGGATATCATTTATTCAGTCAGTCATCAGTTCATTTAGCAAATATTGGATGCTTACTGCATACCAGGTACTGTCATAAGGAGACCCAACAGTGAACAAAACAAAAAACTCCCTGCCCTTTAGGAGCTGATGCTCTAGTTGGGGGAGAGACAATAAGCAAAGAAGAAAATAATGATCTGGCCGTTCACATGGCCCAGTGGGAGATTCAGCAGGGGGCAGGGGCGTGCTCCTGGAGGAGGTCATGGTTTCAGATTGGGTGGCCAGGACAGACATCAGCTGATGTGGAGTCTTTTATGAAAGGCTTGAAGGAGGGGTCGGGGTGGTGGCTCACGCCTGTAATCCCAGCACTTTGGGAGGCCCAGGTGGGCAGATCACCTGAGGTTAGGAGTTTGAGACCAGCCTGACCAACATGGAGAAACCCCATCTCTACTAAAAATACAAACATTAGCTGGGTGTGGTGGCACATGCCTGTAATCCCAGCTACTCGGGAGGCTGAGGCAGGAGAATCGCTTGAACCCAGGAGGCGGAGGCTGCAGTGAGCCAAGATTGTGCCACTGCACTCCAACCTGGGTGACAGAATGAGACTCGATGTCAAAAAAAAAAAAAAGACTTAAAGGAAGTGAGGGAGTGAATCAGGTGGTATAGGGGGAAGGGCAGAAAGAGTGGCTGTGCAGAGGCCTTGGGGTGCGTTTCCAGAACACAGGGAAGCCAGCGTGGCTAGGACAGAGAGACCCTGGAGGACAGGGGATGAGACCAGAGGTCCTGCAGGCGGATTGAGGGGACTTTGGCTTGGACTCTGATCTGGGAGGGATTGGGGCATGATCTTGTCAGAGGCGTTTGAACCAGAGTGACTCCATCTTGTATAGGGGCTGGGTAAAATAAGGCTGAGACTTGCTGGGCTGCATTCTTAGTAAATTAGGCATTTTAAGTCACAGGATGAGAAAGGAGGTCAGCACAAGATACAGGTCATAAAGACCTTGCTGATAAAACAGTTTGCAGAAGACCGGGCGCGGTGGCTCATGCCTGTAATCCCAGCACCTTAGGAGGCCGAAGCAGGCGGATCACGAGGTCAGGAGATTGAGACCATCCTGGCTAACACGGTGAAACCCCGTCTCTACTAAAAATACAAAAAAAAAAAATTAGCCCGGCGTGGTGGTGGGCGCCTGTAGTCCCAGCTACTTAGGAGGCTGAGGGAGGAGAATCGCTGGAACCCGGGAGGCGGAGCTTGCAGTGAGCCAAGATCGAGCCACTGCACGCCAGCCTGGGCGACAGAGCGAGACTCCGTCTCAAAAACAAAACAAAACAGGTTGCAGTAAAGAAGCCAGCCAAAACCCACCAAAACCAAGATGGCAATGTGAGTTACCTCTGGTCGTCCTCACTGCTCGTTATGCACTCATTAGGATATATTAGCATGCTAAAAGACACTCCCCCACCAGGGCCATGAGGGTTTACAGATGCAATGGCAATGTCTGGAAGTTACCCTGTGTGGTCTAAAAAGGGGTTTAGCTCTAGGAATTGCTCACCCCTTTCCTGGAAAACTCATGGATAATCCACCCGTTGTTTAATATAAAATCAAAAAACTATCCTTAGTCCAGCAGCTCAAGCTGCTGCTCTGCCTATGGAATAGCCCTTCTTTTATTCCTTTACTTTCTTTTTTTTTTCTCGAGACAGAGTCTTGCTCTGTCGCCCAGCCTGGAATGCAGTGGCGTGATCTCGGCTCACTGCAGCCTTTGCCTCCCGGGTTCAAGCGATTCTCCTGCTTCAGCCTCCTCTGAGTGGCTGGGATTACAGGCACGTGCCACCACGCCCAGCTAATTTTTGTATTTTTTTATGTCTCTTTTCAGTATATTGCATGAAGGAGTTACACTAGTCCAAGTTAAAAACCGGACCCCAAATGGTTACATTGTACAAGCTATGAGGTTTTTAAACTTGTGACAAGGGACGGAAGGGAAATTTTACTCATTGCAGGCAAATCCTCACTTAAGCTTCAGTGAGCCACAAGCACTTAAAACCCATGAACCTTCAGCTGATCGTCCTTAGCCAGTCCAGTCTCTATGAGGAACTGGCATATGTTCTTGTGTTGGTCACCCTATAGCTGAAGTACTTCTCCATATTCCGGATGCTCAATTACAGCACCATTGCAGGCAAACTTCTTTTTTATTTTTTATTTTTGAGGCAGAATCTAGCTCTGTCGTCCAGGCTGGAGTGCAGTGGCGCGATCTCAGCTTACTGCAACCTCTGCTTCCCGGGTTCAAGCGATTCCCCTGCCTCAGCCTCCCGAGTGGCTGGGATTACAGGTATCCATCACTACGCCCAGCTAATTTTTTGTGTTTTTAGTAGAGACGGGGTTTCACCATATTTGCCAGGCTGGTCTCGAACTTCTGACCTCGTGATCTGCCCGCCTCAGCCTCCCAAAGTGCTGGGATTACAGGCGTGGGCCACCGCGCCTGGCCTTTCTGTTGAATTCTTATATGGATATAATCCTCAGTGCTAGCAAGAAACAGGTCATCAGCCTTACTTGCATCAGCAAAGGGGTCTGAAAAGAAAGGTTAAACTGCGCCGGGCGCAGTGGCTCACGCCTGTAATCCCAGCACTTTGGGAGGCCGAGGCGGGCGGATTGCCAGACCTCAGGAGTTTGCAAAGCTCAGATGCCACTGCCACTGCCATCCCCCCTAGATGTTTTGTGCGTGCAGAAAATAACACTGAAATCATCAGGGCTTGGGCCAGGCCGAATGTGTCCTTTGCTGGCTCTCCTGGAGCAGGTCAGTCCGGGACAGCTGGCTTCCCCAGGCTCAGGGAATGCCTGGGCCTTCCGCCCTGCCTGGGAAGCTGATCACGTCTAATATTTGTATTCTTAGTAGAGATGGGGGTTTCACCATGTTGGCCAGGCTGGTCTCGAATTCTTGACCTTGTGATCCGCCCGCCTTGGCCTCCCAAAGTGCTGGGATTACAGGTGTGAGCCACTGCGCCCGGCCTATTCCTTTACTTTCTTAATAAACTTGCTTTCACTTTACTCTGTGGACTTGCCCTGAATTCATTCTTGGGTGAGATCCAAGAACCCTCTCTTTGGGACCCATTTCCAGTAACAATCTTAGTGTTTTTGGTTTTTTTTTTTTCCCTAATTTTAGAAAACTTCAAAGATATATGTAAATATATACAATAGGAAAATGAAGCCCATGTACCTGTATCGTGGCTGAGGAGTTTGGTTTTCTTTTCATTAAAAAAAATTAAATGTACTGTTTATGGCTGGGCATGGTGACTCATGCCTATAATCTCAGCACTTTGGGAGGCCGAAGTGGGCCAATCACTTGAGGCCAGGAATTCAAGACCAGCCTGGCCAACATGGCAAAACCCTGTCTCTACTAAAATTACAAAAATTAGCTGGGTGTGGTGGCATGCACCTGTGGTCCCAGCTAATTGGGAGGCTGAGGTAGGAGAATTGCCTGAACCCAGGAGGTGGAGGCTGCAGTGACCTGAGATGGCGCCACTGCACTCCAGCCTGGGTGACAGAGTGAGACTCTGTCTCAAAAAGAAAGAAAGAGAAAAATTTAATGTACTGTTTATATGCAGTAAAAATTCTTTCTTTCAGCATGCTCTGCAAGTTTTGACAAACATATCTAGTCATTTAACCATGACCACTACCAAGTTATAAAACAGTTTATCATCCCAGCACTTTGGGAGCCCGAAGTAGGAAGATTGCTTGAGCCCAGGAGTTTGAGACCAGCCTGGGCAACCTAGTGAGACTCCATCTCTATGAAAATAAAAAATTTAGCCAGGCGTAATGGCATGTGCCTGTAGCCCCAGCAACTTGGGAGGCTGAAGTGGGAGGATTGCTTGAGCTCAGGAGGTCGAGGCTACAGTGAGCAGTGATTGCACCACTTAACTGCAGCCTAGGTGACAGAGTGAGACCCTGCCTTGAAAAAAGAATGACGAGTTGATGGGCGCAGCAAACCAACATGGCATATGTATACCTATGTAACAAACCTGCATGTTGTGCACGTGTACCCTAGAAGTTAAAGTATAATAAAACATAAAAAAAAAAAAAAAGAATGACCACCTGGGTGCTGCACGGATCAGCAGTCTGTCCCTTCACAGCTGCATGGGATTCCAGGGAATGATGTACTGGCCTTGGTTTTGAAGACCGCTCTGCCCTCCATGTGGGGGATGAACCCTGGAGGGGAAGGGGGAGAGCAGGGGACCCCTATCCTCTCCCTACACGCAGTGACAGCAGTCGCGTAGCCTGTGGCCCTGAGTTCCTCCCTCTTACAGCAGTGCTGTGCAGAAGAAGGTGCTATGCTCAGTTCAGCCTCACTTTACAGAGAGGGGAGGTAACTTCCTTGGGTTACACGCTGGCAAGTGGCAAAGTCAGATTCAAACCCAGCCCCTCCGTGTTCTGTCTCCAGGAGTGCGCTGTCTCTACAAGGCTCCCCAGGGGCTCTATGGACATTTGTAGATTTTCTGATCCCCACTGTGGGGCCAGGGAACCGATTACAGGGAGGCAGCCAAGCTTGACCTCAGAATCCTAACAGCCAACTGCAGCCTGAGGACCCCCGCATGTGCAGGCAGCTCCTGGGCTTGGCCCAGATCCTACTGTCTCCTTGCAGGAGAGGGAGGAGCACCAACAAAAGTTTAGTGACAGATCGGTCTAGGATGAGACGCTGAGTCTGTCTTCAGAGCCTCTAGCTCTACTCCCCATCTGTGAACCAGAGGTAAGAAGTGTGAATTACTTCAACAAGTATCAAAGCGTCCTGGTGTTGGAGGCTGACACCTGAGCAGGCCTGGTTCCATCCTGGCCCTGCTGTGTGGCCTGAGGCCAGTCACAGTCCTTCTCTGGGCCTCATCTTCCCTTCACAGGGCTCCTGCAGCCCTGATTCTCTGTGCTGCTGAGCTGCCCGCCCCGGGAATCTTGGCTCTGCTGCTGGGGCAGAATAGTGTGAGCAAGGCATGTGGGACGCGTGCTGGTCACCAGCCCAAGCTTCTTCCTAGTGAGTCTACTCCCTTCCCTTGCCCAGACCCCAGTGCCCTGACACCTGCAGACAGAGCATTTGCTTTTTCTTTCCATACCTTTATTGTTTTTCTTTTCTTTCTTTCTTTTTTTTTTTTTTTGAGACAGAGTCTTGCTCTTGTCGCCCAGGTTGGAGTACAGTGGCACTGTCTCGGCTCACTGCAACCTCCGCCTCCCAGGTTCAAGCGATTCTCCTGCCTCAGCCTCCTGAGTAGCTGTGATCACAGGCACGTGCCACCACACCTGGCTAATGTTTGTATTTTTAGTAGAGATGGAGTTTCACCATGTTGGCCAGGATGGTTTCAAACTCCTGACCTCAAGTGATCCACCTGCCTCGGCCTCCCAAAGTGCTGGGATTACAGGCATGAGCCACCATGCCTGGCCTGCCTTTACTGTTTTTCTTTTCTGATTAGAAGCATGAGGAGTGCTCGTTTAAAATTTTCAGAACACACAGAAAAATATCAAGAAGATAAAAGTCATAAATCCACCACTGTTCAGTTTGGCCACATGCCCTCAGACATCTTCCTGATCCTGTAACCATCCATTCATGTACTCATTTACTCATTCATTCACTAATTGACTCATGCACTTGCTCACTCACACGGTGCTTATTGAGCAATTGAGGTATGTTCTGGATTCTGGGAACACAGCGTGAACAGACAGACAAAGCCCTGCACACATGGAGCTCTTTATGTGCAAATAGAACGTTTTCCAACAAGGCTGGGTGCGGTGGCTCATGCCTGAAATCCCAGCACTTTGGGAGGCCGAGGTAGGTGGATTGCTTGAGTCCAGGAGTTCAAGACTAGCCTGGGCATCATGGTGAAATCTCATCTCTACCAAAAATACAAAAACTAGCCAAGCATGGTGGTGTGCACCAGCTTCTTGGGAGGCTGAGGTGGGAAGATCGCTTTAGCCCGGGAGGCAGGGGTTGCAGTGAGCCCAGATCGCACCACTGTACTCCAGCCTGGGGGAACAGAGGGAGCCCCTATCTCAAAAAAAAAAAAAAAGTTTTCCAACAAAATTGTAATCAAATCAGATTATCTGTTTTATAGCTTGTTTTTTATTTTCAATTTAACAATATGCTGTGATCATTTTCCTTTGTTAATATATAGGAAACCACAGAATTATTCTATAAGAATATTTTTAGGCTGAGTGGGCTGGCTCACACCTGTAATCCCAGCACTTCCTGCTGTGGCAGGAGGATCGCTTGAGGCCAGGAGTTTGAGACCAGCCTGGGAAACATCTCTACAAAAAAAAAAAAAAAAAAAAAAAAAAAAAGAATATTTTATTTATTTATTTATTTATTTATTTATTTATTATTTTTTTATTTTGAGATGGAGTTTCGCTCTTGTTGCCCAGGCTGGAGTGCAATGGTGCAATCTCAGCTCACCGCAACCTCCGCCTCCCAGGTTCAAGCAATTCTCCTACCTCAGCCTCCTGAATAGATGGGATTACAGGCATGCACCAGCATGACGAGCTAATTTTGTATTTTTAGTAGAGATGGGGTTTCTCCATGTTGAGGCTGGTCTCGAACTCCTGACCTCAGGTGATCTGCCCACCTTGGCCTCCCAAAGTGCTGGGATTACAGGCGTGAGCCACCACGCCCGGCCCCAAAAAGAATATTTTAAAAGATAATTTTGATTAGGTAATATATTCATGTTTCAAAAACTAAAATGAAGTGTATGTGGGTACCAAGAAAAAATCTACCCACTGCCTTTGTCTGCCATCTGCCTTCTGCCCAGAGCTCCTCCACTTCACACAGGGAAGCATTTTTACTTGTTTCTCATGAATTCTTCCAGTGTTTTCCACACATAAATACAAGTGAATACAAATATATATTCTTCCCCCCCACTTTTAACCCACAAGTTGGCATATCACTTAGCAGTCTCTCCTGGAGACCCGTCTGTCTCTCCCTATAGCACAGCGGTCCACGGAGTGGAGGGACATGGCACTCACAGCTGAAAGATCCTAACCATTCTCCTGGATACAGCAGTCCTTTACCGATGGCTATCTGGGTAATTTCAAAATACAGCATCTTTGTCTCAGTTGTTGATTCTTTCATCTCAGGGATATGTTCATGATCTATCCAGTTCCCTCTTGTTGGGATTTTGATAATTTCCAGTGTTTCACTGCATTGCGATGGATGAGTGTGTTAGTACTTGTTTCCGCCCACCCACCTGATTGTCTTCTCAGGAAAATGAGACCCGAGGGCTCCTCCTAGGCCAGGTGCCATGCTAAGTGCTTCCTGGGAATTCTTTCATCCAGTCCTCACACCCACCCTCGGAAGCAGGAGTTGCACTCATGAAGGGACTGGGCTCTGAGGAGCCTGAGAACTTTCCAAAAGTCTCCTTGGTGGTAGCTCTTGGAATTTGGATCTGAACCCCAGTTGGGGTAAGTCTGGAGTCTGATCTCCTGAGCAGAGAACAAGTGGCTACAAAGTCAATGCATTGTGAAGCCACTGGCACTGATGGGCAGTTGCCTCCCCAGGATAAGGTGCCTCCCCCACCCTGAAGAGACCTGAGGCTCTTAACGATTCTCTGGAATTGGCTGAGCACGGTGGCTCATGCCTGTAATCCCAGCACTTTGGAGGCCGAGGTGGGCGGATCACCTGAGGTCAGGAGTTCGAGACCAGCCTGGCCAACATGGTGAAACCGCGTCTCTACTAAAAAATACAAAATTAGCCGGGCGTGGTGGTGGGCACCTGTAATTCCAGCTGCTAGGGAGGCTGAGGCAGGAGAATCGCTTGAACCCAGGAGGTGGAGGATGCAGTGAGCCGAGATGCGCCATTGCACTCCAGCCTGGGCCAAAAGAACAGAACTCCATCTCAAAAAAAAAAAAAAAAAAGATTATGTGGAATTAATTGAGGGTAAAAAATTCCATGGTGCAGGACCCAGGCAGGTTACAGGATTGCAAGAAATGGCTGGGTGTCAGACAGAGGGAGCAGTGTGGAGTGTGGCAAAGTGGGACCACCTGGTCTGTCCCAGGGGCAGCTTCTGCTCCTTCCAGCAAGTTGTTCCACAAGGGAGCCCTGGGCTAAGTCTTCTGCTTTTCAACAGGAGCTGGAAATCGAATAAAAATGTGAGACTTCTTGATGTTTAAATGGCAGTTAATTTTGGCTGAGTGTGATGGCTCATGCCTATAATCCCAGCACTTTGGGGGGGCAAGGTGGGCGGATAACTTGAGCTCAGGAGTTTGAGACCAGCCTGGGCAACATAGTGAGACCCCGCCTCTACAAAAAATACAAAAATTAGCTGGGATGGGAAGCCAAGGTAAGAAGATCATTTGAGTTTGGGTGGTTGAGGATGCAGTGAGCAGATTAAGTCTTTGCACTCCAGCCTGGGCAACAGAGTGAGACGCTGTTTCAAAAATAAATAGGCTGGGCGAGGTGGCTCACACCTGTAATCCCAGCACTTTGGGAACCCGAGGCAGAGGGGATCACTTGAGGCCAGGAGTTTGAGACCAACCTGGCCAAACCATGGCAAAACCCCGTCTCTTCTAAAAGTACAAAAAATAGCTGGGCATGATGGCATATGCCTGTAGTCCCAGCTATTCAGGGGGCTGAGGCACAAGAATCACTTAAACCCGGGAGGCGTAGGTTGCAGTAAGCAGAGATGGCACCACTCCAATCCAGCCTGGGTGACAGAGCAAGACTCTGTCTTAAAAAATAAATAAATAAATAATAAGTAAACAAACAAATAAATAAATGCCAACTGATTTTAAAACACAGGTAGGTGTGTCTGCTGCTAACTTAGATGGTCGGGAGAGTGAGAGAGAGAGAGAGGCAGAGAGACAGGGAGGGAGAGGGGTACTCTGGCAAATGGGAAACCCTTGCTAGGTCCAGGCAAAGGCCATGTACAGATTCACCCACGATTCTGGCTGTTTGTTTGGAGGTGTTAATTTTTTCAAAATAAGAAAATTGCTCAGGCTGGGTGCGGTGGCTTATGCCTGTAATCCCAGCACTTTGGGAGGCTGAGGCGGGTGGATCACAAGGTCAGGAGTTCGAGACCGGCTTGGCCAATATGGTGAAACTTCATCTCTACTAAAAATGCAAAAATTAGTTGGGCATGGTGGCAGGCGCCTGTAGTCCCTGCTACTTGGGAGGCTGAGGCAGGAGAATCACTTGAACCCGGGAGGGGAAGGTTGCAGTGAGCCAAGATCGCTCCACTGCGCTCCAGTCTGGGCGACAGAGCAAGACTCTCTCTGAAGGGAAAAAAAAAAAAAAAAGAGCAAATTGCTCACTCTGAAAGAGATAAAACTAAATGTAACATCTGAATCTTGGCTAGCTCTTAGTTTGAAACAAAAAGTCCAGCCATAAAAGACATTTTGGGGACAACTGGGTAACTTGAATGTGGACTGTGTGTTAGATATCTGTGGAATTACAGTGTTTTTTGCAGTGAGGTAAGCGTATCATGGTCTTGTAGAACGGCCGCCTTCTCAGGGAGTGCATGCTGATGGACTAGGGGCAAAAGGTCACAAAGTCAAAAACTTACTTTCTTTTTTTTGTTTAAATGATTTTTAGATAAAGATCGAGGAGTCAGAGGAGGCCTTGCTATGTTGCCCAGGCTGGTTTCGAACTTCTGGCCTCAAGTGATCCTCCTGCCTTGGCCTCCTAAAGCATTGGGATTACATACGTGAACCACTGCTTCTGGCCAGTAACTTACTTTCAAATGATTCAGGGCCAGGTGTGGTACCTCACACCTGTAATCCCAGCACTTTGGGAGGCTGAGGCGGGCCGATCACGAGGTCAGGAGATTGAGACCATCCTGGCTAACACAGTGAAATCCCGTCTCTACTAAAAATACAAAAAATTAGCTGGGCATGGTGGCGGACGCCTGTAGTCCCAGCTACTGGGGAGACTGAGGCAGGAGAATAGCGTGAACTTGGGAGGCGGCGCTTGCAGTGAGCCGAGATCATGCCACTGCACTCCAGCCTGGGCGACAGAGCGAGACCCCATCTCAAAAAAAAAAAGAAAAAAAAAGATTCCGAAAACAGCACATAGCTATGTGTAGAGAGGGGAGTGTGCACGTGGGCAGAGCTGTCAGCACCGGGCAGGTCGCACCAGATGGCAGCTGTGGATTCTGCTTTTGACTTCCTGTGTGCTTAAATTTTACATAATAAAAATTCAGAGGAAAGGGGGGAAAAAGTGACCACAGGGGTGAAACAAAACATATGGGTGCTAGAAATGGCCCCTGGTTTGTGACATGTCATTCAGCCCAATCCTCCCTCAATGCAAGATGGGAAAACTGAGGCCCAGAGGTGGAGGGAGGGTCTCTTCTCAGAGCGGACTTCCCTCCCTAATTCTGTTTTCCTCACACCGCATGCAAGCAGCTGTTTGGGCAGGAGAGGCTGAGGTGACACTTCCTGTCCCTTTGTCTTTTCTCTTCCTGCCAGAGCTCTGTGAGGGTGGTTCTGTTACAGCCCATTTCACAGAGGTGGAAGCTGAGGGCCTGAGAGCAGAAGTTACTTGCCTGAGTCACACATTGAGTTGGGGTGGGAAACTGGTCCCTAGGCCCCCACCTTCCTCCGATCCCTAGATCAAGGGCAATGGCTTTGGATCAGCAGGCCCGGCCTGGCCCCCAGTTTTGCTGTGTGACCTTGGGTGATTCATCTGACCTCTCTGTGCTGCTCCAGGGGTGAGGAGTTAATGAGGTGACCCATGAGAAGGCTCCTGCCCTGCTGCCCTGCACACGATCAATTCTGTCACATATTCCTCTGTCCCTGCAGTCCCTGGAATCTCAGAATCTCCAGCAATTGCCATGGCCCCCGCCCTGCCTTGCTGCTATTTCCCTCCAGCCTCTGTATAGGTTTCTGCGTGTCTCTTCCTGTCAGGGTTTGCCACTAGCCAGGCTTTGGCCCTGAGGGATGGCATAAACTAGTGGAATTTCAGGCAGCAAGAGGCAGAGCGACTGGGGAGATATATGGGACATTCTCACCCCTTGTCTGGAATGTCCTTTTTCCTACACTCCAATTGGCAAACTCCTATTCATCTTCTGAAGCCCAGGTTAAATATCGTCACTCTGAGGAGCTTTCCCCCATCCTCAGCCCAGGTTGGGTCAGTCACCACCCAGTGGCTCCCGCAGTCCCTCTGAGTGCCACCATTATGTGGGTGTGGGTTTTCTTGCTCCATCGCCTGAGAGGGCCTGGGTTTTGCTCATCCCCCTACCCATTTTAAAGAATGGGAAACTGAGACCAGCCTGTAATCATACAGCAAATGCAGGGCAGAGTCCTGAGGGCGAGAGTGCAGGCAAATCCCGGTCTCACCACAGACTCTCTCTCTCCTTGACCTTGGGCCCATCATGTCACCCCCTGAGCCTTAGTTTTCTTGTGTGTAACATGGCAGTAATGGCCCCAAATGCTCACCGTTTTTTCCCTTCATTGAAAGGACTTCTCTGCTCCTCCCTCAGCTTTAATGAAGGATAATTACATACAATAAAATGCAGCCATTTAAGCGCATGGTTTGATGATGTTTGACACATGTATACGGTTGTGTAACCACCACTACAATCATCATACACAACATTTCCTTCACTCCCAAGTTTCCTTCGGGCCCCTTTGCAGTTGATCCCCTCCCCACCCCAGTCCCTTGCCACTACTGATGGCTCTGTGCCACTGTGGTTTTGCTTTTTCCAGAACGTCCTGTGAATGGAATCGTATTGTAGGTAGCCTTTTGAATCTGGCTTTTTTTTTCCGGCGGAATGCATCTGAGCTCCATCTGCACTGTGGCATGTTTTGGGAGTGCATTCCTTTCCTGTCACCGAGTAGTATTGCATTGATGGATATATACCATGTTTTGTTTATCCCTTTCCAAGTTCATAGACAGCTGAGTTCTTGCTAGGTTTTATCTATTATGGAAAAAGCTGTTACTAACCTTTGTGTTCAGGTTTGTGTGTGTGTGTAAACACAGTTATTTCTCTTGGAAGTGAAATAGCTGAGTCCTAAGTAGGTGTATTTAACTTTATAAGAAACTGCCAAACTGTTTTCCAAAGTGATCCTACCATTTCACATTCCCACAGCAATGTATGAGAGTTCCAGTTTCTGCACATCCTCACCAATACTTGCAATTATCTTTTTTTTTTTGAGACAGAGTCTCACTCTGTCACCCAGGCTGGAGTGCAATGGCGCGATCTCGGCTCACTGCAACCTCTGCCTCCTGGGTTCAAGCGATTCTCCTGCCTCAGCCTGCTGAGTAGCTGGGATTACAGGTGCGCACCCCCACGCCCGGCTAATTTTTGCGTTTTTAGTAGAGACGGGGTTTCACCATGTTGGTCAGGCTGGTCTCGAACTCCTGATCTCGTGATCCACCCAAAGTGCTGGGATTACAGGCGTGAGCCACCGTGCCCGGCCTGGAATTATCTTTTTTTAAATTTTTTTAAATTCTTTGTTTATTTATTTTTGAGAGAGGGTCTTGCTCTGTCACTCAGGCTGGAGGGTAGTGGCATGATTATGGCTCACTGCAGCCTTGAAATCCCAGGCTCAAGTGATCCTCCTGCCTCAGCCTCCCGAACAGCTGGGACCACATGTTGGTGCCATCACACCCAGCTAATTTTTTTTTTTTTGAGACGAAATCTTGCTCTGTCGCCCAGGCTGGAGTACAACGGCGCGATCTTGGCTCACTGCAACCTCCGCCTCCCGGGTTCAAGCGATTCTTCTGCCTCAGCCTCCGAGTAGCTGGGATTACAGGCGCCTGCCGCCATGCCCTGCTAATTTTTGTATTTTTAGTAGAGACGGGGTTTCACTATGTTGGCCAGGCTAGTCTCAAACTCCTGACCTCAGGTGATCCGCCCGCCTCGGCCTCCCAAAGTGCTGGGATTACAGGCATTAGCCACCGCGCCCGGCCTTTACACTCAGCGAATTTTTTATTTTTTGTAGAGATTGGGTCTTGCTATGTTGCCCAGGCTGTGTCAGTCATTTTAATTTTCACCTTTCTAATAGGTGTGTAGTGGTTTCATTGTGGTTTTAACTGCATCCCTCTGATGACTCCCAGGGTTGAGTCACTTTCCAAATAAGCACATGGAAAGAGACTCCCCATCCATATGTCTTCCTTGGGGAGGTGTCTGTTCAGATCTTTAGCACGTTTTTCAGTCATTTTAATTTTCACCTTTGTAATAGGTGTGTAGTTATTTCATTTTGGTTTTAACTGCACTCTGCTGATGACTCCCAGGTTGAGTCTCTTTCCATGTGCTTATTTGCCATCCACATGTCTTTCCTGGGGAGGTGTCTGTTCAGATCTTCAGCACGTTTATGTTTATCTTTTTTCTTTTTCTTTTTCTTTTCTTTTTTTTTTTTTGAGATGGAGTTTCACTCTGTCACCCAGGCTGGAGTGCAGTGGCGTGATCTCCACTCACTGCAACCTCCGCCTCCTGGGTTCAAGCGATTCTCCTGCCTCAGCCTCCTGAGTAGCTGAGACTACAGGTGTGCGCCACCATGCCTGGCTAATTTTTGTATTTTTAGTAGAGACAGGGTTTCACCATGTTGGCCAGGCTGGTCTTGAACTCCTGACCTCATGATCCACCTGCCTCAGCCTCCCAAAGTGCTGGGAGTGAGCCACTGCGCCCGGCCATAGCACATTTTTCATTGTGTTCTTCTCTTACTATTGAGTTGTAGGAGTTGTTTGCATGCTCTGGGTGCAAGCCTCTGAGAAGTATTCTGCCAAGATCTTCTCTCAGGGTTGTTTGGAGCATTAAATGACATCATCAACACCCAATAGTGGGTGCTCTTATCATTATTATGATTACTACTATTATTTATCACTTCATTTTGTCATTGTGGATACGATGATGTGTCTCCCAGCCCAGAACTGCCAGGAGCACCTGCTCACGGAGCTTCTTTGGTGCCCCATACCTACCAGTTGGGTCCCCTCCAGCAGGACCCCCCGCAGGAGCCCCAGCTTCCACCAGAGCACTGGGATGCCCTTTGTGTGTTGTTTGGTGTTTATAATACTCATTTATCAAAACCAGCCAGCTGGCTTAGGCTGCTTGGCCGCACTGCTCATGGGAGGGGAGGCGTGGGAGGTGGCCTCCCCCTCCTGGACCTGTCGGAGAGACAACATCATAGCCCTCCCCATCACCTGGCCTGCACCCACAGCCCAGTGTGCTGGGTGCCTGCAGACATCTCCCATTCATTAGAGCCACACCATAGCACCCGGGTCTAGGTTCTGATTCCCATTTGCCAGATGAGACAACAGAGGCTCAAAGAGGCCATCTGGTTGCGGTTGCTGAGAGTCCCACGGCCCAGAAGGTTCGCATTGAGATACGATTGCAGGGTCTCTGGCTCTCATGTCATCACTTGCTCACATTCTCACTCAGCAAACCCTCATCCACCTCTCCTGCTGCCTGCCCAAGCGGGAGAGCAGCCAGAGGCAAGCAGGGACTGTTGAGCACCCAGCAGGTATGAAGCACGAGACTGCATAAATGATCTCACTCCAGGGAGGTGGCTGTTATTGTGTTATTGTCCCCTTTTACAGACCAGGAAACTGAGGCTTAAAGAGACCTAGTGACTCACTCAATAAATTAGTGGCAGAGCAGGATTTGAACCTGGGCACACTATTTCCTCAGCCTGAGTGCCTGACTGCTGGGCCAAACTGAATCCATGGTCTGTGTCCCTTCAGTGGGATGGGCCCCAATCTGGCCCGTAGTTCTGGGAGCACACATGCTGTGTGTGTGCCCTCACCAATCATCACAAAGGTCCTCCAGGAGGCCCTGCCATTCCCACTCACCCTTGAAATCCTGTTTCCTTCTCCATTCAAGCTCATGTGGCTCCATCTCTGAACCTTGTTCCGTGCAGGGCTGCTTCCTGCACCAGCTTCCCCACCCAAGCAGTTAGTAAGAACCAGAACTCCATCCGGAGGCTCACAGCAGCCCCTGAGGGAGATTGGCCAAGGGAGACTGGCCAAGGCGGCCGGGAGCTTCCAACTGAGGGAGGCCCCGAGGCCTGCAGGTGCCTTTCTCTTGCTCTGAATGACACTAGGAATCCAAAGATACATCTGGCCTGGGCCTGCAGGCTTGAGGTCAGTACAGGGTTTGCAGGAACCCAGAGGAGCCAGTGGTAGTTCCACCTGAAGCATCGGGGAAGGCTGCCCTGGAGAGGTGGTGCTGGCATGTGGCCTAGAAAGATGACGTGGTCATCAGCCTATCAACTCCACATTTCTCCATCAAGCTCTATCTCCTCTTCCCACACCCACTGCCCCGCCTGGTTTTATCTGTGTGATTGGCAGGCTCCCCAACCCTAATCTGGAGGAGGCTCCAAGCCTCTCCATCACCCTGGCCTCCTCCCTCAGCCTCCTTCTACTGCCTACCTGCCACCACAGCCTCAGAATCTTTCTCAGGTCCCGTCCCCTCCCCACTGGAGGAGGAAGCCTCCGCCAGGGGCCCTGCTCTAGGAAACGTGCTGACAGACTGGGAAGTGTGGCAGGTGGCCCCGTGAATAGTCACGGTTCACATTAAATTCCAGGAGTGTGGAGGTTTTAGAGAATGGCTGCAAATTCTCTGTCATTCCTTCATTGAGAGGCGGGGTCTGTGTCTCCTCCCTTATATCTAAATGGGCTACTTCAACCCACAGAGTGAGGCAGAAGTGATGCTGGGAGGCTGTCTAAGCTACATCAGGCCATGCAGCTTCATCTGGTTCTCTTGGGACACTCATGCTCCGTGCCTGTTGCCATGCTATGAGGAAGTCATAGGCAGAGGCTGGATGGAAGTGCTCCAGTCCAATCAGGCAGGGCCAGAGTCCTCCTGGCCCGGGTGAGGAGGAGGTAAATATGCAGGTGAAGGAAACTGCACATGAATCCAGCCGAGGCTGGGACGTTACAGCACAGGGACAGGCCATCCCTACTGTGCCAGCTATTTCATACCCCTGAGTTTAGGGTGGTTTGTGACACAGCAGGAGATAAACAAAGAGGGGATTTTGTGACTTCCCCCAACCCTGGTCATCATTCCTTTCTCAACACATATCTGCTGGAACCCATGAGGGGACAGGGGCTGTGCAGGCAGCTCAAAGTCAAATCCTAGATCCACTGTATTCTCTGTCCCTGTAAAACAGTGGGGGCAGGATTAGAATCAGGGCACATTTGATAGGACCCCCTGCACTACCCCCAAGCCACTGCACCCACCCTAGCCCCTGACAATATTTGAGTCTGGGGTCTCAGGTCACTAGATGGTGACATGTTCCTCCTGGCTCTGGCTTCCCATGAGGACCTCAATTTGGGTAATCCTGGAAGGCTGCATGGAAGAGACAGGATTTGAGCTGTAACGAACAGGCAGAGTTGAAATAATTGTGACATTTTGTTTATTTATATTAAAATATTATATTAACAATTATATTGATTGCCTTAACATTAAAATACTATACATTTAATATATCCTGAAAATAATACACACTTTTTGCAGAAATGTTTGACAGAAAGGGTGTAAAGAAAAAACAAAAACAAAACCATCTTTGTAATTTCAGTGTCCAGAAATAATCATGGCCGATGTGTTGGTGTATTTCCTACATTTCTACCATCCAACTCAGAACAGGCTGCAGCCTTCAGCAAACTTTCCCAGCTCAAACAGGGCAGAGACCAGCTGGCAGAAGGGAGAGATCCCATCACCAGCAGAAATGCCCATGTTTGGGCCATGTGGCCTCCAAGGAGGGTGCCAATTCAGTGCCCTCCATTCCCAGACAGGACTACTCAGGATCCCCAGTCCAAGGCTGCTCCTTCTCTGCCCTGCACCGACTGCCGCAGGGGTTCTCACAGCCTTTCCTCCTGCCTCAAGCCATTCACATCACTTGGGCAAGGTGGACTCTGCAACCTCCGCCTCTCGGATTCAAGCGTTTCTCCTGCCTCAGCCTCCCGAGTAGCTGGGAGTACAGACACACGCCACCACGCCCGGCTAATTTTTTTGTATTTTTAGTAGAGACTAAAAAAACCATGGGTTTTGCCATGTTGGCCAGGCTGGTCTCAAACTTCTGACCTCAGGTGATCCGCCTGCCTCAGCCTCCCAAAGTCCTGGGATTACAGGTGTGAGCCACCATGCCCCGCCGACTTGCTCTGTTGTAGAGGGGCAGCCTTGAAGACGGTGCATCCTTCTTGCTGCAGACTATTCTTGGCTCTCAAGTCCCCATGCACAAAAAATAACCTGCAGACTCAGGACTGTGTAAATCTATCCTCAGGAGGGCAAAGAAAGCCACTTCTCTAAGCACGCCGGGGGCATACTGGCTGCCCGCCCAACAGATGTCTGGATCAGTCTGAATCCTGGGCACCCGGGAGAGGAAATGAATTCCCTTCATCAGCGGCCTCGAGCCCCCAGCAGTCCTCCTCCACCCGGGGACAAATTCTTCTCTCCCCCCAAGAATGTTTGCAATCCTTCGGATGGCAGTTTTCCAAGACCGACCACTTGAATGTCCTCTCTACCCTCATAAAAGCAAGACCTGTTCCTTGCTGGGAAAGCATGGGGTGGGTGATCGTCTTCAACCTTTAAAGGGCTGGACCCGTAGCTGCTGCACCCGGGGGCACAGCTGACGGGAGAGGAGAAGCGGCCTCTTCTCAGCATGGGGATGTGGGGAGCCGCTCAGGGAGAGAAAACGAGGCCTTTACAGCACCGGTTTAACAGCCTCGGCCACGCATCTGCCCGCACAGATCTAAGGCTTGGCTTCGGGTCCGGCTCCACGCCTGCCCCATGTCCCCACGGTCCGCGGCCCTCGGGAGGCCCGGCCCTGGGGGCTGAGCTCTGCCCTGGGACCGAAGGCCACTCTCCCAGCCAAGGCCGGAGGGCTCTGCCCTGGGCACATGCGCCCCATCCGCCTGCCCTGAGCTGACCCCGCCGCTCCACACCACCCCACTCGCGGCTGAAAAGCTGAAGGCAGCCGCACACTCGCCCTTGCAGCTTGCCCTGCAGCCCGCGCGGCCATGTGAGCAAGCGCAGCCAATCAGAGGCTCGCCCTGGACTCCGTCCCGGGCTGGGGGGCGTGGCTGGAGGGCGTGGCCGGGCGGTACCCGCGGCGTCTCTGCGCTGCCGCCTTTGCTTGCGCGGCTGTGTAGGGGGTTGTGGCGGGCCGGAGAGTCCCCGAGTGACTTAACATTCTCTAAAAATACCCCATTTTTGAACTTCGACGACCTGGGTTGGCCTGCTCACTCTGTGTCCCTGCGCTCCTCTGCTTCTCTGCTCCTTCGGTCTTGTGTGCTGGGGACACGTGGGCCTTTCCAGTTCCCTGCAGCCACCTTTGGTCTGTAGGAAGGCAGTGGCGCAGGGAGCGGTGGGAGCCCGGGTCTGCAGGGCTCAAGGTGGCGACGGCGAAGCGGTCTGCCCCACCCGCCACCCCCACCCGCAGGATGCGCATCGCCAGTGCAGCCCGGGTCGTGGCCCCCCAACAGACCCAGTCCCGCCGCGACACGGCAGCAGCACCTCTTCGCCGCGACACGGCAGCAGCACCTCTTCGGCCCTTTGAGCTCTTCCCTCCTTATTTCTCAGTCTCATGCTACACTGCGATTCTTTTATTTATTTGCTATTTTAGGCAGTATCCGCCGGCTCTCTACCATGGACACTCAGTGAGGATTTGGTTCTCTTAGGTATGAACCCTGTGCTTCACCTCCTGTGAGCTCCAAGACTCATTTCATCAGTTTTGGGATGCATCAGTATTTGGTGTTTACAGTATTATGGTTATGTAAATATTGTTCCCAGCTGAGCTGTGCAGTACATTGTGACAACATTTTCCATTTTGTGTTGTTTGTTTTCCTGGGAATTCATAATAGCCTGTTTTCTTCTTGCATCAAGCTGGACACTCAGTGGATCCTTTCAAATCTGGAGACATGACCTTCGGTTCTGGGAAGCTGGAAGGCACAAGTGCTGTTTTTACAAGCTCTGAACTCATCTTGTTTCTGTCCCCACCTGCCCCCCCACTTCCAGAGGGACCTTGTGACTCCCAGGCTATGTATCTGGGGGGCCTCTGGCCTTGAATGGTTCCCTCGACATGCAGAATTTGGTTGCAGCTTCCTCCACTCTGCCTAGGTGATTACTATTAATTTTCCAGCTTCGAAAATTCTGTAGGCTGGATGCGGTGGCTCGCTTCTGTAATCCCAGCACTTTGGGAGGCTGAATCAGGAAGATCGCTTGAGTCCAGGAATTCAAGACCAGCCTGGGCAACGTGGCAAGACCCTGTCTCTACAGAAGAATTTAAAATTAGTGGGGTGTGGTGGCGCACGCCTGTGGGCCCAGCTACTCTGGAGCTTGAAGCGGGAGGATCACTTGAGTCCAGGAGGTTGAGGCTGCAGTGAGCAAAGATTACGCCACTGCAATCCAGCCTGGGTGCCAGAGAGAGACCCTGTCTCCAAAGGAAAAGTTCTGTAGACTTTTTGTCCTTGCCATTGACTTTCTTTGTCATTGACTTTCTTTATAAGTTTGCGACTTAAACATTTTTCCTTATATTGTCATCTTAGTGGGGTTTGGAGAGGGAAAAGAGAAAAATATCCCTGTTAGTTCCATGTTAGCTAGAAGTCCCTCTCACTCTGAGCATCTACTATGTGCCACAGCCTATTTTAAGCCAGCCCTTATCCCCAGTTTCACATGGCTCTTTCTTGTCACCCAGGCCTGAGCAGAGAAGACACCTCCTCCAGGAAGGTCTCCCTGACTACCCAGTGCTTCTCTGCTACATCACTCAGCTCTACTTTGGTTCATAGCCCTTACGGCTTTTCGAAATTATTTTATAGATTTATGTTCATCCATGCTGAATTTGCCTTATTTCTCAAGCTCCTCTAGAAGGCTTGCCCCATAAAGGCAGGAGGTCTTCACTGCCCCATGAAGGCAGGGACCTTTCTGTCTTGGTTTTCACTGTATCCTCAGTGCCTCCCATAATGTCAGGCAAAACCAGATGCTCAGGAAGCATATGGAACGAATGGATGGGTTTGAGCGTGACACAACTTCAGGATTGCTTAAGAAAATGCTGATAGTGGTAGCCAGGCGCGGTGGCTCACGCCTATAATCCCAGCACTTTGGGAGGCCAAGGTGGGCAGCTCACGAGGTCAGGAGTTCGAGACCAGCCTGACCAACATGGTGAAACCGTGTCTCTACTAAAAACACAAAAATTAGCCGGGTGTGGTGGTGTGCGCCTGTAATCCCAGCTACTCAGGAGGCTGAGGCAGGAGGATCGCTTAAACCCAGGAGGCGGAGGTTGCAGTGAGCTGAGATTGCGCCACTGCACTCCAGCCTAGGTGACAGAGTGAGACTCCGTCTCAAAAAAAAAAAAAAAAAAAAAAAAAAAGCTGATAATGGTCCAAGCTTACTGGGAACGAAAGACCCTGCCATGAAAGGGTGAGACACTCATCGTGGGAGGGACATAAGCCCAGGCTTGGATGGCCGAAAAGGGACAGAAGCATTGATGGGAACGGACAGGGTGACCTCCAAGGCCTGGCTGAGACAACTCATTGGTTCACGGTTACTTGGCTACTTCCTGGCCTAGATTAGAAAACAGCACTTTGAAGGCAGATATGCTGGATGCACCCGTGTTGTGGAGTCAGCCCCATTGGGACGCTTTTGCCTCTCTTCTCCCTGGTTGTGTGATCTCACGGGCAAGTTGCTTCATCTCTGTGTCTGCAGTACTTCTCACCCATCATGGGGCAATAAGAACAGCCCTGTGGTCTTGGCATCTAGATAATGAAGCACAGGATTGAACTAAAAAGGCTGACACACAGTAGGCTGTTACAGTGATGGTCTGGGTTAAAAATCTGGTGTCATCCTTCCTGGTGGTGGAACCTGGGCAAGCGCTTGAAGCCTTGGGCTTCTGTTTCTTCATCTGTAAGATGAAAGTCTAACCACACCCACTTCCCTGGGATGTGTGTCAAGTCACGAGGCCTGGCATGCAACAGGTGCCAGTAAGTGTTGTCCCCTTGACTGCCTCCTGCCTGCTGGGCAGGAAGTGCTAAGTTTGAGAACCCTGGGCAGGGAGACACCATGCTGAGGCTCCTTGGACCCCTGGACTGGTGTTGGGGACAGCCACAGGGTTGTTCGTGCAACCCTGCAGGGAACCGGGCAGGCCAGACTCAACTGCTCTGTTAGAAGCAGAGCTGGTGGCTTTCCAGAAAGCAGTGAAGGGAGCTCAAGGGGAGTTTGTTTTGCTCGGAAGCAGGGTGTTGCAAAACACTTTAGTGGAAGTGTGGGCAGGAAAAGGCAGGGAAAACTATCTCCATCTGACAGAACAGATTTCAAACAATAGCTCTGCCATTACCAGCGGTATTGGATGCTTCTGGGCACCTCTCTGAGCCTCGATTTTCTCATCTCTTTAGTGGAGATGATGATAATACTAGACACCTCGTTGGGACATTGAAAACTTTCCTCCACTCCGCAAGTATTCACTGAGCACCTACTGTGTGCCGGAGACACTGCAGTGACCAAAGCAAAGGCATTGCCCCCGTGCAGCTTGCATCACAGTGAGTCCATAAGATGCTGTGCTTGGAGGGACTAGCACATAGTAGGAGCTGTAAAAATAGGACTTGCTGTTTTGCTAGTGGAGCCAGTCACTTGTGTGAATTCATCTTTTGATATTTGAGAGTGATGATGATTTAAAGAAAGCAGGTGAGCCTCCGTTGAGGTTTCCTTCTCTATATTTCGACTTCAGAACCGGCCCCTGAGTAAAAGATGCTCAGGAACCACATATTGCTGCCTCCAAGCTTCTCAAGTTTTCACTTTTCCACCATCACCAGCATGGCCTGATGCTGTTCTGGGGAGAACCAGTCACAGGCCCTGCTTTCAAGCAGCAGGAGTCGTATGGGAGAGGCAGACAGGGGCGCAGCCACTGACAGGGCGGGTGAGCCATGGTGAGAGGGGCTGGGGCAGGGGCACTGGGCAGAGCAGTGTCAGGCAGGGCCTCCTGTCCCACCTTCAGAATTGGGCCTCGAAGGAGCGGAGGGAATGTGTCAGGTCGGAAGGTAGGGAAGGGCATTCCTGGCTAAGGGAACAGCCTTTGCAAAGAAAGGTTCAAAGAGGAAAGCTTGAATTCAGAGTGGCTGGACTGGGGGATGTCTGGAGAAGTCACCAGGGGTTGGAGTGTTGGAAGTTGCCCGCCTAGGGAGCCAGGGCAGGACTTAGAACTTGGCCAGCCGTGTTTGGGAAGGCTCTGGCTGCAGTGTGGAAGGCCTGGGGGCAGGCAGCACAGAGAAGAGGAGGCTGGATGGCCGTCAAAGCAGTGAGGGCAGTGGATCCTGTGCTCCTGGGCACTCTAGAGCACTGCCGGGCCCTGGTCACCAGAGGGCGCTGTGGGGCAGCAAGCAGTGGAGGCCCCAGCTGGTGGCAAGGCTATGCATAGACCATGTGCACCGCTGTGCCTGTGGGTTGTGTCTGTGGACGTGACCATGTGGTCCCTCCACATGAACGTACACACTTGTGCACCCCCTTGTGTCATGTGTGTGTGCATGTGTATTTGGGGTGTGTGGACTTGCACAGGTGTGAAGGGGCACGTGGGAGTGAGTACGTCCAAGGGGGTGTATATAGGTGAGAACAGGGACTCCTCAGCTCCCACCACCCAGCCACATCGGTCTCCTTGTTACTCGCCTACAAGCCATCCACCTCAGGGCCCTTGCACAACTGTTCCCTCTGCCTGGAATGCTTTTCCCCCGGATCTCTTTGTGGGTCCTTCCGTTAAGTCCTTTGGTCTCTGTTTATGTGGCACCTTCCAGGGAGGCTTTTCCTGACCTCCCTCCTTAAAATTATAGCCCCCATGTCCAGACACACACCCTGTCCCCTCCCCTACTTTCCCCCATAGCATTTGTAATAATTTTTTGTTTTTTGAGACAGGGTCTTGTTGCCCGCCAGGCTGGAGTGCAGTGGTATAACCTTGGCTCACTGCAGCCTTGACCTCCTGGGTTCAAGTGATCCTCCCACCTCAGCCTCCTGAGCAGCATGCCACCATACCCAGCCAACTTTTTTTTTTTTTTTTTTTTGTAGAGACGAGGTTTTGCCATGTTGCCCAGGCTGGTCTCAAACTGCTGGGCTCAAACGATCCACCTGCCTCGGCCTCCCAAACTGCTGGGACTATAAGTGTGAGCCACCATGCCTGGCCTGACATAATTTGACTTAGGCATTTTGCTTGTCTGGCTCACACACCAGGTCATACCTCCCCAGGGAGTTGTGTCCATCTTGTTCAATGTTGTGTTCTCAGTGCCAGTCACACAGTAAGTGCTCAATGAATATCTGTTGAATGAATGAAGGAGCTGCCCACATCCTGGGTTTGGGTCAGCCTCTCTCTTTTTTTTCCCCCATCATCAGTATTTATTGAGCATTTACAGTGTACTAGGCACAATAGAACATACAGAAAACATTTCCCTGCCCTTGAGGAGCTTACATTTTAAAAGAAAAAATACACCTCTTTTAAAATGGCATTTTTGTTTGGTGTTTTCTGCAAAGTACCGAGGAAATATTTTGTAAAGTGATGCTTTGGGTATAACTTAGCCCCATCATTATTTAAAGAATAGAGGAAGAAGAAAGAGGAAGGATTTTAAAGGCAGACAATGACAGACCATTCAGGATAGGTAGGGTTTTAAAGGGAGATAAACACAATCTCATCGACTAAGGAGAGATTTGCTGTAGTAAATAGGATGAGGGAAATAGTCTGTGGGATGCAAGCAAAGGAAGCAGGGTGCCTTAGACATTGATTGGAGCCAGAAAGATCATGCGGCCTTTTTCCAAGTACATGGCCACCAAGTAGGAATGGTTGGTGACAAGACAGAAGGCTAAAAAAGGAAGGTAATCTTGTGCACCTGACAAATAGAAAGAATAAAGGATCAAAATCGAAGGCAGGCTACAATAGTATCAAGAAATTCTTAAAAACCAAAAAGTGATTTGGAAGCACAAAACTTATAGTTAATGCTATTGAGTCAGCCTCTCTTTACAGCCTTCTGTCACCCCAGGTCCTGCCCACCTCAGATCATGCTTGCATCCTGACTTTGGCCACAATCCTTCCCATCCAGAGACTCAGTTTCCTGCATCCACAGAGAGCAGGTTTGGGACTTTTCTCCTAGGAATCAAGGTAAGAGGCAGCCTCTTGTGACCCATGTCAAACATTTATTCTGCTTTCTGCATGGTCATGGAGTTCCCCAATCTGACTGTGCCACTTACAGACAGAAAGAAATCAAGAGATGTCACTATAGCAAGCCAGCAAGAGACCTTTGTCTCTGATGGTTCTTGATGGTACTTCTTGAGCTCCAGTGGTGCAGCTGTGCATCCCAGTCTGGCCCTCACCTGGTCCTCATGTGTGGCCCTTTTTACATCTCCAACCCATTGCCTCTGCTGTTCCTTTCCAGGGATGCTCTTCTTGCTTCTCTGCCTGGTAAGCTCCTACTGGTCCTTAAAAGTCCAGTCTCAAAATCACCTCCTCTGAGAGGCCTTCCTTGTCCCCACCCAGATGGAGATGGCTGCATCACCCAGGCACCCTCCTGGGACTTTTGCTCATGCATCTATTTATAGCACTCACATGGAGTTTTGTGATTCCTGAGCTGTTTATCGGGCTCCTGACTAATCCCCAAACTCCTTGTATGCGAGGGCCTGTCTGAGTCATCTGGCCGCCAAGGAGGTTGGCACGGGACTGGAGTCGCTTCACCCTGGTCTGTGGATGCTTTCCTCCTTCCTTTTTTCATTCCTCAAATATTTATCAGGCACCTACTATGTGCCTGGTTCTGGGCTATGCATTGGGAACACAGCAGGGAATGAGGCTCGGATGGTCTGGAGGGAGAGCTGTGTTAAAAACTGAGTCAGTAACAAAGACATCAGCAGCATAAGTGTTGTGCCTCAGTCTGGGGACCATGATGAGAAGGCCTCTTAGGGGTGTTCATTTAGGAAGCGGTCTGAGGGATGAGAGGGAACCAGCCCCAGGAGGCTTGAGTGGAAGAATGTTCTGGGCAGGAGCAGCAAGGGTGAAGCTGCTGCGGCAGGACCATCCCTGGCACATTTGAGGGGCAATACTGAGACTCTTGAACATCCCAAGAAGCAGAGTGCACAAGGCGGAGTGTGGCCTTGTGCAGAAGTCAAGGCTGTTGGCCAGTGCCTGAACCCAGAAAACTCGCTGGACTAGCCTTGCAGTTCTGGTAGAAAGGAAGCTGCTCCTGGATGCCCATTTTACAGACGGATAAGCACAGGTCACCAGGGATGATATGGCAAGGATGGAGGCAGCCCACAGTGTTTTCAAACTCACATTTCCTGGGCACCTAGTGAGTGCCAAGCCCTAGGCCAGGTGTTTCCACTCCTGAACTCATGAAACGCTTTCAGAGACCTTATTGTCCCCATGGGATAGGTAAACTGAGGCACAGAGCTGCTCAGTGACTTCTTTAAGGTCATCCAGCTAGTAAGTGGAGGAATTGGTATTGGAACCCATACCTATCTGAGCCCCAGACTCATGATTTTCCATCCCACTGCCTGGGAAGGGTGAACAGGAGACGCAGGAAGAGAATGGTGATGGCTGCAAGGCTTCCCTCTTATCTCCTGTGGCTCCCCACTCTGTGCATGGGGCCCTGCATCACCCCCACTTTACACCTGGGCAAGCAGAGGTCAGGCCCGGCCTCAAGCCTTTCTAGCAGGTGGTGGAATCTGCTTCCCTCACGTGAGGTCCCTGACAGGGTACACATGTCTGCCTGGAGGCCAGGGGCTGACCCCTTGACCTTTGCCTGGTACATTCTGCCTTCACTAGCCCTGGCTTTACATCCAGAGTCATCTGTTCCCAGCGCCAGATTGGTCAGCGGTTCCTGAAATCCCCCGAGGTTCCGTGTGGGAGCAGAGGGAGGACTGGCCCATCCAGCCATTATGCAGATGGGCAGACTGAGATCCTAGGAGGAGAGGAGAGAACGAAGGTCCAGGAGAGAGCCAGGATGGGGCCTCGGGGCTCGCGGGATAAAATGCACCGCATGCCGCCTCACTCCCTCTGAGACACGGTTTCCCCCTGTGTAGAACAGGGGCAGCAGTAACCAGCCACGAAAACTCCTCGTGCTGCCTCGTCACCGGGCATCGCTGAGCTCACCACCGACCCCGCGCCCTGGCCGGGCGCCTGGAGCGCGGGCGCGGGCGACGTTTGCTGGCGCCAGGCCCTCAGTGCGTGTTAGCGAGCAGCGCCGGGAGATAGCTGTCACCGCCGCCCGCTCACAGATGCGTAGACTGAGGCTCAGGTGTCACCACCTGACCAAGGCTAGTTCCGCTACAAAGCTGCCGACTCGGATCCGAACCCGGGTCCAATTTACAGAAAAGGAAACTGAGGCCCAGAGACACTAGGGAGCTTGCTAGGGTGAGGCAGCTGCAGGTTCAGAGAGCCAGGAGGCAGCCCAGCAGCGCACTTTTAACCCCCGCCCACTTCGGCAGGCCCAGCCGTGCCACCTTTAGGGATCTCGGGTTTTTTCCAGACGACGCACCCAGGAGAACGCGCCCGCGCATCGCACCCGCCGGGGCTGCGGGTCTGGGGGTGCCGGGCTGGGCCTGGGCGCCTGCAGGGAGCAGCGGGCTCAGTGGGTCCCGGGAGTGGGTGGGGCTTGCATGTTGACGGGCAGCGCGAGGGGCGCGGCTTTAGTCCAGGGGGCGGAGCCTGACCGGACCTGGGTTTTTCGGGCGGCTGGCGGACTTGACAGAGAGCGGGAGGGGCCCGGATCCTGGGCCTAAGGAGGGTGGGGCGTGTGCTTGACAGGCAGGGACAGGCCGGCGTCTGATAGGCAGAGGACGGGCCTTGGAAACGAAAGGACCAATCGGGCACGCAGGGGCGGGGCCTGAGTCAGCGCAGTTCGGCCGGGGTCTCCCCGGCGCTGCCCAGTCTGTCTCCGGCGCCGCCCGTCGCGGACTCGTCCTTGCTGCAGTCGCCGCCGCAGTCCTCGCCGCAGTCGCCGCCGCCGCCGCCGCCGCCGCCGCTGCTCCTCCGCCTGGCCTGGGCCGTCTGCCCGCAGCCATGAGCGTGCTCGGCCCCGGTGGAGCCCGCAGTCCTCTAGATTAGTCTCCACCGCCGTCCAGGACCCACTTGCAGCATGGAGTCGCCCGCCTCGAGCCAGCCCGCCAGCATGCCCCAGTCCAAAGGTAGGCGCTCCCGGCCGGGACCTCGGCCTGACCCCGCGCCTAATCTGGGGCCGGGCTGCAAACCCCGACCTTTCTTTGGTCCCACCCCATCCTGTTCTCGACCTGGCAGCGGCGTCCGGTCCCGGAACCCCTTCCTGTTCGGGGTCCCGGGACCAGCCCCCGCCTGGGCCCTCACCTGGACCCCCACGTTAGGCCTTGGGACTGCACTCAGGCCCGAGATCACCCAGGCTGGACCCAGACTAGGACTTTGTTCTGCTCACCCCATCCAAGTCAGGAGCCTCATTCTGACCTCATTTGGGCCTTATGGCTGCAGCCTGGACATGAACTCTCCCAGTCTTCTCCCTCAGCGGGACCCAGGTGAGATTCACACTGGCCTTCACCTGGGTCCTTGGGCAGCACCCAGTCCCATTTCTAGCTTCGGGTCCCAGGGCTGTATCCAGGTTGGGATTTAACTTGAGTCTCCATCTGGGCCCCAGAGTGCTCCTGTTGTTGCGGACCTCACTGTACCCCCTATGCGGGTGCTCTGGCTACACCCCAGCTCGGAACTCCCCGTCCTTCTCTCCCCCAGCTCTTCTTATCCTTATAGGCCCTATGTTGCCCCTTCCCTGGCTGGCCTGCACCCTGTCCTGCAGCCCTGGGCTCCCAGGAACCTTCCTTGTCCTCCCACCCCTCCCTAAGGTACAGCCCCCTCTCTACCGGCCTCTCTCTGTCTTGAGTTGCAAGCTTCTCCCTGCACTGGGGGTTCTCACCCCATCTTATTCTTGTCCTGGCTGCCTGGGATCTGGGCCAGCCGCCAGGCCAGGGTGCTGGCTGTGCAAGGGATTTGCTCTTCTCCAAGTAGCTGGCCTTCCTGGAAATTTTTGTGAGGTGGCAGCAGCAGGATTTGTCATGCGGAGGGGGAAGGATGAAACTCGGAGGGCAAAAGGGGAATTTTTTTTTTTTCAGGAAGAGGAAAGGATGTTTTTGGTGCGTCGGAGTTTCAGTAGGCTGGGTTGTGCGAGAGATTTCCAAACCGGACATAGCCGTAATGAATGGGCTGCCTCCTGGCTTTCTGAACCTGCAGCTGCTTCACCCCAGCAAGCTCCCTGGTGTCTCTGGGCCTCAGTTTCCTTTTCTGTAAATTGGAAGTAATCGCACCTGCTTCTGTGGACGTGGGAGTGTGGTGTGGGGTGGTGAATAGTAAAGAGCTCTGAGGCGTTCTCTCAGCGTAGCACCTGGCGCAGAGCCGGTGCTCACCAGGGTACACTGGCTGCACACATCTCGCTATTGTTTCCATTCTTCTTGCTGGAAAGGCCTCCACTGCTGGAAGTGCAGCCTCAGAGTGAGCAGGAGGAAGCACCTAGCAGCGGGCACCTAGTGGGCACTTCATCAGGGGTCAGCCGCTCTTCTGTTCTGGAGGGTGCAGGCCAATGGGAGCCCTATGTGGGCCTGGGGAGGGCATGGGCTCTTCCTGGCCCCTGCTGCTGGCTGCTATGGTGGCTGGAGCCGGGTGGGCTGGATAATTATGCCTTACATAAGTGGGAGGCCGGATCCCTGACCATTGCCCAACCACTGTGAGTAACTCGGGAGGCACTCGACGGGGGAGGTGTCTGGGGAGGGACTTGCACTGCACAGACCTCGTGGAGCTTGGGAACCAGGAAATCAGACACTTCTCCACTCTGGAGAGCTCGGGGAAGGGTAGGAAGCACTGTTTGTTTTGGAGGCTTTTTAGCTCTCCAGGCAGAGAATGCCTCATCAAAATAAAAGTTCCAGTTGCAGAGTTGTGAAAGGAGAGGGGTCATAGATGCAGTGAGAATGCTGTGAGAGGGCCAAAATGAACTTCTAGATGTGGACCCAGGTCCTAGATGAGGTTGAGGGGGCTGGATGGAGGGTCAGGGACCTCCCTCAGGCCCAGGGACTCTGTAGTCTCTTTGGGGTCTGGGGAAGGATGTGGTGGCAGAGCCACAATGCCCTTCACCAAAAACCCTATGAGCTCCTTCTTTTTTTCCATGTGCCATGCATTTTCTCATTTATTCCTCATAGCCCCATTTACTGATAAGGAAACTGAGGCGTTAAGTGCCTTGCCTGAGGCCACACAGCTGTGACAGGCGGAGCTAGGGTTCCCCCTAGGACTGTGTTTCCACAGTGGCCTTCCCCGTGCTCCCCTATGTGCCCCTCCCATGCTGGATGCCTGAGCTGAGCTGGTGGGGTGCCCCCACCCCTGGCCTTGCTCAGAGCATGTGCAGTGGGCCTGTCCTCATGGCCACGTCAGACCTAGAGGACAGACTGAGGCAGAGGTGATGCCTCTCCTGTGCACAGCGCTTTACACTGGGCCTGTTGCATTCTCGCTGCAAAATCCCACTCATTTGACAGATGCAGAACTCAGCTTGGATGGAGGAGTGGCCGGACTGCCCCCATAGGTGGAGAGCCTCACTCTGTGCCCACCCCATCCTGGGCACTGGGCCTCCCAGCACTGATCCCTTCTCCACCTTCTCAAAGGAATTTGAACAAAGCAGGGAGTGGCTGGCGCTTGACCTTACTGGAGCTTTACCTTTGAGCTTCCTGCCTGGCAGCAGGTGCCCTGCACTGTTTCCATGCCATGGGCCTGGGGAGTTTTCTATGAGTGTGTGAGGCCCTCAGGCCCACAGCTCTGCTGGTTTTCCCCTGGCCTCCTTGCCCACATGGCCATCTCTGGCTGGGGTTAGAGGCCAAGTGGCTGGCGCTGGGGCCAGTGGGTGGGGGCATGTGTGCAAGCCACATTTGTCCTTGGAGGGTACCACACGTGTCCTGTTGTCGTTCAGAACATGGGTTCTGCCCCTTCTGCCCTAAGAGTGCCACCTGTGGGAGCACTTCATGGCTAATCTTCACACAGCTTGGACTGTGGCTGTAGGACTCCTGACTGCCCGATGGTGACACTGAGGTTTCATAGAGCACTGTTGTATCCTAGCCCTGCCTGCTGTGGCCACCCCCCCAACCCCTGGCTGTCGGAAAGACTGGAGGTGGCACCTCGGGGACTTCCCCCACCCCTCTTGTGACGCACAGGAAACTCTCTGTCAGCCAACCCATGGCCCAGCGCCCAAAGGGAGCAAAGTTCTCAGTTGGCCCGTGTGAGGAGAAGGCCGGGGCAGCGGAGGCTTCCGGCGGTGAGTCAGCGGGCACTGGGTGCTGACTCACCCGCTGGGCATGCCAGCCGGCTGCCTACAGCTTAAAGGGGCGATGCCTGCCAGCCTGGTGGGTGGGGAGGGGGTTACGTGTCCTGCAGGTGGCACCTAGCCCTGAGCTGGGGCACTGGAGGTGGCCCCTTCCTGGGCCTCGGACTGGGCTGGGAACCCCTGGGCAGGCCCTCTGTGCCCCACCCAGGAACTTCCTCTATTAGGCAAGGGGCTCTGCTTCCTCTTGCTCACAGAGCAGGAGCAGGTGGCAGTGACTGTTTACCACCCTTGGCCCAGGGGACACCTCAGGTTCAGCTGTGCAGCTGGGACTCAGGGAGGGTGAGGAGCAGAGGTGGTGCAGGGTCGGCTGGGGTGGGACCCGGCCTGAGCTCCTGGAAGATGGTGATGTGGAGAGGCTAAGACCTCAGTTTCCAGAGCCTGACTGCCTGGGTCCAAACCCCAGCTCTGTCCCTTTTGCGATGTGACGTGGGACAAGTTGCATCTGGTCCACTCTCTGCACTCTGTAAATGATTTCTGTCCCCTGGGCATGGCCCAGCTCTCAGAGGAGAAGCTTCCATTTCCTCATCTGCAGACTGAGAATGGGGACCCTGCTTGTCTGGATGTAGACAGTTCCATTCCACACTTGCTAAGTGTCAGGCACAAGTCATAGTGAGACTGCCCTCTGCCTGCAGAGAACCCAGCCGAGGCATGCCTCTGTCAGGCAGGAAGCCGGGGGTCCTGGGCTCTGCTGGGATGGCCCTGGGTTCGAATCCTGGCTCCACTACTTCCTTACCTGGGCAAGTCTTGTGCCCTCTTTAGCCCTCAGTCTCCTCTTCTGTAAAGTGGGAGTAAACATGCTCCCTTGCAGGGTAGTGGTCGAGATTGAAGATAGCATTTGTTAAGTGAATGGCACCTGTTATTATTTTATTATTGTTACTTTTGTGGGTGTAGTTCATTGGTAGGTGGATAAACAGTAGCAGGGCTTCGTGACAATGTGCTCGTAGGCGCTGTGACATGAGGCCTCTTGGCTGTAGGGTCCTTTCACGCAGGCCAGAATTTACCAGGCTTTAGGGCCTCTTAACCCACTGGTCCCCAACGTGGGGCTGGGGACTGCCCCTGGCCTCCTGGGCCTCCCTTGGGAGGGTGAGTGGGGAACAGAGAGCTGGGGCCTGCTCCTGCAGGCCTGCCCTGCCCCTGGCTTTGGCATGCAGCATTAACAGGACGAATATGGGGAAGGTGGGGTGGGACTGGGAATTAGAACTCAGGCCCCTGGGCCAGCCCGGGAAGCAAGAGGGCCTGGGGTCATGGTTCTAGGGGCTCAGTCCTGAGTCAGGGGTGTTGGGGGGTGGTGGGCCAAGCTGAGGGGAGCAACTGGGTGCCAGTGTCTTGGGAGGGTCCCAGAGGAGGGCTGCTGGGCAGCAGCATGGAGGACACAGCATTGTGGCAGGGCCCCACGACTGATGCCCACATGCCGTCCACGCCTGCCCTTGTCCGCGCCTCCTGGCGCTGCCCACCTCCATCAGGCCTGTGTGCCCAGTGGCTTCTGCAGATGCCTCCCCGAAGCAGTGGCCCTGGAAACCTCAAACAGCCTCTTGCCAGGGGCATGAAGGCCATACAGGGCCAGGGGAGGCAGAAGCAGTTTGTTGGGCCCCTTGCAGCTTCCAGATACCAAGCCTGACTGCGGCAGCTCCAGAGAGGGCCCCAGACTTTCTTCCCCTGACCCCAGTCCTGGGCACATGTCCTTGTCACCTCCCTGCCCTGCACTCCAGGGCCACCTTCCCTGGTTTCTCTGGGGAGGCCATGTCCAGCTGTCCCTCTCCCAGCTGGTCCCCTGCCCAGGGTGGCCGGCACCACCTCCTGCCATGTGGCCCATGGCCGGGATTGCACCTGGCTCTGCTGACACCTCCTGGCGGCTATATCGAGTGCCCTGACTGTCCTTGCCTGCATCACTGTGCTGATGCCCCCAAGGGCTTCCAAGGCCCGTCCCAAGGTTTACATGTGCCAGTGTGTGCGGTGATGCGGTGACAGGCCAGGGGGCTGCCTCACTGGGGCAGGGCTGCGAGGGGCTGTGGATGCCAGCGGTGTGTTCAGACCTAATCAGGAGGTGTGTGGGGGCTGGGGAGCACTGCTGCCTGGGAGGGTTGCTTTGGCGGTGTCAGTTGGCAGCTGAGGCACACGTTGGAGGCCTGCCCAGGACGGCTCTGGGTATGGGGATGGAGACAGCTCCCATCCCCTTGTCATTCTGCTCTTGCCTGGCTTAGCCTTCTGGTCAACCCATAGCCTCCTGCCGTTGGCATGGCACACGGCATCCCGGATGGCTGGGGCAGACCCCAGGGTGGCGCGGGCAGACACTCGTTGGGAAAGTCTGCAGGGACTTCCAGGTGGCAGGGCTGGTTCTAGGCCAGCTCCCTACCTACCTCTCAGGGCTGCTGTTGAGGGTGAATGAGACCTGGCAAGTCCAGGGAGCCCCTAGGTACCAGACAGCACTGAATTTGAACCTGATGTCTGTGCTAGCATTTCCATCACCAAGAACCCCGTTTTTGGTATGTCTCATCATCAATCCCATGCTTTGTAAGATTTTAATAGTAATGATAAATCCCAGCCTTTGGGAGGCCGAGACAGGAGGATCATTTGAGGGCAGGAGTTCACAACCAGCCTGGGCAACATAGGGAGAGCTCATCTCTACAAAAAACATAAAAGATTAGCTGGGCATGGTGGCACACGTCTGTAGTCTCAGCTACTCAGGAGGCAGAGGTGGGAGGATCGTTTGTGCCTGGGAGGTTGAGGCTGCAATGAGTGCCACAGCACTCCAGCCTGGGTGACAGAGTGAGACCCTGTCTGTTTAAAAAAAATAGAAGTAGGCCAGGCACGGTGGCTCACGCCTGTAATCCCAGCACTTTGGGAGGCCGAGGCGGGTGGATCATGAGGTCAGGAGCTCGAGACCATCCTGTCTAACACGGTAAAACCCCGTCTCTACTAAAAACACACAAAAAATTAACCGGGCGTGGTGGCAGGTGTCTGTAGTCCCAGCTACTCGGGAGGCTGAGGCAGGAGAATGGCATGAACCCGGGAGGCGGAGCTTGCAGTGAGCCGGGATCGCACCACTGCACTCCAGCCTGGGCAATAGAGAGAGAATCGTCTCAAAAATAAATACAATACAATCAATACAATAGAATACAATACAATAGAATACAATACAATAGAATACAATACAATAGAATACAATAGAATACAGTACAATACAATACAACACAACACAACACAACACAACACAACACGTAGTGATAACAGTGAAGCACAGATGGCGTTTGTTCAGGTTTGTTTTCCGTTCTGCAGGAGCAGCAGCACTGGCCTGTCGACAGTGCAGGTGGCTGGCAATGGCCTTGCTGACCTCGAGCCGGGCCCACGTGGGGACCTTTGGAGCACAGCCTACGATCCTGGTGCAAGGAATGTCCCATTCTTCTGATGCTCTGGGAGGGCTGAGCATCACTTGTGGGTCCCCCTGCCCTGTCATGGCCTCTTAAAGCCTGAGCATGGGGCCTGCCCCACAGTGTGGGAGCCTGGGGCCAGAGTCCCACCGATCTGACCCCTTTTGTGCTGGGGATTTTGTGTGCATGGACTTGTTTGGTCTTCACGGCTACCCAGCAACCTGGGTGTGTTGTCATCAACCCCATCTTAGGAGTGAGTAAACTGAGGCCTGGTGGGATAGTGACCTGCTCAAGGTCACGAAGGACTGTCCTGGGAGCATGGCTTTGTCTTTACAACTCCGGACCCTTGCTCATCCTTTCCCAGAGGTCATGGCCCCTTCACCCGTTCATAGGACGTCAAAGGAGGAAACCGAGGCTTGCACAGAGAGGGAGTGTGGCTCGCCCCCAGGCTGGCACGGGCCGACGCTGTGGTGGTTTCTCCACTGAGGTGCGGGGAAGGCAGGAGCTGGGACCCAGGCTGGGGGCCTGACTCTGCTGCTGCCCTGGTGCGTCACCTCAGGCGTGTCCTGGGGCCCCTGGTGTCAGCATCTGCACTGGACAGTCTCTGGGGCACCCTCCAGCCTGAGCAGCCTGCTGCGGGGGCTGTACTGTGCTCAGTGAGCCTGGCTGCCCCTTCAGACAGAGGAGAGTGCTGGGGCTGGCTTCAAGCAGGCCTCTTTGTTTCTTCTTTTCTTTAAATTGCCTGCACTTGAGTAGCCTTTATCACACAGTGCAGGAATCTCAAAGGGACAAAAAGGCAGTCTCTTGTTTCTCCTCGGAATACTCTGCACACTCCAGCATTTTCTTTCCTTCTTCTTCTCATTTTTTTTTTTTGAGACAGTGTCTTGCTCTGTTGCCCAGTGGCACAGTCATGGCTCACCACAGCTCAGACGATCCTCCCACCTCAGCCTCCCAGGTAACTGGGACTACAGGCACGCACCACCACGCCCACTACATTTTTGTTTTGTTTTATTTTTTGTAGAGACAGGATTTTGTCATGTTGCCCAGGCTAGTATTGAACTCCTGAGCTCAAGGAATCCACCCACCTTGGCCTCCCAAAGTGCTGGGATTACAGGCATGTGCTAATTTTTGTATTTTTAGTAGAGACAGGGTTTCACCATGTTGGCCAGGCTGGTCTCAAACTCCTGACCTCAAGTAATCCTTCTGCCTTGGCCTCCCAAAGTGCTGGGATTACAGGCGTGAGCCACCTCACATGGTCTGACCGGCATTTTCTTTCTCACACTGCTGTACTCCTGCTGCTCTTGGCTCTTCCTGTCCCTGGGAGGCCACTCCTCGCATCCTGCTGAGGACCTGCAGGATCCTCACCAATTCCATGTGCCAGCCTTTTGATTCTATAAACCCTGGGCCTCAGTTTCCCCATCTGCAGCATGGAGATCACATTAGTACCTGCCTCAAGGGGTTGCTGAGAGGATCAAATGAGATGTAATGAAAGAAATTTGCATAGGCCAGGCACGCAGAGGACACCCCAGGACACCCCAGCACATAGTAGGTATTCACTAAATGTTAGTGGGTGTTGTAGTGTGGGGGTAAGCTGCTCAACGTGGAATTTCTGGATGCAGAAGAATGGGCATTTTGATGGCCATGGGGCATGGAGGACCCAGACCGGTGAGGTCTGGCCATGGGAGGCCAGGCTGCACCCTGATGCCCGCAGCCACCTGCTGTGGGCCCCCTGTCTTTCACGTGCCTTGTGCCCCAGCCACTCTGCCCGGGGTCCTCCCGTGTTGCCTCCTTCCCTCTCCAGCGAGGCCCGTGCCTCTGGCCCTTCCCTACGTCCTTCCCTCCAAAGCACAAGTGGTTCCATGTTGCAGGCGGGCCATGGTTGTCTCTGCTGGGCTGTTGGCATTGGGCGGGAGGACCCTCTGGCAGCCATGGTTGCCCCTGTGCAGCTGAGCATCTGGCCTCCCCACCGGATGTTAGGGGTGCTCCCGAGCCATGCTGGTCCGGAGCATCACCGGGGAGGGGGCGCTGCCAGGTGGATAGTCTGGGGATCCCCCGTTCTCTGCAGGTGAGGAAGTCCCTGTAGGGTAGAGAGGTGGGGAGGGTGTGAGGCCCTGGAGGCCAGGCCCTGGCCAGGTGGCCTTGCACAGCCGGGCAGAGGCAGGGCAGGGCTGTGGAGGGCAGAGCCTTGGTCACTCCTCCTCACCCTAGCCTGCTGCACACCTACAAGGTGAGGATAGAGAAGGTAGGGCCTGCAGTGGCCGTGTATGAGGCCAGATGGCACAGCCTGGGCCTGGCATGGAGCAGGCACTTGGTTAGATGGGAGAACCTTCCCCTTGTCCTGCATCCTCTCCAGAGCCCAGGACAGGGGCCCCAGAACCTCAGGGCAAGGGGCCCTGCCTGAAGGTGCATGGCCACCCCCTGCTGCCCACAGGTGCTTGGCAGTGGCGTCTGCAGTACCTCAGGACCTCTGATGGCACCTGTCCTGGGGAGAGGGGCCAGTGTCTGGCAGGTCGCAGCCAAACACATCCATCCACACCGTCGAGGTACATCTGCCCACGCAAAAGCCTGTGCCCACTTCTCGGGGCCTCAGTTTCCCCCGTGCCATGGAGCGCATTGGCCTTGTTGCTGTCCCTCTGAGGGACCCTGGGGAATAGAGGTGGCCTGGGGCAGGGCGGCGCCTCTTGCTGCTCACATCTCCCAGCCCTTGTGGCTCCTTCCCTGGCAGGCCCAGAACTTCTGCAGTAGAACAGGGACCTCCTGGAACATCCGGAAGTCAGGTGAGGGCAGTGAACTAGGAGCAGGGATTACTTCTGTTGTCAGAAACCTGGTGATGCTCCTGCATGTGGCATGGTGTGGGGCTGACTTTATGAGTGGAGGCGGAGCAGGGGCTGCAAGGAGGGGTTGTCATCTTGCCCCTGTGGGTGACCCTTAGAGGGTCACACAGCTTGGTCTCCCCAGGCCCAGGGTAGAGGGAGCAGCCGAAGTGGGGGCCCTGCCCTCAGGCTGTTGCTGTTTGGACGTTGGAGCCAGACAGACCTGCCTTTATGGCCACTCCTCACCAGACGCCCACCGTGTGGCCTCTCTAAGTCACCTCTTCTCCCGCATGCTTGATACAACAGATAAGTGAACCTCCCCTACTCCCTTGTGGAGTCACTGAGAGGGTGGACAGGGGTGGTCTGGGGCTGAGGGTGGTGTTCTCTTGGGAGCTGTGCACTTCCAGATGGCCCCATCTAATCTCCACGCGCCAGGCACTGCTATGGCATGACGCTGATAACCCGGGGAGGTTTGTCTGTAATCTCCACTTTACATATGTCCAGAGAGGTGAAGCCACTTGCCTGAGGGCACACAGCTAGGAAGGGGCAGAGTTGCAGTTGAGCCCAGGCCTTGGCTCCAGAGTGAGTGCTCACAGGTGACCTGCTGACTGGCTCTCTGAGATGGTAACTGCAGAACGGCCACCTGTGGGACTCCACAGCAGAGAAGCCATCAGGCCACAGGGAGAGCCGGTCACTGGGGCCTGCGCAGTCAGGCAGCCTCTCTGAACTGGTGAAAGGCAAGACGACGTAGTAGCTAGGACAGTCACAGGGAAGAGCATTTCAGGCAGAGGGAAGGGCATGTGTGAAGGCCCTGCGGTGGGAAAGCAGGTGTCTCATTCAGAGAAGGGCTCACTCAAGGGTCGGGGGCTCTAGTTGGGGGTGAGTGGGAGGAGATAGGGCAGAGCTGCCACGGCCAGTGAGAGTTGTGTTCTAGTCTGGGGGTGCCTCTCTTTACCTGTGGTGTAGCCTCAGGTCAGTGGCTGAATTCTGGTCAGTTTCAGTTTCCTTGCCCCTGCCTGGGGGCTGCTATGAGGCTGGAGTATGTGGAGGACACCCCAGGACACCCCGTGCTGAGAGCCGGGACAGGCGGGCTTATCGTGGGTTGCCAGTGGCCGCCGAGAGCCTCTGTTTGTTGTGGTGATGGTTGCCACAACGGCTGCACCTGGGCAGCCCTGGGCTGCCTGGCCATCTGGGCCCAGCTCTGACGTCTGCAGCAGCCTGAGGCCTGTTTCTAGGCTGTCTCCATGACGGCCTCACCCACTCCCTCTGACAGCTGGGTGGCTTCCCCATGGAGCCTGTGGCCCTCCTGATGCAGGCTTGGTGTCCCCAACAGGCCGGTGGATGCAGAGGCCAGTCCATATACCACCCAGGCCTGCGAGGAGCGTGGTCCCCACCCATCCAGCCCATATGTGCAAGTGCCCTTGACAGGTGGGGAAACTGAGGCTTGGTGAAGGGGGGGCCACATGATACAACATTCCCAAATCCCAAGGCATGAGGTGGGTGGCAGGCTGGGGCCAGAGGGACCAAGAGCAGAGAGAGTGCAGGGAGGGTGTGGCGTGGACCCCACAGGGAAAGGGTGGGACTCAAGGGGCTGGGGGCAAGGTCAAGGCCCAGGGTCTCTGTGCAGAGCTTTAATTTTTAACAGAAAATATTTTATATTCTGGTTACGAAAAGCCTGACATCAGGAATAAAAGCTACCTATAATTCTCATTACTTAGGGCAGTTTTTTTTTTCACCTCTGCAGAGAGGCTGGTCATATCCATGGTGACCATTTATGGGCCACAACAGGTCCCCATCTGCGCAGTGAACCCTGTGCTGAGCACCTTGCAGACGTGATCTTGCTTCGTCCTGCAGCACTGTGCGGGGCAGGTGGGTGGCATTTCTGCCTCGAGCTGTTTTGTACATGAGGAACCCAAGGTGCAGAGGAGGGCACCATGCCAGGGTCGCAGAGCTGGAGTTTACCACGGCTGCGCCACTCCAAGCCCAGAGCCTCAGAAGTTCAGAGACTTTGGCCCAGAGGCAGGATAGAAGTGGCCTCAGAAGCTGCTGGCCCTGTGTGCCATGGTTTTTCCTGTTAGAATGTGCTGAGCCTCTGCATCTCCAGACTCTGTTGCCGTTTCTTGTTGAGCACGAGACTTGGGCCCCTCCTTCCGCCTCAGGGAGGGCTCCCTGTGGCAGGGGTGCTGTGAGCCATGGCCTGGCCTGTTGGGGTCTGCGAGTCAATAAACTCAGGAGTGACTCCTGGCCAGACCCCTGACTTGCTGTGCAGCCTGGGGCAAGTGGCTTCACCTCTCTGAGCCTGTTCCCCAAGTAAAGTGAGGTTGGGAGCCCCTCCCTGTAGGGCTGTGGGAGTATCTGGAGTCACAGATGAGAAGGGCCCTGCCTGTGGCCGGTGCTGTGGCTGTGACAGACTCGCAGTGAGACCCATGCGGTCCCTGACAGCCAGGGTGTTGCTGCATCTTAAAATGAGATAAAAACGCTGCGCACAGGAGTAGTGACTAGGCGATTGATTCATGGGGTGAGCAGTTAGCAGGCAGGCACCCAGTGCATGTGGCGGCAGCTGCTGCTGCTGCTGCTGCTGCTGCTTCTGTCTGTGGACGCTGTTGTTTCCTGAAGCCTCTGGGGCCTGGCAGCGGGGTCCCCGGGGTGGCTTTGGTGGAAAGGCTGCAGGTATCTGCTTGCCTGGCTCCTGCACTCTGCCCACCTGCCCCAGGATGGACCCTGGGACCCCTGTCCCTGCCAAGGCTATTCTGTTTCCTGTTGTTCTGGCCTTGTCTTCCCAGTAGCGGTAACCACCCTTCGCCCTCCATCTGGGCTGGGTTGGCTGCTGGGCCCCGGTGCGTGGCTCTGAGATGGGGCCACAAGTCTGTGTTGCACCGTGGCCAAGGCTGGATCTGAACCTGGCTTGGAGGCGGCTTCAGAGACTGGGGTCTTCTTGGCAGGCGGCAGCAGGGCCATGGGCAGTTTCTAAGCCCCAGTACCAGCAGCCAGGGTGAGCCAGCAGCAGGGAGTGGCGGGTGGTGGGTGAGGGCCAAGATGTGGCAGGATCATGCTTGGGAAATGATGAGGCAGAAGCTCCCACAAGGGCAGGCATGTGGCCAGCATGTCTGTACTGGGTGGTCTCCGGGAGCCGTGTCACTCCCAGCCCTGCTGCCTGATGGTGCCAGAGCACCAGGTGACCCTGGCATCTCTGATCCTTGCTTCTCCTGCCTGTGGAATGGCGGCTATGCCTTATTCAAAGGGCGGCCCTGACTACAGGGAGCTCTCTCTGCATGCCAGCCCCACTGTGCCTGGAGCCCCAGAAATGCTGACCCTCCGTTAGTACCAGCTGAGTGCTGTGCACCTGGCCAGGCTCTTGTAGCCAGCCTGAGAGGTGTGGACACTGGGGCCTCTCGCCTGTCCCTAGGGGTGGAGTGAGGAAGGTACTGCCCCGGGACTCTGGCCTGCCTGGTGCAGGGGAGGGGAGAGAGCCAGCGCTTTTCAGGGGAGGGAGAGAAACGGGCATCGGGTGTCGGCCTCCAGGGTGAGCAGGGCCCAGCAGAGCTAGCCTGGAGGGCAGCCCGGGCTGGAGTCCCCGCCTGCTCCACCGCCTGTTGCCCTTTCTGGGGGCCTGGCCTTCCTCATCTTGGATGCAGTATGAGCCCCATCCTGCTACCTGCAGCTAATGAAGCCCCTGTACAGTGGCTGCTGCAGGTGCTGGCTGGACCCCCGCTGGGCCCCTTCTCACCCCACATCCCATTGACTAGTCAGGCAGGGCAGTGAGGACACCTCACAGATGGGGAAACTGAGGCCCAGGGAGGTACTCAAGATGTGCCCAGTGGGCAGGGCTGAGATAAGGCCCTGGAGTCCAGCCTCCAGGCCTGGGTCTGTCCTGCTCTGCTCCCCTGCAGGGCTGGTGGGCCTCCTTCCCCCTTTGAAGGCCTAACGGCCTGGCTTGGAGAGAGGGGGCTCCCGGCATGGGTGATGGCAGAGGCTGGCACCCTTGTGGGCCAGGGCCTGATGGCTCATGGGAGTGCAGGGGACATTGATGTCAAGGGATAGGCCAGACGCCTCACCTTCTCTCCATTCTAGGAAAATCCAAGAGGAAGAAGGATCTACGGATATCCTGCATGTCCAAGCCACCCGCACCCAACCCCACGTGAGTCTGCCTCAGTTTCTCCCTGGCTCACCCTGGAGAGGCTTCCCGAACAGGGCTCAATGGAAGGAGTGAGAGGCAGGTGGGGCCAGCCCTGCTTTACCTCGTCCTGTCCTGGGCAGCCCCTGCTGTGCATACAGCCAGGTGACGGCTGCTGGGGGTTCATGCAGCACCATTTGCTCTGCTCTGCTCACTTCTCACCCTGTCTTGGAGGCTCGATGAGGCCGTGCCCAGCTCAGTGTAGATGCTCAGCAGCCAGTGAGAGGAGGTGGCCGGAGAAGGCGCCTCCGGGGCAGGAGGCACCTCGTCCCCACGCCAGGCCCCACACTGGCCCATCTACTGCTGCACTTGGGGAAGGGTGTGGTTCTCTCTGAAGCTCACGGAGTCTTCTTTCTCCACAGACCCCCCCGGAACCTGGACTCCCGGACCTTCATCACCATTGGAGACAGAGTAGGTGCCAGCCGCCACCCCTGCAGGGCCTCTCACTTCACCTGACGAGCGGGTAGAGCTGACCCTGCAGGGCCACTTTGGGGGGAGGTGACTGAGGGGTCAGAGAGGGTCAGGCTCTGGAGAAGAGCCTCGTCCTGCGCTGCTGGCTGTGTGGCCCTGGGCCACCCACTCTTTGACCCTCCTGGTGGGAATGAGGACCATCGGCTGCCTGACTGGAGCTTGGCGAGCCCAGAGCTGGTAGGAAGGTTTCTGAGCTGAGAGCAAGGCCCTGCACCTCATCCTAGCCCTAGGGGAGAGTATTGAACATGCAGGCTCCTAGGCCGCCCTGGACCCGCTGGATCACTCCCTCAGGCCAGCACCTGGGCAACCTGCATTTTATGCTTCCAGAAGCCTCGGAAGGGCACTAGCCATTCAGAATCCTGGCTCAGGGACCGTGCTATGCCCCGTTCCTCCCAACAGAAACCCTACTCCCAGGCCAGGTGCAGTGGCTCACACCTGTAATCCCCACACTTTGGGAGGCCGTGGCAGGAGGATCACTTGAGCCTCGGAGCTCGGGACCAGGCCTGGGCAACATGGCGAAACCCTGTCTGTACAAAAATACAGAAAATTAGTCAGCGTGGTGGTGCGTGCCTGTGGCCCCAGCTACTTGAGAGTATGAGGTAGGAGGATTGCTTGAACCCAGGAGGTGGATGTTGCAGTGAGCCATGATCGTACCACTGCCCTCCAGCTTGGGTGACGGAGTGAGACCCCGTTTCAAAAAAAAAAAAAAAAAAGAGCTGGGCACGGTGGCTCACGCCTGTAAGCCCAGCACTTTGGGAGGCTGAGGCGGGTAGATCACCTGAGGTCAGGAGTTCAAGACCAGCCTAGCTAACGTGGTGAAACCCTGTCTCTACTAAAATACAAAAATTAGCCCGGTGTGGTGGCAGGCGCCTATAATCCCAGCTATTCAGGAGGCTGAGACAGGAGAATCGCTTGAACCCAGGAGGTGGAGGTTGCAGTGAGCCAAGATTACCCCATTGCATTCCAGCCTGGGTGACGAGAGTGACACTCTGTCTAAAAAAAATAAACCCCATTCCCTAGGCCTGTCCTTGACGATACTCCCTCCAGGCTGTCGCACTCCCTGACACTCACCATCTGCTGTCCTGTTCATCTACTTGCTTACTCCTTTTTGTGTCCCTCCCAAGAGAGGGAAACATCTGTGAAGGCAATACTTTTGTTTTGTTGTCACTGTGTCCCCAGTGCCTAAAACACATTGTGGATGCTTGGTAAACAGTTTCTGAATGAGTGACTCATTCTAGCCAGCTGAGTGGGGTCGGGAAAAGAGGGACAGGGCACCTCTTTCTCAGAGCTGTACCTGCTGGCGGGGCATTTTGTCTCAGTCACACTCCATAGCAGCCTTGGGGTGTTGGCACTGTGCCTGTTTTATAGAGGGCATCGTGAGGCTCAGAGAGGTTAAGTGACTTGCTGAGGGTCACACAGCAGGGAGCGGTGGATATGAGGTTTGAGCCCAGATCTAATCAGCTGGTCCTCTTCATGCTGCCCAGGTATCTCCACTGGGCATGGGGTGAGGACTGGCTTCCAGCTTGCTGGCCACTGACTCTCTTTTCCATCCTTCAAGAACTTTGAGGTGGAGGCTGATGACTTGGTGACCATCTCAGAACTGGGCCGTGGAGCCTATGGGGTGGTAGAGAAGGTGCGGCACGCCCAGAGCGGCACCATCATGGCCGTGAAGGTGAGCAGGGCCTGGAGGCAGCTGGGAGGGCTCCCTGGAGGAGGCGGGCTGAGCTCTGCCATGGGGCCCTGCCTATCCCTCTCAGTGATCAGTACCGAGGCTAGGCTTTTTGGGGCACACTGGGCAGTGGCCCCCTGAGCTCCTGGCCCTCCTGTCATGAGTGTGGGTGTTGGCCTCTGCCACGGCAACCTCTGAATGGCAGTCCTTCCCTGCAGCGGATCCGGGCCACCGTGAACTCACAGGAGCAGAAGCGGCTGCTCATGGACCTGGACATCAACATGCGCACGGTCGACTGTTTCTACACTGTCACCTTCTACGGGGCACTATTCAGAGAGGTGCGTCCTTGCATGATGCAGCTGGGGATCTCCACCTCCCACCCATCAGTCGCCTGCAACCCACTGTCACTCAGTCCCTCCAGTACGCCAGGTGCTGGGGACACCTGGCATACTGGCAGGAGGCTCCCCCGTCTCTTGGCTGTTACTGTCCTGCTCAGTGCCTCAGTTTCCTTGTCAGTCAAATGAGGCCGGTGGTTGTGGGTGCCTCCTAAAGTTGACACGGAAGGTAAACGACATGGCCTGGGGCCTGGCATTCAGCTGCACTCAGTTCTGTCTGTGTGACCATTCGCATCCCCATGGCATACAGGGCGTGGGAATGGCATATGGGGCGTGGGGTGCCCAAGCAGGCAACGGCCATGGAGATATGAGATCTGGATTCTGGGTTCTAGGTTTGTGGACAGGATGGGGTGTGTGCTGAGAGAGTGACTGAGGCTGGAAGAGTGGAGCTGCCTTCCGCCAAGCCGGGTGGGTGTGGGTGAGCAGGGAGGCCGGGAGCCTAGGCGATGCTGGGCTCATACTGGTCACTTGCCCCTCAAAGAGCTGTGGCAGGGTCAGGGCATCTGAGTCCAGCCATCGGGCAAGGTCAGGGCTGCTTCACCTGTCCTCACTCGTCACTCATGAAGAGCTCAGCATCCTCTGTGCCAGCCCCTAGCCGATGGGGCCCCTGCAGCCTGCGGGTGCCCCCTGCGCATCTCCCAACCTTCCTGTCAGGAGGGTCCTCAGGAGTTCACTGGGGAAGAGGGAGCAGGTCCTTGCAGGCAGGGAGCCATCTGCCAGGGTCAGCTGGCATGAGGGTGTCTGTCGGTCAGCAGGGCCGGCTGTTGCCATGGAGCTGGTGCAGGTGCATCCTGAAGCTCTGGTGGAGGGACCCAGCGAGGCTGTGTGCTAATCCTCTTCCTCCCTGGAGACACCTGGAATTAGGGATCAGATAGAGGAGGCTGGCGCCCGAACCTGGCAGTGCAGGCAGAGTTGGAGGGTGGGGGAAGCGGGCAAGTGGGTGGTGGGTGGGAGCCCGGTGAACTGTGGCTGAGTGGGTGGGCACACGTCGGAGAGGGGGCTGGGGCTGGGGCTGGTGCTGGGGCAGGCAGTGCAGGTGGTGCAGACACGGGCAGCCCGGCAGCCTGGCTGAGCTCTGGGTGTCACCCACAGGGAGACGTGTGGATCTGCATGGAGCTCATGGACACATCCTTGGACAAGTTCTACCGGAAGGTGCTGGATAAAAACATGACAATTCCAGAGGACATCCTTGGGGAGATTGCTGTGTCTGTGAGTGGCCTGGGTGGGCTGGCGGGGGGTCCTAGGTGCATAGGCAGAGGCCCAGCCCTGCCAGCAGGCATGGAGCCTGCCTATTGATGGTGTCTTGGGCAGAGCTGGGCATCAATGTGCCCCCTGAACCTGGGCAGCTGCCCTGCATAGGCCCTTCTCCTCCACCCCAGACCAGAGCCTTTGTGCTTAGGAGACCTCCGCTCCTGGGGCTCCTGGAGCCCCACAGATTTGGCAGATCCAGGTGTCTGAGCCATTGATTCCAACTCTTGAGTTCCAGATCATTTTTTAAAAAAGGAATTTAGTATTTACAACAGCGTCATACTAAAAATGCCCCGGGGCAGCTCACAGAGGTACAAGCTAAGTTGGGGGAAAGGTTAGCATCCAAAATGTGTGCTTTTTGAGTCTAAAAAGTCCTTGAGGGAGGGCAGCAACACTGGGCTTGAGCATTCCAGTAGCCAAAGGAAAAAGGAAAATAGAACCAGTGAGACTGGTTCAATCCTCACTGCATCTGGAAACATTTACAATATACCCCTGCCTCAGGCTCCCCACCCAGCCTTCCCAAGGGAAATGGCTCCAAGCTGCTAGAATACTGGCTCTGCCACGGGAGGGGAGATGGGACAGGGAGGCTGCCAAGAGCTGGGTTTTACCCAAGAAGAGTGTGGCAGGCAGTGATGATGCCTCCCTGGGAGGTGAGCCCGGGAGGATGAGAGGAGGCAGGAGGCCGAGTGTGTCTGCACCAGGATTGTTAGGATGCTGGGGCAAATGCCAGGACAGGGCAGGAGGCTGGGATGAGAGGGTGCGTAGCCTGTGCAGCGGGAGCGGGAGACAGGTGGACATGGATGGGGTCTTACTGCTCTGTCGTTTTTGACGTGACCAGGAATAACAGAGTCCTGTCTCTTCCCTCCTCCCCACCCCACCGCCAGATCGTGCGGGCCCTGGAGCATCTGCACAGCAAGCTGTCGGTGATCCACAGAGGTCAGTGCCCGGCAGCCACCCAGGCACGGTGTAGCCAGTGGGAGGGATCCCAGGCCAAGGCGGGTGGACGTCTCCCTATGAGCAACTGTGGCTCCGAGAGGTGATAGGTTGTGACGTGCCCGATGGGGTTCCAGCCGCTTTCCACCTGCAGCCCTGCAGCTGCCTCCCCTCAGGTTTGCTGGTGCTCGAAGCAAGGACTGGCTTGACTTCTGTCCTGAGAAAGGTGGACTGGGTTCTGTTCTGATGTATAGTTTACAAATCGTGAAACTCCAGCATAGAGTGCATATAATCATGTTCACACCCATGCAACCACCTCCCTCCAAGATGCAGGACAATTCTCTCACCCCCTCCCAGAATGTTCTCTTGGGCTCCTTCCCTGCCATCCCCCATGTGCCTAAGGCACCCACAAGTCTGGTTTTCCCACAGTGGGTTGGTTTCGCCCTTTCTGGAACATCAGCCTCGCTTGATGTTTCTGGACCCACCTGGGTCTGGTGTGGTCTCAGTTTGTTCCTTTTTGCTGCTGAGCACAAGTCTATTTTTCCAGATTTACTGCTTTTCAAAAAATGAATTAGGCTTAGTTCCCATTGTCCACTGGGTGCCCATCCCAGCCCCCCAGGTCACTGTGGTTGGCGGTTGGCACGGAACCTTCTGGTCCTTTTTATGTGCATTTCCATCTTTACACACATCCCCATGGAGGGCACGGGGATGTGAGTGTCCTATGCGCATTTGTATGGAGAATCCCTGCTGGGCTGCTCTCCCATGCTGGTCTGTGGGGACTCCATGTCCAAACACGCAGATCCTGCCTCCCAGGCTTTAATTGATCCTGCTGCCCTCTGGGAGCACCCACACAAGCCAGGCTCTCACTGGACCTCATGTCTGGAGGGCGGATGCAGGCACGGTGCTCCCAGCAAAGCACCTGGAGTCCTGCCTTCCTTGCAGTGGCCGGGCCGGGCTGGGCACGTCCTGGCTGTTCCCTGAGGACCAAGTATGACTCTCAGCTGGCCCGGCACCTCTTGCAGCCTCAGTTCCCTGGTCTGACCCTTGGGACCCTGGTGCAACCTGCCCACTGGGGCATGGGAGGGGGCACAGGAGGGGTCTTGGGCGAGGGAGGGGGGCACAGCTATGCAGAGCATGGCACCTGCCTCCAGTCGTGCTCCACAGACGTGGCTGAGGCATGTCCCTCCCTGGCAGATGTGAAGCCCTCCAATGTCCTTATCAACAAGGAGGGCCATGTGAAGATGTGTGACTTTGGCATCAGTGGCTACTTGGTGGACTCTGTGGCCAAGACGATGGATGCCGGCTGCAAGCCCTACATGGCCGTGAGTGGTCCCCAAGCCCCCCAGGCTCAGGAGAGGATGGGGCGGGGAGAAATCTGCCCAGGCTGGCCACCCCGGCCATACCCTCTGTCCGTAGGGGCAGAGCCTCCCCACACTGCGTTTCCTGCTGTAGTGGGGCCACCTGTGTCTTGCTGCCCAGGGGCAGCCCTTCTGTACCCCGTTGTTAACTGACCCCCACAGTGCCCCAGTTGGGTGATAAGCTCATGGACCACCTCTGCGGAGGACACTGGTGGGCTGTGCAGGTCCCGCCCCGCCCTCATTGTCAGGAGGGCCTTAGGGGCCTGCTCCCGGGTAGGGTCAGACCGATGCAAGGGTTGGGCCTTCTAAGCATGACCCAGGCCCTCCTAGCCTCAGTTTCCTCCCCCGTCACATGGGCAGGTGGGCTAAGCTGAGCGCTCAGTTTGGGGATTGGGAGGCAAGGCCTAGCCATGGGGGCTTACCTGGGGCGGGTGTTCACGCCTCACTCTTCCCTCCTGCAGCCTGAGAGGATCAACCCAGAGCTGAACCAGAAGGGCTACAATGTCAAGTCCGACGTCTGGAGCCTGGGCATCACCATGGTACTGTGGGGGGCCAGGGCCTGCCCTTGGTGGTCAGGTGGGGTGGGTGGAGCCGTGCCTGGGGCCCTGAGCTTTTGGGGGACTCATCAAATAGTTTAGGTTCTGGAAAGAAGTATTGGCTTCAAAATCTGAGAAGAAAATGTGCCATCAGAAATTACCATCTATTTAAGGGAACCTCCTAGGGTCAGGGTCACTCATCGTGAAGTCCTGGGTGCTTTGTGATATGGTGGCCACAGGGCTTTCTCTGGAGTTCTTGGTGCTTGTTGAGAAATCACAGCCAATCCCAAATTACGTAAGTTCCTGGTATGTAAATCATGCAAAAGCAAGATGGTAAAGATCTTTTCAAAAATATTTCATAGCAGAAGGTTTGTTGTCGGTGGCGTCCTGGTACATTGCGGTGGGGTGGTAGAAAGGGTGGGCGGGCTCTCAATCCTGGGCCTGTGGAAGCCAAAGGCATCCCTGGCTTGGGTAGGGTGAGGGCAGATGTGGCAGAAGTCCGAAGTCCAGGTGTAGGGATGGGCCCAGAGCAGTTGCTTCTGGAGTTGCCTGGCAGAACCCCATGCCTTCCGTGTTGGGGCTCAGGTCAAGGTGTGGGTGAGCCCGCTCTGGCTCCCCTGTGGACAGTGGATTGGAGGGATGGGAAGACCACCAGGATGTGTCCCCCAGCCAGGGCTAGGAAGCTGTGCAGGAGACGCGTGGAAGGACGATGCCATCAGCAGGTCGGGCTCAGGCTGGTGGCCTTGGCCAGTTGAGTGGCTTGGGACCAATGGAGTGTCCTGGGCGTCAGCTCCTTCCCTGCCCAGGGAAGCCTGGCCCAGGACATTCCTGCTTGTCCCTAGTCCCTTTGACTGTTTGGTGTTGGGGATGAGGCCGTCAGATAGAATCAGTAAGATGTGGTGAGAAGCGCTGGCGGGGTGTTTTCCAACACCGCAACCCATTCTCGGATTCTCCAGACACCCACCCAGTGCCCTGCAGTTCCGTTCGGTTCTGATGCTACCTGGAGTTCGCACAGACCCCACAGGTTAAGGGCTCTGTCCCACCAGACTGCCCCCAACATCACACACCAGTTGGAAGTAGCGGGTCTCCCATACTACTGGACTGACCAGCTACAAATTGGGGGTCCCCATGACCCTCTCGTAAGGTTTGATAATTTCCTAGAATGGCTCACAAAACTCAGGGAAACACTTTATTTGTGTTTACTGGTTTATCAGAAAGGATATAACTCAGGGCCAACCAGATGGAAGAGACTCACGGGGGAGGGGTGTGAGTGTGGGGTGCAGAGCTGCCGTGCCCTCTCAGGGCCTGGCACCCTCCTGGTACCTCCCTGTGCTTGCGAACCTACAGGCTTCTCAAGCTCATGGAATTTTGTTGTTTTTGACACAGAGTCTCACTTTGTCACCCAGGCTGGAATGCAGTGGCACAATCTTAGCTCACCGTAACCTCTGCCTCCTGGGTTCAAGCGATTCTTGTGCCTCAGCCTCCCGAGTAGCTGGGATTACAGGCACCACCATGCCCAGCTGATTTTTGTATTTTTAGTGGAGATGGGGTTTTGCCATGTTGGCGAGGCTGGTCTTGAACTCCTGACCTCAAGTGATCTGCCCGCCTCAGACTCGCAAAGTGCTGTGATTACAGGCATGAGCCACCACGCCCAGCCTCACATGGAGAGGTTTTTTGTGAGAGAGGGTCTCACTCTGTTGCTCAGGCTGGAGTGCAGTGGTATCATCGCAGCTCACTGCAGCCTTGAACTCCCAGGCTCAAGCCATCCCCCTACCTCAGTCTCCTGAGTAGCTGGAACTACAGGTGTGTGCCCCTATGCCCAGCTACTTTTTTAATGTTTTGTAGAAAAGGGGTCTCACTATGTTGCCCAGGCTGGTCTTGAAATCCTGGGCTCAAGCAATCTGCCTACCTCGGCCTCCCAAAGTGCTGGGATTATAGGCACAAGCTACTGCACCCACTGAAAGTTTTTATAGAGCACAGTCTCCAGGCCCCCCTCCTCTCAGCATCAGTTGGCGGGTGATGCTGAGAGTTCCCACCCTCTATAATCAGCTGGGTTTTCTGGGGAGCAGCCCCATCTGAGGCTGTCTAGGGGCCTTACCCTGAGTCACCTCATTAGCATAAACTCAGGCTCCTTGTGGATAACAAAGCCACTCCTGTCACTCAGGAAATTCCAAGGGTTTTAGGAGCTCCATGCCAGGAACAAAGACCAAATAAATTCCTTTTTATGCCACGGGGGTGGAGAAGACTGGAGCAGGTAGGGGTGGCTCTGGGGACAGGTGGAAGGCCACTGTTGCAGATGCGGAGGCCTCTGCAAGGAGGGCACCCTGCTGACCTGAGGGCAGGGTAGACCAGGGGGTGCAAGTGCAAAGGCCCTGAGGTGGGGCTGTGCCTGCTGTGTGCCTGGGTGGCTGGGTCAGAGGAGAGGGAGGGAGGGTTGGGAGCGAGCGAAGAGAAGTGTCTGGTGGGTAGAGAGTTGACGCAGGTGTTGTGGGTTTTACTGGTGTTGCTGCTACCATTGTTATCATCATCATGTGGTTATAACTTTATTTATTTTTAATTTTTATTTTTTTGAGATGGAGTCTCACTCTGTTGCCCAGGCTGGAGTGCAATGGGACGATCTCGGCTTACTGCAACCTCCGCCTCCTAGGTTCAAGTGATTCTCCTGTCTCAGCCTCCTGAGTAACTGGGATTACAGGCTCGTGCCACCATGCCCGGCTATCTTTTTTTTTTTTTTTTTTTTTTTTTTTTGAGACGGAGTTGCACTCTGTTGCCTAGCCTGGAGTGCAATGGCATGATCTCAGCTCACTGCAACCTCTGCCTCTCGCGTTCAGGCAATTCTCCTGTCTCAGCCTCCCCAGTAGCTGGGATTATAGGCGTGAGCCACCACACCTGGCAAATTTTTGTATTTTTAAAAAAGACGGGGTTTCACCATGTTGGCCAGGCTGGTCTCAAACTCCTGACCTCAGGTGATCTGCCTGCCTCTGCCTCCCAAAGTGCTAGGATTACAGGGGTGAGCCACTGTGCCTGGCCTTTTTTTTTTTTGAGGGAGTCTCACTCTGTCGACCAGGCTAGAATGCAATGGCACAATCTCAGTTCACTGCAACCTCCGCCTCCCAGGTTCAAGCAATTCTCTTGCCTCAGCCTCTCAAGTAGCTAGGATTACAGGCATTTGCCACCATGCCCGGCTAATTTTTGTATTTTTAGTAGAGACGGGGTTTTGCCATGTTGGCCAGGCTGGTCTCAAACTCCTGACCTCAGGTGATCCACCTGCCTCAGCCTCCCAAAGTGTTGGGATTACAGGCGTGAACCACCACGCCCAGCCTTGAGCCACTGCGCCTGGCCTGTGGCTGTAACTTTATAAATAGTGTATCTGTAGACAGTGACTGGGAAAGACTCAAAGTCGAAATAATTTTGTCAGAGAGGTGGGACTGGGCCATACCTTCAATTTTCTTTAATTGGTGACATGTAATTTTTCAATTAAAATTTTTTTTTTTTGAGGTGGAGAGGAATATTCAGGCTGAAGGCAGGTGCTGTATCTGCAATAACAGTTTTCCAAGTCCTAAGTTTGATGCAAAGGACAAGTTCTTGCTGTATTTAGACTGCACAGAACTGGTTGGATATTAGAGACCCTGCTCATGACTACCTCACACATACACACACCCTATGTCCCTTCCCCATCTCCCTGTCTCCCTTCCAGTTGTCCATCCATCATGATTGTTGGGGCCACCATGGCTAGTGGCCTTCTGATATGGCTGGTGGAACTTGGACAAGTGTGTGCTAAGTGTATATTTCAGTTATCAAATATTGCATAGCAAACCACCCTAGAACCTAGTGACCCAAACCAACAGCGGTTTCTTATTTCTCATGTTTCCACCACTGTGGCTGGGCTCAGCTGGATGGCTCTTCTGCTGTACCTGGGATTGGCTGGGGTCATGGCTGGGCTGGGCTGGTCTGGAAGGCCCAAGACGGCCTCACAAACATGGGCCTCCTCTGCCTGGCCTCTCCATGCAACTTACTCACATTGGCCTGCTCCCTGGGCTTCAGAGCATGGCAGTGTCAGCAGAGTTGGAGTTCTTTCATGATGGCTGGCATCTAAAAGGAAGTTCTCTGAAGTGCTAGGCCTGGAACTGGCACAGCATCACTTCTGCCTCATTGTGTTGGTCAGCGAGTCACAGGCCAGCCCAGGTTCAAGGGCAGGGAATGCTCCCGGCTTAATGGAGGATCAGCAGGTGCACACAGCGGGAGGCGGAGGTGGTCACTTTAGGCACAGGTTAGGTTTTTCTTTCACAAGTTACAAACGTAGTGGAAACCTAACATAAAAATAGAGGCACAGTAAGGGGAAAATGACTGTAGTTATTCTACCTAGAGACACCTCTTACCCCGTTTCAGTGCCAACATTGTGCATTATATTATATATATAATATTTTTATTACATATAATAAAATACGTTTTATTAAAATTTAGAGAAATACAAACAATATGTAATGCTTCTCTTTTTTTGTTGTTGAAACAGAGCCTCGCTCTGTCACCCATGCTGGAGCGCGGTGGTGCGATCTCGGCTTACTGCAACCTCCGCCTCCCAGGTTCAAGTGATTCTCCTGCCTCAGGCTCCCGAGTAGCTGGGACTACAGGCGTGCGCCACCATGCCTGGCTAATTTTTGTATTTTTAGTAGAGATGGGGTTTCACCATATTGGCTAGGCAGGTCTCAAACTCGTGATCCACCCACCTTGGCCTTCCAAAGTGCTGGGATTACAGGTGTGAGCCACTGCGCCTGGCCTCGTAATGCTTCTTTTTAAAAAACTTTTTAAAAAAAATTTTGTAGCATTACATGTTGTTCATATTTGTCTCTCTCTCTCTGTTTTTTTTGTTTTTTGTTTTTTTTGTTGTTTTTTTTTTTAGATGTAGTTTTGCTCTTGGTGCCCAGGCTGCAGTGCAGTGGTGCAATCTCGGCTCACCACAACCTCTGCCTCCTAGGTTCAAGTGATTCTCCTGCCTCACTCAATCTCCCAAGTAGCTGGGATTACAGGTGTGCACCACCACATCCAGCTAATTTTGTGTTTTTAGTAGAGATGGGGTTTCTCCATGTTGGTCAGACTGGTCTCGAACCCCCGACCTCAAGTGATCTGCCTGCCTCGGCCTCCCAAAGTGCTTGGATTATAGGTGTGAGCCACCGCACCTGGCCAATTTCTCTAAATTATAATAGACTCCTGTATGTATCCCTTCCAAAGACTCCATAACCATCTGCCACCATTCAGTCACCCTGTCTGCTGATGTGGGTTGTTTCCCTTGTTCCTGCTGTTTTCCTTCCATTTCAAATTCTCAGCCATCCTGGGGGAGCGACTGATGAAACAGAGTCGGGAGAGTCCCCCTGGGTGGGGCTCTGGCCTCGGCCTCCCCCCATCCTGCAAGGGCCCCAGAGCTCTCTTGGCGTTGGCTTTTTCCCACTCACTGCACAAGCCTCAGGATGCCAGTGGGAATCACCCAGAACAGACAGGGGTCATGCCGGGGATGGCCCTTGGCCAGGAGCAAGTGCTGACTGGGTGCTGGCCTGTTAGTGTTGTCGCTGGGGAGTCACAGGGGTGCGACTACGGTCCTGGCTGGGTCTCCGCCCCCATGGTGGGGCCGGCCCCTGGCGCTGGACATTCAGGCTGTTTCTTAGTATTTCCTGGCAGAAAACACCATATGGCACATCTTCGTGTCTGGAGGCTATTTTTGTTGTTTTTCATTTTTTGAGCTCTTTAGAAAAAATAAAGGAGTACGAGGTTGAAGGTTTGGACACTTCTGCTTTTCTAATTATAACTCTCATGGCCGCTGGTCCTTCTCCTGTAGCTCGTATGGGGTACTTGCTCTACATATTGCAGTCAGTGAAAATTCTAAGAGAAAAGCCCCCCAAATCGGTACGGTTTTGTCCTGTGAACACGCATGCACACATGCACACACACGCAGTGGGCCCTGCCTGTGTGGGTGTGTTTGTCTGAGCTGGAAAGGGCCTCTAGCCTGATGGGAGGCACAGTCTCAGCACAGTCCTTAGGGTCTTGTCCGGGCTCCAGTTGCCAGTGCCAAGTGTTTGTGCTGAGGTCTCTTCCGTTCATCATGGTGATGACGGCCGGCAGTGAGGGCCCTTGTGCTGGAGCCTCGGAATTCTCTGTTCTTCCAGGCCGGGGCCAGGGCTGACATAACTTGTTTTTTCCATCCAGTCATCATGATTGGAGCCCAGAGTTGGTTGTAAGCTAGCTAGTCCGTCCCTTCCATGATGACTTCCTGCCAACCACAGGGCTGGGAGCTTGGAGCGAGGACAGAGACCCACCGGCCCGATGTCACCCACAGGAAATCTGGATCCAGCAGGGCACATGTGGCCACACAGGCCACTTGTCTAGGAGGGAAACTGCTGGGGCCCTGCAGAAGATGAGGCTGCAGGCTCACGGGTGCAGAGGCGAAGCAGCCTCATGGTCTCACACTCTGTCCGCGGCCTTGGAGACAGCTGTGTGTGTGTGTGTGTGTGTGTGTGTGTGTGTGTGTGTGTGTGTAGCATTTCCCATGTGCCTCCTCTGTGAAAACAGCCCAAATTAATGACAGCAGATGCTGAAGTCTGAGATGGTCAGATGTTAGGAAGGGGATTGGCTGTGACCACCTGGGACCTGCCCACCTGGCTCATGAGGCTACGGCCCAAAGTTGCCAGCTCCTCAGATTTTTCCAGAGCAGCTGGAACCTGCATTGTTTTGTAAAATCTTCAGAATTCAGGTTTTCTGAAAACCCTATGATGGTCCCACCAGTCCCGGTGTGGGCTGAATCTGCTTCCTGAGCTGGGTCCTGCTGGCTGGGTCGGAGGAGCTAAGAGCTGGCATCCCCGGCTTTCTCGCCTTTGTTCTGCTGGGATGTGGTAGGGAGATCAGCTGTGCAGCTTTGACGCCTGGCTCTGGTACCAGGATGGGTGGGAGCCCCCAACCCTCGCTCCTGGGTGCAGAGCGTGGTTGTATCTGGGGCCGGGGCCTCTGACCCCCTGTCCCCGCTGCAGATTGAGATGGCCATCCTGCGGTTCCCTTACGAGTCCTGGGGGACCCCGTTCCAGCAGCTGAAGCAGGTGGTGGAGGAGCCGTCCCCCCAGCTCCCAGCCGACCGTTTCTCCCCCGAGTTTGTGGACTTCACTGCTCAGTGGTGAGTCTTGGGTGCTGCTGAGCGCCTGCCACTGCCCCTCCCTGGCCAGATCCCTGCACCTTCCTGGGCCCTGTTCCTTTATTCCTTTGGCAAATAAACCCCCAGATGACTTGGCATCCAAATATGTAAGGCAGAAACAGCTGGAGCATGAGGAGCATTTGACAAAACGATGGTCTTGGTGGGAGATTTTAATACAGTTCTTCCAGAAGTGGACAAATCAGATAGACTGAAAAAGAGAACAAAGTATATGGAAAATTTGAACACAAAAAACAAGTTTGCTTTTATTGATATCTAGAACTTTGTACCAAATTAAAGAATGCCCCATAGGAGCCTTATAAAAATCATGTTTGAGAGGCTGGGCACGGTGGCTCACGCCTGTAATCCCAGCACTTTGGGAGGCCGAGGCAGGCGGATCCCGAGGTCAGGAGTTTGAGACCAGCCTGACCAACATGGTGAAACCCCGACTCTACTAAAAATAGGAAAATTAGCCGGGCGTGGTGGCGCATGCCTATAATCCCAGCTACTCAGGAGGCTGAAGCAGGAGAGTCGCTTGAACCCGGGAGCCGGAGGTTGCAGTGAGCCTGAGCCGAGATCATGCCACTGCACTCCAGCATGGGTGACAGAGTGAGACTGTCTCAAAAAAAAAAAAAAATCATGTTTGAGGTTACAGAAGGAATAAGGAAGAGGGCAACTTCTCTGAACTTAATTAAATAGAGCAAGAATTGGGTAAGGAAGAAGCGGCCGGGTGCGGTGGCTCACACCCATGGTCCCCGCACTTTTATTGTTGACCATAATCAGCAACAGAGGAGCCCAGCAGAGTCCCTGGGCAGTCTGACCCCTTTAATTGTGGACTAACTTCTCCCAGAACCCATGATAAGGAGTTTCTCTCCTGATTGAGGATACCAAGTGTGTGACTGTTAGGCAGAGCATTGCAGCCCCATTTTGGTGTTGATATGGAAATTCCTAGGTCACTATGCAGACAAGAAAACCAGGACCCCAGGAGCCAGAGAAACTTGCTGCAAGTCTCTAGTTTGCTCCTATGAATGCCCCTCCACCCTGGAAGAAGCCCTAGACAGTCCTGTCCCTTCTTCCCTGGGTGCACGTGTCCCCTGCTGCTAGGCCTGGGGCAATCCTGGGGTGGTTTGGCTGGCCCTTGGGGGCTGGGCTTCCTCCCTGCCAGCCTGGCCACAGCTGCACTATTCTCTCCTAGCCTGAGGAAGAACCCCGCAGAGCGTATGAGCTACCTGGAGCTGATGGTGAGTATGGGCGGGAGGTGCCTGCCCTGCTCTTCAGGGCTGGCTGGGGCTGGGTGGGGCTCTGGGGAGAGGGCTGCATCCTGCACACAGATGGGTAGCTCCTCTGGCTGGCCCTGTGTTCTCTCCTTTAGGTGCTCGGTCATTTGTTTGCTCCTGCATACCTGGCTCCCTCCTCCCTCCTTCCTGCATGCCAGGCCCTGGGAAGGGTACACAGGCAGTGTGTGACAGAATGGGGCAGAGGGGCCAAGGGTGGCATCAGGGAAGGCTTCATGGAGGAGGTACCATTTGAACTGAGCCTGGAAGGATGAATAAGGGTTATCTCCTGATGGAGAGGCTGTCCCAAGCAGAAGGTCCAGCATGGGCAGAGGCCTGACGTGTGGGGGGAAAGGGAGGTTAGTGTGGCTGGAGAGTGACCACAAGAGAGCTGAGGAGGAGCCACAGATGCCATCTGTGACAGTCATGGAGGGCCTCCTGGGGGTGGAGGTCCTAGAAGGATGAGTAGGATTTTGCCAGTCAGGAGAACACTTGGGCTGGAGCTGGTTGGGGAAGAGTGGCCACCTCTCCCTCCCGCTACCCCTCCATGGTGACTGTGCCTTCTGTCACCCCCAGGAGCACCCCTTCTTCACCTTGCACAAAACCAAGAAGACGGACATTGCTGCCTTCGTGAAGGAGATCCTGGGAGAAGACTCATAGGGGCTGGGCCTCGGACCCCACTCCGGCCCTCCAGAGCCCCACAGCCCCATCTGCGGGGGCAGTGCTCACCCACACCATAAGCTACTGCCATCCTGGCCCAGGGCATCTGGGAGGAACCGAGGGGGCTGCTCCCACCTGGCTCTGTGGCGAGCCATTTGTCCCAAGTGCCAAAGAAGCAGACCATTGGGGCTCCCAGCCAGGCCCTTGTCGGCCCCACCAGTGCCTCTCCCTGCTGCTCCTAGGACCCGTCTCCAGCTGCTGAGATCCTGGACTGAGGGGGCCTGGATGCCCCCTGTGGATGCTGCTGCCCCTGCACAGCAGGCTGCCAGTGCCTGGGTGGATGGGCCACCGCCTTGCCCAGCCTGGATGCCATCCAAGTTGTATATTTTTTTAATCTCTCGACTGAATGGACTTTGCACACTTTGGCCCAGGGTGGCCACACCTCTATCCCGGCTTTGGTGCGGGGTACACAAGAGGGGATGAGTTGTGTGAATACCCCAAGACTCCCATGAGGGAGATGCCATGAGCCGCCCAAGGCCTTCCCCTGGCACTGGCAAACAGGGCCTCTGCGGAGCACACTGGCTCACCCAGTCCTGCCCGCCACCGTTATCGGTGTCATTCACCTTTCGTGTTTTTTTTAATTTATCCTCTGTTGATTTTTTCTTTTGCTTTATGGGTTTGGCTTGTTTTTCTTGCATGGTTTGGAGCTGATCGCTTCTCCCCCACCCCCTAGGGTACCAGCAGGCAGAGCCTTGCCCTCTGCTCAGGCTGGGGTCCAGTGGGAGGGGCCCAAGATCTCTGCTCAGAGAAGTGCAGGGGGAGCCTTCCAGCTCACTCTCCCTGAGGACTGGCTTGACAGGGGCTATGGGTTTGCTTTGGTGTTGTTTTTAAAAAAAGAAAATATATTTTTTTGAAAAAACGACTGCCCATCCCGGGTCCTTTCCCTGATGGGTTGGGGCAGTTACCTGGTTGCTGTTTTAATTAAAAAAAAAAAAAAAAAAAGGACTAAAGGTTGTGTGAGATTGTGTATGACACCTGTGAGCCCCCCTCTTACTTGGGGAAGGTTGTGGCCCTTCAAGGGACCCTTGTCTCTGGGCCAGGGGCAGGGTGTCGTGCTCAGGGGAGGGAGGACTGCCAACCTACCAGGCCCTTCTACATCTGAGGACACAGAGGCCCCCAGAGGGCTGTGATGAGGTAACATCCTGTGATCATCCAGGCACCAGGCCCTGTACTGACACTGGACAGAGCAGCGAACACACAGGTCCAGTCTGCTGGTGGCGGCCACCCATCCCACTGTCCTGAAGTAGTGATGACAGCCAGGTCACAGAGCAGCGAGCACCCTGCACACTTTGCCTGGGCTGGACACGGTGACCTCATGGAGGTTACCTGACCTCCAGTTTACAGATGGGAACAACAGACCCAGAGAGCTGACATCACTTACCCAAAGCCACACAGCTTATAAGACAGAAAAACAGACTTGGGGACAGGTGGTGGGCTCCGGAGAAGGCTCCGAGGGGAGTAGGGGCAGCCTGATGAAGGCGCCCTGCAGTCTGGCCCTGTGACGCTGGCAGCATGGCTGGGGCAGCAGGGAATTTGCTCACGTAAGCCGGGTGTGCTCAGCTTCAGGTACCGTTAGGTTCGAAGTTCAGCTGATGGCCTGAAGGACTTGCATCCACCTTGGCTGTTCATCCGTCTCAGGTTCACCCCCTCATGGGGACCAGTCAGGACCCAGGGACTCCAAGAGCTCGGCACACCGTGCCCAGGGTACTCCTGAAGTCCCAGGACTGGCTCTTACCAGCTGGGAAGGAGTCGAATTCATCCCCAGGCCAGGAGGGTGGGTGTGACAGCTCAGGTCAGGTCAGGCATGAGGGGACTCCGCCCACTACAGCTCAAGGTCTGAGAGCAGGGTCTCTGTGGTCCTCTGAGGAAGCTTAGGGTGTGTTCCCAGGAGGAGGGTCCCCATGGGGTCTGTCTCTGCACTCCTCCTGTCCTCCAGCCCCAGTCTGGGACAGGTCTCTGCCCACTAACCCTTCCCTGGCACAGGGGCGAACAGTTCCTGGGAGCTGTTGTCTCCCTCTCTCCATCCTTCAATCATGAAGACTTGTTTTCACCCCAGGGCCTTTGCACTGGCTGTCCCCTCTGCGTAGAACACCCCCTCCCCCGTCTTCCTGTGGCTGGCTCCCCCCAACCCCATCCCGGTCTCCCATGTCACCTCCTCAGCGAGGTCTTCCAGGACCACTCTGGCTCAAACAGCCTCCGCCCACTAGGCCCAGCCAATCTAGCTTATTATCCTGGGTTATCCTGGCCGAGACCTGACTTGTCACTGTTGTGTCGTCAGCGCTGAGAATGCTGCCGACACCGAGGGAGCGCTCGGCTTCTGCTGAATGAACACATGAAAGAATGAATGAGGGAGGGAGGGAAGGGGGGAGGGAGGGAATGAATCCCTTGCCGGGGCGCGGCCCCAGGCTCTGTCTCCTGTAGCCGCCAGGGGGCGGTAGAGCTCGGCTTCAACCGCGTGTCCTGGAGCCCCGCCCGGCCCCGAGCGCCCGTCCGCGTCCTCGTGCGTCCTCGGCGCAGCTGGAGGCCGCGGGCTTGCCACGCGTCAGCCCAGTTCTCGGCCTCTGCGGCTGTCCTGCCCGTGTGCACCCCCTGGCCCGGCCCTCGGGGCTTCCGGGGACTCTGCAGCCTGCAGACAGCAGCAGACCCAACGCCTAGAGATTTACCGTGCGCGCCCCTGAAGTTACCCAGCGCCCCGCAGGCCACCGCGCCCCTCGCGGCTCGCAGGCCTGGCTGGACGCCGCAGGCCTGGCTGGATGCCGCAGCCCTTCACAGAGAGCAGGCTCCTCCGCGCACGACTGCAGCCCCAGTCGTTTGCAGTTCCCTTGCCATTTATGGGACCCTTTGGCTTTTACAGAGCGTGTCCAGCCATCAGAGTGCGGAAGCCAGTGCGCAGGTCACTAACATTTACAAAGCACAGGCCCTTGACAGTTTATACTACCCGTGGAGGTCTCAAGCGGCAGGGCCCCTCTCCCCTGTTCCCTGTCCCTGAGGTGGGGGAATGGGGATGGGGAGCGGCCGCCCCCCCCTCCCCCGAGGCCGGACGCCCGCATTTCCTGTCAGGCAGCAGGGTCCGGGCAGGCGCCTCTTCCAGGCCCGGGATTAATGAGTCTCTGGACTGGGAGATGGCAGAGGCATGTAGACTTTGTTCAATTACAGCCGTGAGAGCCTCCTCATCAGGCAGCATTAAAACTGCAGCAGACAGGCCGGGCGTGTTGGCTCACGCCTGTAATCCCAGCACTTTGGGAGGCTGAGGTAGGTGGATCACCTGAGGTCGGGAGTTCGAGACCAGCCTGGCCAAGATGGTGAAACTGCGTCTCTACTTAAAAAAATACAAAAATTAGACGGGCATGGTGGCGCACATCTGTAATCCAAGCTATCTGGGAGGCTGAGGCAAGAGAATCGCTTGAACCTGGGAGGCAGAGGTTGCAGTGAGCTGAGATCGAGGTGCTACACTCCAGCCTGGGGGGCAGAGTAACACTCCGTCTCAAAAAAAAAAAAAAAAAGAAAAAAGAAAAAAATGCAGCAGACAGGCCTGCTCAGGAGCAGGGAGGCTGCGGAGGGAGGATTTGGCGAATTCCCTTCTAGAGGCCAGGGCGTGAAGCCTCTCCTCCAGATCCCTGCTGCAGCTACCGTCTTCGGTGGGGGCCTCCTCATGGTCCACAGTGCCCCACCCCGGGCGCCCACCCCTGCCTCCCCTGTACCCTGTGCCTGGCTCCCTGCGCTTCACCCCGAGCCTGGCGGTGCAGGGCCTCTGCAGGAGCTGTCTTGTTCTCCTCCCGGAACGCTCTTCCCCGGATGTGCTCCCGCTTTGGGGTCTGCTCAGATGCCTCCCTGACCACACTTGTCCTGCCGCACTTTCTTCACATTTATTCATTTTCATTCTTGCCCACTGGCCGCCTCCCCCGCAAGACCAGGAGGAGCCGGCCTTGCTCACAGGAGACAGGGCAGGTGCAGGAAGGCTGCCGCAAGGCCCAGCGCAGGCAGCAGGCAGCAGGGCTGTGCGGGAGGTGGTCTGGGGACAGTGCTGCCATTCCGTTTATTCCGGGGGTCTGCTCTGGGAAGGCTTTCCAGGAGCGAGCCGATACTGAGCCGATAGGCGCGTTGTGCTGGCTGAGGACTCTGCACCTCAGAGAAGGGAAGCCAGGAGCTCCAAGTCAAACAGCAGGCAGCACCCGTGCCGGGGGTTAGCGTCCCGGCTGCGCTCCCGCTCCCATGCCCTCCCTCGGGGCCGAGCTCTGCTTCTGAGGGCGGAGCCCAAGGAGGCCCGTGCTGCCCACCTGGCGGCTCAGGCTCCAGCAGCCCCGAAACTGTGGTCAAGTCCCTCTTCCCCCAGGGAATCGGCAGGGGCCGGAAGGATTGAATATGTCCCCCAAGCTGCTGTGTTGGGAGGTGGGGCCTCACAGCAGGATTAGATCCTGGGGGCCTGCCCTCCTGAATGGATGAATGCTGCCAGCCATCTCCCAGTGGGTTAGTTACCGAGGGGGTTGGTTGTAATAAAAGGGCGTTTTGCCCTCCCCTGCTGCCTCCAGCACTCTCTTGCCTTTCGGCCTTCCTTCAGCCATGGGAGGACACAGCAGGGAGGCCTTGTCAGATGCCGGCCTGGATCTTGATTTCCCAGCCTCCAGAACCCTGAGAAATTTCTGTTGTTTAGAAAGTACCCAGTCTGGGCTGGGCACATGGCTCACACTTGTAATCCTAGCACTTTGGGAGGCCAAGGCGGGCGGATCGCTTGAGGCCAGGAGCTCACGACCAGCTGGGGCAACATAGCAACACCTCATCTGTACAAAAAAGCCAGGTGTGGTGGTGCATGTCTGTAGTCCCAGCTACTCCAGGAGCTGAAGTGGGAGGATTGCCTGAGCCCAGGAGTTCGAGGCTGCAATGAGCGGTGATTGCCACTGCACTCCAGCCTGGGTGACAGATTGAGACCCTGTCTCAATTTAAGAAAAGAATGAAGAAGAAATCATCCAGTTTGTGGTATTTTGTTATAGCAACAATGAAACAGATGAATACAGGCCCCCAACACCAGCATTATCTCATCCTGGTTTCCCTGTGGGCAGGGGCTGTGGTGGGCAGGCAGGACCAGTCACCTCATCTTCCAACAGGGGCTTCGCATCTGACCACACCTCTCCCTGATGCACCAATCCTCTCAACCACACCCCCACCAAGGCCTGCTGGCCTCTGCTTGCATACCTGCCCTGATGGGGAGCTCACTCCCATACAGACGCGATTCCTGGAGGGATCTGGGTTCCATCTTCTTTTCCCTGTTCTAGTTCCCCAGGCCTGTGACGTGAGGGGCCCATGTGTAAACCCTGGCTCACTCTCAATGCTCATTTCTTTGCCTCTTGTGAAAGCTGTTGCAAATCCTTTTGGAAACCAGGTGGGAGGGTCTATATATACACTGGCTGTACTATGTTTATCAGAGCTTGTGTATCTTCACGCCCAGGGCAGCCGGCTTCTCCTGGAGGTTACAGAGGCTCAGCGAGGCTCTGACCCCTCCTGAGGCCACCAGAGAGTGAGGCAGAGCCAGGGAAGCCCAGAAACCCAGGCGTCCTGCCCCTAGTCCCTACCCCCAGCTGAGGCTCTGCCCAGCCCCAGTGAGCCACCTGCCAAGCCAGGTTTAGCTGCAGCCACCCCCTCTGTCCTCGCAGAAGCCGTGGGCTGCTCTATTCCTGTTCTGGGCCAGCCTTATTGGGGACTTGAGTTGGGGAGGCCTGGCGAGGCAGCAGCAGCTGCAAGCTCTGGTTGGGGATGGGGGAGTTGCTCTGTGAACTAGCCTAGGAAATTCTTTCCTTGTCTGCCTCCCAAACCCTCCATGGCTCCCTATTCCCACAACATCCAAGGAAAAGGAGGCACAGCATGAACTTGACAGCAGGGCCTTATCTGGGTTGTTCTCCACAGGGTTTGGCCCATGGCACGTGTTATCTGAGCACCTTCTATGTGCCACGTTGTGTTCTAGAACCAGAGCTGTACCAGGGCTCAGACAGACCTGGACCTGCTCAGCCAGGGTGTCAGGCAGGGAGGAGGCACCCACCTTCGCGGAAAGCTGTGCTCCCCCCATTCTTCCAGCATCACCCCATGATCACTCCCTAAGGAGAAGCAGTGAACTCTAAGTTAATTAGCAAAGTCATTTAAACTAGTTAAGCTTAATTACCATTAAATGATTACATTTAATTAATTAATTTTTTTACATTTGAATTTAAAAGCCCCTGGGGCAGGCAGGGATTTTCTGCCACCCAAGAGACCAAGGGGTTGAAGGACAGATGGCACGGGCCCTGCAGGCCATGGCAGAGAGGCTGAACTTCATATTCAGGGCAAAAGTCACTGGAGGGCTGTGAGCCGGGGAGAGATGTCATCTGATTGCATTAAGAACAACAGCAGCGCAAGATCACACCTGTTTGCCCTCAGAGCCCTACTCCGTGCCTCTTCAGCCCCCACTGTCCCCAGCCCTTGGGTCAGACAACCTTGAATTTGACACTTTCACCCCAGGTTGTATGACCTTGAAGATGTCACTGCACCTCTCAGAGACTCAGTTTCCTCATCTGCAAATTGGGGCAGGATCTGGCAGGATTGCAGGTGGTTTCAACAGAACCCTGCAGCATGGAACAGGCTGGCACACAGTAGGTACTCCATGAATAATGCTGTCCCCCTGGTCCCTGCCTCCACTGCCTCCTCTTGGGCCAAACCCAAGTTTATTCTGCTTCCTATAGTTGCCTTCAACTACAATCTGTCCCCGTGGGGTCCCTCAGGATGCACATCCATGGCAGAGCTGGGCTTGCCCTTAAACCTTGGGCTAGGAGGCTGGAGGCATCTGTCCTGGGACTCTGAGATTTCACAGGCTGTGCTTGTAAGTGGGCACAGACCTGCCGTCTTGGAGTCCTGGAGCCCTGATTGGAGCTAGGGCAGAGCCTGGCCAGGTACCCAGACCCCCTCCTGGGGCCCACTTGGTCCCTTCTGTCTGTGGATGACTTTCAGCGAGTCACCACGTCCCTCACGGTTTGGTTGCTGTGAAGTGGAGCGGAGGGGTCAAGGTTGCTTGCGTGAGTGCAAAGCCAGCCAGCTGAGGCTGGTGTTCCTCAGGAGCATCCATCCAGCCGAGAGAGGAGACTTGGAAGTGTATATCCTGCGCCATCTCCAAGGGATGGAGCTCCAGTTGCACCCAGCGGTAGCTCTGTTGATGACATGGCCTTGGTTGGCTCTTCCCTGTCTCACTTCTCCACTTCCCTATGGGTATTTCCTAGGATTTACTTGAGTCCAAAGCTTCTCAGTGTCTGAGAGTGTACTGGGAGAACCCAAGGAGACAGCGCCTCTGAGAATCATGGTGGGGAGAACAGGACCTGATGACGAAGTGCTCGGCAAATGACGCCTGATGTTACAGGGATCCTTGCTGACCCACTGGACCACGCCCTCCACACCAGCGCTGGTGGTTCCCCACAGTCTGAGGTCTACTTCCCCCAGCTTCTCTCGCACCTTTAGACTTCTCTGTGGCACTGCTTTCTCCTCTCCTCACCATCTCAGCTCCTCCCTCCTGTTAGCTGTGTGGCCCTGGGCAAGTCACTGCCCCTCTCTGATTCTCCACGTTCTCAGTCCCGTGGCGGGGACCTGACACCCTCTCTGGGCAAATGCCAGCATGCTTTGCTAAGCAGTCCTATCCCAGGTCTTGTGGTGTCTGCCAGAAATCTCCGGGAGGCAGAGGATGAAGGCCTGGGCGTTAGTGTGCCTGGTTGGAGGTCCTGGGGACGAAGGCTGCTGGGGTGGGGGTATTGCACTCCTGGTTGAAGGTCCTGGGGAAGTGTTTGTGGGGCTGTCACTCATTCATCTTGTTAGGCCAAGGTGTGAGGAGGTGGGCCGAGGTGGGTGGGGGAGGTTGACGTTGTGGAAATCACTGAGGGCCTGGAAAGCTGCTGCGAAGAGTCCGGGACTCCTGGGCATAGAGTAATGTTGGTGCCTTGACCAGAGCCTACAGACCTCCTTACTGGGACAAGCCAGCTCCCCGCCTGCTCTGTGCTGTGCTGCTAACCCTTGCATCTCAAACCTGCTTCAGGGAAGTATGCAGCAGAAAAGCCTAGCCCCTTGCCTTAAGGCAGGACAAACTCAGAGGCATAATTTGTGCTGCAGAGCTCCCTTGGGCTCAGGCCACGGCAGGGATGGAAATTGAAGAAACCCTTGCTTGTCTTCTCCTTCTTTTTCCCTGGCTCCCTCGCTGGTTTCAGCTGGAAGAAACTCCCTAGGGAAACATTTGCACCTGAATCCTGCTCTCAGGCTCGGCTTCTGGGAGAACCTGACATGAGACAACCTGCTGGCCCTGGGCACCACAGGCGTGTTTTAATAGAATGAGTTTATTGGTTAGAATGCAGGCTCGGTTACTTATTAAAAAACAAAACCGGCCGGGCGCAGTGTTTCATGCCTGTAATCCCAGCACTTTGGGAGGCTGAGGTGAGCGGATCACTTGAGGTCAGGAGTTCGAGACCAGCCTGGCCAACATGACGAAACCCCGTCTCTACTAAAAAATGCAAAAATTAGCCAAGCGTGGTGGCCGGCGCCTGTAATCCCAGCTACTCGGGAGGCTGAGGCAGGGAGAACTGCTTGAACCCGGAGGCGGAGGTTGCAGTGAGCCCAGATCGCGCCACTGCACTCCAGCCTGGGCGACCCAGCAAGACTCCGTCTCGAAAAACACACAAACAAACAAACAAACACCAAAACCCAAGTTAATGATGGTTTAAACAAGGTAGACGATTATTCGCTCCTGTAGCAGTCAGTGGTTCACGGTGGCGACGGCGGACTGAGTTCTATCCCTTTTCTGCCCTGCCGGGTGTGGGTTCATCCACTTCCTCGCGCCGCTCGCACCCCATTGGCAGTATTGGGTCACATGGCCAGCCGTGGCCGCAAAGGACGTTGGGAAATGTAGTCTTCATAAGGGAGCCAGTCGCTCCCGGGACAGTGGGGTCCACGGCTGCGGGAGGGGAATAGAGGTGGGGACTGTCATTCCCTCTGCAGGGAGGGAGCACAAACTTTAAAGCGGGGACAAGATTCTTTTAGAAAGAATGGTCTTCGTGTAAGAAAATATGCAGAGGATTCTGTGTCTGTGGAAAGGGAGCTCTTGCCGGGGATGCGGGAAGATGTTTCTGGAGGTGCCCGGCCCAGGGCGTCCTGGGGCAAGGAGTGGCCAGGCAGGTCCTATGAGGACCCTCCTAGGGAAATCCGACCTTCTTCCATCTTCAGGGAAAGTGGACACAGGCAGCAGCCTGGGAGGGGCGTCGGAGGTGGGGAAAAGGAGCGGGTGTAAACGGAGCCCTCCAGGCGGGCAGGGACAAGTAGAAAACGACAAAGCTAGGTCGCGAGTGTAACGACACGGAACATGGCAGCAGTGGGGTGAGGGACCCTAGGCCTCCTGGGAACTTCCAGGGCAGTTTGAGAAAGCCAGGTTCCCCCAGGAGGGGTTGGGGCGTTTCCATTTTAAATATTAGCGGGGTGTCCCGGGAGGCTGATAACTGGCTTCCGTCCATTTCCCACACGTGTTTGCAAAACGAATGTGTCAGATGTGCAGATGCGCATCCCTGGCGCCCCAGCATAGTCTGCGGCCTTCTGCCCCGTGGTTACCGTTTTCCGTGGCTTCCCCGAGACACTCCTTGCCCTGGACGCAGCCTCTGACTCCAGCTTCCACTCCAGTAAATAGCCCCGACGTGGACACCTTGCGCAGGCAGCTTTGCTGGCATTTCAGATTTGAGATGATTTCCTCGGGCATGATTCCCAGAAGAGAAGTCGGGTAGGGGAAGTGCATTTGCCTGTAAGGGCCGTGGTTGATACAGCCAAATGTCTGCCTGGTCCAGTGGTGCCAATGTACCCGACCACCTGCAGAGCACAGGCAAAACCTTCCTCGGGGAAGGGTGGGATAGTTTGGTTTCATCTCTTTCCCAGATTTTTAAAGTACTATTGAAGATACTAAGCAATTTAAAAAGTAATTTTACCTATAATCCCGTCTGCTAGCATGTTGATTTATTCCTTCTAGCCTTTTTTCTAAATATAAATTTTTTATTGTGTGAAAATTTACATACACGAGCCTTTTATTATGAAAAGTTAAGACATACACAGAAACAGAGAGTCACATAAGGAACCTTCAGGAAGCCAGCACCAGCTGCAGCAGTGATGCCCACACACAGTCCTGTCTCATCTCTACCCTCAGCTACTTCCCCTCCCAAATTATCTAAACATTCATTCCATTCATCCCAGACACAGTATAATTTAATTCACAAATATTTCAGAGCATAGCTCTGGATGATTAGGATCTTAAAAAATGACAATAACAGTCTTTAGTATTTGCACAAGTAACAACCATCCCTTAATATCAGCAACCATTCAGTCTCTGTTCAGATTTCCAAATGTCTCATGAATAATAGAATTAACAAAAGAATGGTTTGATTTGGTATCTGAATAAGACCCCGCGTCTCCACTGGCTGATGGATTGCCTTGGTGTCTTTCATTTAGTGGTTGCCCCTCCCTGTTTTCTTCCTCATAATTTATTTGTTGAAGAAACTGGGTTGTTAGATTGTAGAGTTTCCCGTAGTCTGTATTTCCGGTAAATCGGTAGCTGGTCTAGTGACTTGACCAGATCAGGTTGGACTTTTTTTTTTTTTTTTTTGGCAAGAACACTTGGTGCAGAGTTCTCTGCTCTTCTGTTGGGAGGCAGTGTTCTGTCTTCTCTTTGTGGTATTAGCAGCTGCTGATGCTCAGTGCCTGGACTCATTAATTTATTAGTGGTTGCAAATAAATTTAAAACAAATTAGTGGTTGCATAACGGTGATATTCTGTCATTCCTTCATGTATTCGCTGAAATGTTTCTATAGAGAGAAACTGACCCTCAACAAAACTTCTGCTATTTGGCTACCTGGTGGTACAGTTTATAAAGTGATATATGCTTGATCTGGTTCCTCTAACAGTTTTCTAAATTAAATTGTTCTTCCAACGATGATCAAGTAGGGATAAAAAAATAAGTACAAACTTGTGAATTCAAAGACATTTTCTGTGTTTTAATTGACTGCATTAATTGCCCTTATTGAAGTTCAAATTGTCCCATCTTTCAAGCTGGCTCTTGAGTACTTTGGACATGACCCCATTGGTCTTTGAGAATGTACTTGCTCTCTGGTTTGGCAAGATGCTGCAGGTTTATTGTGTGCATTTACTGCTCTAGACCTGGAGTCAGCCATTTCTCCCAGGAGCCCTAGTTCCTTTTAGTGAGAAGTGCCTCCACAACCTTTGTCAAAATAGCATGTAAAACAAAATATAAAAAAAGGAAAATAGAATTAAAAAAAAAACACAACTTGGGTACCAGGGGTGCACAGTACTGCTGTGGTCAGTACTTCCTCCTCCTCCTCTTCCTCTTCCTCTTCTTCTTTTTTGAGACAGTCTCCCTCTGTTGTCCAGGTTGGAGTGCAGTGGCACGATCTCCACTTACTGCAACCTCTGCCTCTCAGGTTCCAACAATTCTCTGGCTTCAACCTCCCGAGTAGCTGGGATTACAGGTGTGCAGTACCACACCTGGCTAAGTTTTGTTTTGTTAGTAGAGATGGAGTTTTACCATGTTGGCCTGGCTGGTCTTGAATTCCTGACCTCAAGTGATCTGCCCACCTCGGCCTCTCAAAGTGTTGGGATTACAGGATTGAGCCACCACGCCCAACCTGTGGTCAGTATTTCTACATCATTAAATCATAATGATACTTCCTATTCAAATTTAGGACCGCAGGGCTTTCACTTAACTTCTGTCATTTATTTGTATTCATTTTCTCTAGGAAAGAATCTGGTTCTCAATGACACACATTAATACAGTAAGAAAACCATTTGCATGAAGCCACCGTACACACACAATGATATCAGAATAATACCAGCACCATCGTCAGCATAATGCAATGATTGAAACAGTTTAAAATGATTTTTTCTTTTTGTCTTTAGGGCATATTGCACTAGAAATGTATAGTCAAATTATGGTATTTTAAAGTTCCTTGGAATACTTCCTCTCAATGTGGTTGTAAAATGTGTATACACAGGCCGGGCACGGTGGCTCACACCTGTAATCCCAGCACTTTGGGAGGCTGAGGCAGACGGATCATGAGGTCAGGAGTTCGAGACCAACTTGGCCAATATGGTGACACCCCGTCTCTACCAAAAATACAAAAATTAGCCGGCGTGGTAGCTCGTGCCTGTAGTCCCAGCTATTCAGGAGACTGAGGCAGAAGAATTGCTTGAACCTAGGAGGTGGAGGTTGCAGTGAGCTGAGATGGTGCCACTGTACTCCAGCCTGGGTGACAGAGCAAGACTCTGTCTCAAAAAAAAAAAAATGTATACAGAGGTTCATTTGTTCCCTTTTGCTTTCAATGTTTAGGGGATTTGTAAAACTTTTATAATTATATGACATACTTACATGTTTCTAAAATCAGATCTACAGAATGAATTATATTCAGAGAAGCCTAACTTCTATTCCTTTCTGCCCCACCTTGTCCCCACTCTTCCCCATATGTAACCATTATACGCAATATACAGTTTATCCTTCATGGCATTTGTAAAACATGGCCACAAATCCTTGGATAGTCATCCCATTAAGAGATGTGGTCTATGTCCCTCTGCTTGCATCTGGAGGATTTGTGACTGCTTTAGCTAACAGTGTGGCAGAAATGATGCTCAGAGACTTCTGAGGTGGGTTGTAAAATGCCTTAGAGCCTCCACCCAGCTCACCTGGGGCATTCATGCTTGGAGCCCCCTGAGCCATCACGTGAAGAAGTCCAGTCACTCCAAGACCCCTTTTTGGAGAGGCCGCGTGTAGGCACCTGGGTCCATCCGCTGAGCCCAGCCTTCCAGATGTCCCACCAAACACTGCTGTGTGAGTGAAGCCATCATGGAGCCTCCAGATCAGCCCATCTTCCAACCGGCTGTCAGTGAGTGATCTCCATCAACGCCGCATGGGAAAGAAAAACCACCCAGCCAGCCCTGCCTGAACTCCTGACCCAAATAATCATTTATGCAATAAAATGATTGTTCAGACCCACCAAAAAGGTAGTTTGTTATGCTGCTTCAGGTAATTAGAACACCCTTCCTTTTCCATTTTTAATATAAGCTGGTTCATATATGTGTGTATCCTGTCTCTGTATTAGATAAATGGTAGCATATTAGAGTCACTTCCCTACCTCACACTTTTCACTAGACAATATGTTCTGGCCATCACTCCAGAGAGATTTTATTTTATCTTATTTTATTTATTCTTTATCTGAGACAAGGTCTTACTCTGTCACCCAGGCTGGAGTATAGTAGTGTGATCATAGCTTACTGCAGCCTCAACCCCCTGGGCTCAAACAATCCCTCCTGAGCCTCCTGAGTAGCTGGGACCACAGGTGTGCACCATTGCACTGGGCTAATTTTTTTTTTTTATATAGCGCTTTCCTATGTTGCCCAGGCTGTTCTCAAACTCCTGGGCTCAAGCAATCCTCCTGCCTTGGCCCCCCAAAGCGTTGGGATTACAGGTGTGAGCCTCCATCTCAGCCTCCAGAGAAATTTTAAAGGACAGGTTTGAATTTTGTTTTGTTAGCCAATATAGAAATCTTTTTTCTGCTAATAGGTGAATTAAGACCATATAATCAGTATGTTTAACCTCAGTTCTGTCATATTGTTTTATGTTACATTTATACTTACGTAAATCTTTTAAACAAATTGTTTTTCAGTGTGGCTTTTATTTTTCTCTATCTCTTATTGTTTTTTTTTTTGGTACTAAGGAAGGGTCATATTTTTGCTGAAATGATTACCTTTATACTAATATCTGCACATAATGCTTTCAGTTCCCTCTTTTTTGTCTGTTGGTTTCCTACTATGAACAATATTGAAATGTGCTAGTATCCTCTTCCCTTTCCTTTCCCACAGCACCTGATTTGAATTAATATCCTTTTACTCCTAGTTATTAACTATAAGGCAGTCAACAAGCTTATTCTACTTTTCATATGCTCTTCCCATTTTCCCTCAAATATCTCATAATTGTACTGTAACAGCTGTACTTTATTCCTTACAACCATTGTTTACTCCTAATCGTACAAGTAAGTATATGCTGTATATGTTGAATACGCACCATCAGACCTTATGTTTATGTTTCTCTAGTCACTTTGGTTGCCTGACGCTTGTTTTCTAATAGGGTCCTCAGTAGGTGCTCCCAGGAATAATACTCTTGGAGTTCTTGCATGTTGGTAATTGTTTATGACCCTTATACTTGAACATCAGTTTGGCTGGAGACATATCTTTCTTGGATTGTACTTTACCCCTTTAATAATGTGGCCATACTAGTCCCTTGTCTTCTGGCATGAAGTATTGATGTAGGTAAGTCTGATGACAGTCTGATTTTCCTGATAAGTGACTTAATCTTTTTCTTTCTCTTTTTTCCTTTTGTCATGCCGTCTTGTCTAAGAGTGACTTGATCTTTTCCCAGATTCTCAATGGCATCCATAGAATATGTCATAGAATATGATTCTCTGTTGGATGTGCCGGGTCACTTTTTTTTTAGGTACACAATGTTGTTTCAAGTTTTTATCTATCTCAGGAAAGTGTTTTTAAATTGTAGTGTTTACTCTTTCTTTGATTATCTAGCTTTGGTTTTCTTTTTCAGCAGCTACTATTATACATATGTTAGATCATTTGCCTGTCATCTACATAGTCACTTTCTCTCAATCCTAGTTCTCTGTCTTCCATTTTTTTGTTTTAGAAATGTTCATCATTTTATCTTCTTTGTGTTCATTTGGTCTTGTGTTCCTTCTAGTTTAGTCGTCATTCTGAAATAGGGTTTTTCTTTTATTTCTAATTATTTCTTCAGTTCTAGCACATCTTTCCTGAAGTCTTCCAAATTTTGTTATTCTTTTATAACTTTTGTTACTTTCTTAACTTCTGTTGGCTCATTTTTAAATGAGTTTCTACACTTTGGGGCATGTATTTTGGGGCATGTGTTTCTGGAATGCCTTCATTATCTGTGGGGGCATCATTCATCATTCTCATTTTTCTTACAATAATTTTGTATGGGGTTTAACCACAATCATTTTGTGTTGCTCATTTTTTAATGAAATGAGTTTTCTAAACTCTGAAGAAGAGGGTGGGTCAGAGCCACTTTTCTAACTTCACGGCTCTATAGTTTCCTCTTCTGTTGCTTTTGTGAAGTGTTAAAAAATAGGATCTTGTACTTTATTTTATACCCCTTTTCCTTCCTACCTAAACCTTTTCTCCCTTCTTCCCTCCCTCCCTCTCTTGCTCTTTCTTTCTTTCATTTCTAGTTTTTGGTTCTTGTTGTCTCTGTTCTGCCCATTTTAGATTCTACTCTCAGCCTGTTCTTTTTTTTTTTTTTTTTTTTTTTGACAGTGTCTCACTCTGTCGCCCAGGCTTGAATGCAGTGGCATGATCACAGCTCACTGCAGCCTTGACCTCCTGGGCTCAAGTGATCCTCCTGCATCAGCCTCCCAAATAGCTGGGATTACAGGTGTGTGCCACCATGCCCAGTTAATTTTTGTGTTTTCTGTAGAGACAAGGTTTTGCCATGCTGGTCTCGAACTCCTGAGCTCAAGCAATCTGGCCACCTTGGCCTCCCAAAGTTCTGGTATTACAGGCGTGAGCCACCATACCCTGCCTACTCTTAGCCAGTTCTCAGTGTGGACCCTGCCCTGGAAGGGAGTTCTAATTTATTAGCACTATTCCGGCCCCTCTGACCTTTCTATGAACCCCTTGTAATCACCATGAGTGGGGCGTGTAGCAAGACCTCCCAGTCTCAGCAATGACTGTCACTTCCAGTTGGAAGCAATTAAGACCTGGTGTGCCTCCTCCCTCTTTTTCTTTTACTGCTGTGGTGATCTCCAAAGACACAGTGGCATCTAAGGTAGAGGGAGCCTTGATCCTCCATCATCCCTATAAGGCACACAGAACAGACTGGAGGCAACTAGATCAGAATCCTACTAGATGTTTAAAGGGAATGTGATTCCAGGGAAATCCCATGCCTGGCTTACAAAAGCCTTTGATGACTTGAAACTTAAAAAGGGATTAAATGACATTAGGACCTTTGGCCTTCTAGGAGAGAGGCAGTGGACTGAGAAAGTGGGAAATCTCACCCAGATAGGGATAAGAAGAAAAAGGAAACAGGCAGAAAGAGAACAACCCAAAAGGCAGAATGAAGGGCCCTGGAGGACACTGGACAAGGGAGTTTCTCCCCTGAGAAGCATCAGGGCCTGATGAAAGGCCCATCCTCATCCTCAAGGTAGGGGCTGCCCACAGACTGACCGGTGGGCTCTCAAAGTCACTATGAATCTTTACATGTCTGCACAGGCTCTAGGTGGGAAGGATGCCCGTGGTATCCACCGGAGTATACTGGGGGGTGTGGAGAAGGGTAAGTAACTTGTCATTTTAGTTGAGAAGGCCCTGGACAAGAGGACCCTCACAGACATAGACCTGCACATCACCCTGAGCTGGAGGCAGTGCTGGGTGGGACAGGTTTCTTTCCCTTAGGGAAGAGGGGTGTGTTCTCTGTATAGGAAAAATGGAGCAAGAGTTATCTGGTGACTGTAAGGAAATATTACAGCAGAGACAACCAGCACTCGCTACATATCCATGGTCTCCTTCCTTTCCCAGCCTCCCTGCCTGTTGAGTTGAGGCCACGTGACTCATCCTGGCAGATGGCGGATGCAGCGGGGACCTGCACCAACCGCAGTGGAGACAGTTAAGAGTTGGGGCCTTCTCACATCCTCCTCTCTTGTTGGCAGTAACTGTGGAAGTCATATTGAGAGGATGGAACCGCAGGATGGATGCTGCTTGGATGCCAGTGTCACTGTGTGGAGCAGAGCTGCCTTAGACATTATCCAATTTATCTTAGACTGGGACATGATGAGGAAATGAACCTTAGTTTGCTTAAGCCATCAAGATTGAGGGGTTTTGTTACCACAGCTTGTCTTAATCTGTCCTAACACAGGTGTATACTTCTTTTTTACACAAAATTGAGACCGAACCAATCATGTTATTTTATTTATTTTATTTTATTTTTGAGATGAAGTCTCACTCTTGTCCCCCAGGCTGGAGTGCAGTGGCGCCATCTTGGCTCACTGCAACCTCCGCCTCCCGGGTTCAAGCGATTCTTCTGCTTCAGCCTCCCCAGTAGCTGGGATTACAGGCGCCTGCCACCATGTCTGGCTAATTTTTGTATTTTTAGTAGAGACGGGGTTTCACCATGTTGGCCAGCCTGGTCTCGAACTCCTGACCTCAGGTGATCCACCTGCCTTGGCCTCCCAAAGTGCTGGGATTACAGGTGTGAGCCACTGTGCCCGGCCCAACCATGTTATTTTATAACATGCTTTAAAAAACTGTTAAAGAATCAGCTTAATTGAGGCATAATTTATAGACTTTAAAATTCACCAACTAGAAGTGTCAGTTTGATAAATGGAGACAGCTGTGTAACCCCTGCCTAGGCCCCTTCCTTCACAACCCAGAGACCTCACCTGCACATTTGCGGTTGACTTCCATTCCCACCCCACCCCTCCCACCCCCTCACTAAACATGGATTTGTTTTCTGCCACTAGAGTTTTACCTTTTCCAGAATGCCGTATAAATGGAACATAATGCTTTTGAGATTGAGCCAAAAGTCCATTCCTTTTTATTGCTGAGTCGTATTTCATGGTATGGATGTGCCATGGTTTGTTTATTGCCCATTCAGCAGTTGAGGGACGCTTGGGTTGTTTCCAGTTTTGGGCTATTGTGGATTAAGACGCTATGAACATTTGTGTACAGGTTTTGTGTGATCACATGTTTTCATTTCTCTTGGGTAAATAGCTGAGAATAGAATTTCTGGGTTCTGTGATAAATGTAGATTCGACTTTAGGAAAGGCTGCCAAAATGTTTTCCAGAGTGGCTGTACCATGTTTTATTCTAATCAGCAATCTATCGGAGTACTACCTTCTTCTTCAGGAAGCTACGATAACATCATTATTTTGCAACTTAAGGAAAGACTTTTTTTTTCCTTTTTTTTCTTTTTTCTTTGAGATGGAGTCTCGCTCTGTCACCCAGGCTGGAGTGCAGTGGCGCAATCTCGGCTCACTGCAACCTCCGCCTCCTGGGTTCAGCCATTCTCCTGCCTCAGCCTCTCCAGTAGCTGGGACTACAGGCGCCCGCCACCACGCCCGGCTAATTTTTTGTATTTTTAGTAGAGACGGGGTTTCACCGTGTTAGCCGGGATGGTCTCAATCTCCTGACCTTGTGATCCACCCTCCTTGGCCTCCCAAAATGCTGGGATTATAGGCGTGAGCCGCTGCTCCAGGCCAGAAAGATTTTTTTTGGAAAATGATTTCAATAGTTTGGATAGTTTAAACCATGCCGTATTGTTTCACATTTAGGTCACTTCCATTTTGCTCCCTGGTTTGAGGTGTGACTGTGAAGGGCATCTTGTAAAGGAATTTTAGTGCACATCTCGGGCTATTTCCTGAAGCAAAATTCCTAAAAATGCGGTTAAAGGGTGAACTTTTCTTTCACCTTTTGATATACAATGCCCTCTTAAACTGTTGAACCAACTTCCATTAGAACCAGAGTGAGGGGCTTGTCACCCCTTTCCTGTCTGATTTGGAAAGGGCCTCGTCATGTAGTAAGGATATTCATCTTTCCAGGGCCTTATTTTCACAGTTTTTGTTTTGCCCATCCTACTCTGCTTCAGGAGTTTTTTAATCCACAGGCTTTTTAAGCTATTTTGTCATCAAACGTGTCAGTCTATTCTTTTCGGCTTGTCTTTGGTGATATGCTTGGACAGGGCTTCCTCATCTGAAGAGCATGAAAACAGTCACTTAAACTGCTTTATTTTATTTATTTATTTATTTATTTATTTATTTATTTATTTATTTATTTATTTTGAGATGGGGTCTCACTCTGTCGCCCAGGCTGGGGTGCAGTGGCGCGATGTCGGCTCACTGCAAGCTCTGCCTCCCGGGTTCACGCCATTCTCCTGCCTCAGCCTGTGAAGTTGCTGGGACTACAGGCACCCGCCACCGCACCCAGCTAATTTTTTGTATTTTTAGTAGAGGCGGGGTTTCACCGTGTTAGTCAGGATGGTCTCGATCTCCTGACCTCGTGATCCACCCGCCTCGGCCTCCCAAAGTGCTGGGATTACAGGCATAAGCCACCGCGCCTGGCCTAAACTGCTTTATTTTTTTTTAAGACTTTGAACTTTACATTTGGCACTGTATGTATTTATTTGTAACTGTTAAGTGTATGAGACACGCCAAAGAGAACATGGCACACATGCAAGTTTAACAGATAATAATAAAAATGCTCACCCCAAGATACCCAGGCAGAAGAGGAAGCCACAGAAGAGATTTAGTGTTTTCTCTGTTACATTTATGTAGAGGTTAAAACCAAGTAAAATTGAACTGTATATTGTTTAAGAATACACCTTCAGAACTGTAAAAAGCAAGGGAGTTTTTTTGAGAGGAGAGGGAGATGAAGCTGGGTGGGGACACTCGGGGCCTCCACGGGACTGGAATGCTGTTTCTTCAGGCGGGTGGTGGGCCTATTGGAGTCATTCTGGTCTAAACTGTATCCCGTCATTTTACAAACTCTTTGAATATGTATCTTTCTCTGTGGGTATAGAAAAACCCAAACCAAAGTGCTTTTTCTATCCTATCACTCAACAATCAACACAGAACACTGACCAAATGTAGGGGGATTGTTCCCCACCAGCAAGCAAGCACTTCTGCAGCAGACACCAGCTGGGTTCTGACACCATCGATCTGAAGACAACATCGGACCACAGGCTGAGGAGGGGACAGAGCAGAGACCCCTCCCTCTTAAGGGGACACCAGCACTGCCACCCTACCCCACACAAGGAGATAAAGGAAAATCTTGAGTCCTTTCAGGGGAACTTCCAGGTACCCAGCTAGGCCTGAGAAGTAAATGAGCAGCTTGATAAGCAAGAAGGTAATAGTAACATAAAACAATAGCCAAGGAAGTTAGAGTCAGATGTTTGGTTCCCTATAGAAACTGAAGATAAGATCTTCACGTATGTCCCTGAGTTGTTTTTCAGCACCACACTCTAACCAACTGAGCTAACCGGCCACCGACCCTGAGCTTTTCAAAAACCTGGACCCCCACCACATGGAGTCTGCTGGCACATAGACTCCAGAGAACGGGGAGCTGAGCACTGAACTCTGACCTCTTGCTGTTCTTTGATCTACATTTCTTCCTGAGGGGCCTGAAAGAAGCCACATCCACAGGCCAGACCTTAACATTCCTTTCTGCTGACCCCAAGTTTTTAGACAAAGTCTAGATTCCTTAATCAATGGCAAATCAGAGAGTCTTTGAATCTACCTATGACCCAGAAGTGCACCCACTTCAAGACATCCCACGTTTTTAGGCCAAACCAATGTGTAGCCCCTGTATATTGATTTATGATTGTACTTGTAACTTCTGCTTTCCTGAAATGTACCCCTGTCTTTAAGAAGCCTTGTTTGTAAGCCACTGGGGAGGTTGGGTCTCAAGTATGAGCTGTCCCCATTCTCCTTGCTTGGTGCCCTGCAAATAAGTGCCCTCTCTTCTCCTGCTGCAAAACCTCAGTGTGGATGTTTGGCTTTACTGCACTTGGCAAGCAGACCCCAGTCCAGTGTGGTAGCAAGGGCTCAATCCCCAAGACTGCTCCCCAACTTCCAATGTCAATCAAAAGCCCCAGGTTGTTTCACCTCTGCTTCTGGCCAACTAGCTTGAAATTGGGGTTCCCATGGCCACATCCTTGGGTTTAACTTGCTAGAGTGGCTCACGGAACTTAGGGAGACACTTACTTATATTTACTGGTTTATCACAAGAGATACGTCAAAGGAGACAGCTGAAGGGATGCATAGGGTAAGTTATGGGGAAGGGGTGTGGAACTTCCATGCCCTCCCTGGGAAGCACCGCCCTCTAGGAACCTTCATGTGTTCAGCTCCCTGAATCTGTCCCTTTATGTTGTTACGGAGGCTTCATTATGGAGATACGATTGATTGTAATATGATATGATTGCAATGTCACTGGTGATCAACTTAACCGTCAGTTCTCTCTCCTCTTCCCAGGACTGATCCTGCCTTGGTCTTTCCTCTGACCAGCCCTATCCTGAAGCTACTTAGGGGCTGCCAGCCCTCAGTGAATCATTCACATGCAAGAAGACATCACTTTGGAGATTCCAAGGATTTCAGGAGTTGTATGCCAGGAAAAGGGAAGAAGACCAAACGTATATTTAACAATATCACAGTTCCACATAGCATTTAAGCAAATTTTTAATTGTGGTAAGATTCACATAATATAAAATCTACCATCTTAACCATTTTTAAGTGCACAGTTCAGCGGCATTAAGCGCGTTCACATTGTTGTGCATGCAGTCATCACCACCATCCATCTCCAGAATTCTTTTCATCTTGCAAAACTGAAACTCTGTCCTCATTAAACAACTTCTCATCTCTCCCCCATCCCCGGGCAACCACCATTCTACTCTCTGTCTCTCTGAATTTGACAAGTTGAGGACCTCATATAAGTGGAGTCATGTTTGTCCTTTCATGCCTTAGCGTAATGTCCTCAAGATTCACCATGTGGCAGCACGTATCAGAGTGTTCTTCCTTTTTAAGGCTGAATCTTATTCCACCGTGGGTATCAACCACATCTTATTCATTCATCTGTCAATGGGCTTTGCATAGAATTAAAATTTTCCCCCTTGCATCTCCATTTGACTCCTCAATTGTCCAGGAAGGTACATGGGTGTGTGGTGTGAGGTCTGGGCAGGTGGTCTGCTTTGATTTCCCCACTTCTGAGAGCCATGAGAAACTTGCTCCATTTCACAAGCTTTTGTATAAACCCTATCGTACAGGGCATGGTGAGGAGGCTGAAATAAAGCTATTCTTTTATTCACCAAATATCAGTTGAGCCCCTGTTACTTGGTGTGCATGTTTCTAAGGGCCTGGGGCACTCTCCATGAAGACAGGTGTAAACCCTGCCCTCACTGGTGCTGCGGGTTGGAAGACAGAGACCAATTCTAAGGCAGAGGAGGGAGTGATCGCTTCCAGATTTGTGGGAGATGTTCAAGGAAGGCTTCCTGGGGGAGGCAGCCTTTGATCTGGGCCCTAACACATGGATAGACTGAACAGAAATGAGAAGGGGAGAATTTCACTAAGAGGGAAAAGTTCACCTAAAGGCCTAAGAGCCAAATGTGGGTATTGGTTTGTAGTTTTATCAGAGAGTATTCAGCAGCAGGTGACAGAATTCCTCAACTACAGTGGCTTAGTAATAAAGTCATTGGATTCATAGAAAGAAAACTGCAGAGGCAGTTAGTTCCATAGCTTGGTGGAGCTCCAGGTTCCTTCCATCCTGTGTGTGTTGGTTTTTGTTCTTAGGCTTTTTGCCTCATAGTTGCAAGATGGCTGCCTCATCTCCAGTCATTGCATCATCTCACAGCTTTCAAAGGCTGGAGGCAAGGGGGTCAGCCAATGTGTTAAGAGTCTGCTCCTCTCACGTCTATCTCTTTATACCAGGAGGTCCATCTCTCCCAGCCTTCCCTTATGTTTCATCGTTGTTCAGAAGTACATCAGGAGGCAGCCACAGACCCCCCACTTGCCATGGGGAGTGGGATTCCCTGACTGGTTTGGCCCAGTCAGGATTCATCCTCCAGAGCTGAGCTGTGCAACAGAGCTCTCTGTGTTGATGGGAATGTTCCAGATCTGTGCTGTCCAAATGACAGCCACCAGCCACAGGTGGCCATTGAGCACCCAGAATGTGACTCATTTGATGGAGGAGTGGAATTCTTACTAAAGGTCATTTTCATTTGTTTAAGTGTGAATGTGTGGTGAGAGGCTGCTGCAGAGGACAGCCCAGTTCTGGAGGTTGCGCCACTGACCCCTCGCTGGATGAGGTCTGGCTTCTGTTAATGGGGAGAAGGGAGATGTCAGTTGAGGAGGTGACAAAGGCATCTGCCCAGGGCAGCACCTGCAAGTAGATAAGGAACCAGTGTGTGTGTGTGTGTGTGTGTGTGTGTGTGTGTGTGTGTGTGTGTGTGTGGAGGGGGAGAGGCATTAGAGGAGGCCTGGGTGACCGCAGCACCTCCACTTTCTTCACCGGGAGGGGGAATGGGAGAGAACTCACCCATGCACCCACCAGCACGCGGGCTCTTCAGTCCCACCCTGAGGGCTTCAGAAAGCTCGGTGCCCTCTCTGGGGTCTCCTGGGCCCCTCTGGCTCTGATTTTGTCTCCGCATCCGGGCCCCTCTTTAGGTCTTCCCAGCTGAGGAGGAGGAACTGACACGACAGCAAATTCCAAAGTCCGTTCTTCCTCTCCTGAATCACACTCGGCCTGGCCAGCTCCCTGCTGGCCACAGGGTCAGGGCTGGAGGAGCCTCTTGTAGGCCTGGTGTCTGGGAAATGCTCCCATGAGCCTGCAGGGAGGGGCGGGTCAGCCCCTTTCATAGGCCAGGAAGGTGAGCTGGTCCCTCTGGCCGGGAGGTGGCCTCGGCCAGCCTGGCACGCCCAGCCTCCGGAATCTGAGCTGGAGGCAGCCACAGGCCCTAGGCCGTAACTCAGGGCCAAGTCAATGGAAACATGGTTTGGGTGTATTTTTAACCTTGCTGGCTGTGAGCTAAGAGGCTGGCTCTGGCATCTGTGTGGTCAGTGAAGATGAATGGCTGGGCTGCTGGGCAGCAGTGTTCAGCATCCCGGTTGAGCAGGCCTCTTGCCCACCATCCCCCTTGTCACTGATGGTTCATATGGGAGGGGGAGAGGGGCAATGGGCAGGAAGCCAGTACCCCTCCTGCCAATGCCCCTCCTGTCTCTCCCTCCAGCACCTGGGCTGTGGAGAGAGGGTTCAGTTCGAACCCTGGCTCTGCCTCTTACCAGCTGTGTAACCTTGGGCCAGTTACTTTACTTCTCTGTGCCTCAGTTTCCTCACCTACAAAATGGGCATCCTAGCACTGTCTCCTGGGGCCAGTGTGAGCCCAGCATCTGCTCATGGCAAATACTCAAAAACAATGACCAACATTGGCACAGCCAGCTCCGGTCCACCAACTTTCTATACCAACCCACAATGAGCTCCACAATTATTGCCTAAGCAGCTACCATCACCTTCACCTTGTGGTTGGGAAACCAAGGCACAGAGAGGAAAGTAACCAGTGCGAGGCTCACAAGTGGGGCTAGCAGGGAGCACAGATCTGAGCCCAGGAGCCCTCTTCCAGCAAGGCTGGCCTCTGGCGCCACGGCTGGGTCATTGGCTTCTGTGTTCCTGGGATGCTGGGTCCCACTGCCTGTGGGGGCCTCAGGCCCCTCGTCGCTTATCTACTGATCTCTGCCTCCACTCCTGCTTGTGAGCCTCAGGATGGTGAGTGAGTGAGTTCGCTTGTTCGGCTGTTTATTCATTTACTCACGCACTCATCCCACCCGTGTCCACAGAGCCCCTTGGTGGGCGGACTCTGCTCTGTAGATGCCACCGTGCCCACAGCCCGCCCTCACCAAACTCAGTCTGGTGGAGCCAACAGACATCAAAGAAACAAGCAGCCACAATGACAGTCAAGGGGCACTCGTGGAGAGAAATGGGGAGCTTTCAGTCTTGGGCTGAGTGGTTTGGGAAGCCTTGCAGAGGAGGTGGGTTTTTTCTGGAACTAGGGGACAGACAGTGGGGGCAACAAAGCAATTTACTTGGAGGGGCCTTGAGGCTGCATATGAGTTGGACCTGGTCTAGCAAGGAAAGAGGGAATGGTGCACCAGGCAGAAAGAATAGCAGTTGCAGAGGCATGAGTGGAAAATGCCGAGCCTGGTGTGGCTGGGGCTGCAGGGTGCACAGGGGAAGCCAAACTAGCTCCGACCTCCCCTCTGCTCCCTCCCCTCTGCCACCATCCAGGGCACAGCTGGCTTCCTGGGCAAAGGAGAAGCCTCCCTCCCTGTGGCTCCGTCTCGGGGAAGAGGCTGATGCTGGCTGGCCCTTTTACACTTTCTGGTGGGGGCCAGGCTGCCAGCTGGATCAACGAACAGCCAGTGCAAAAATGTCAGGAGCAATTAGAAGGTACCCGTGGTCTGAGCTTTATCTGCAACAATACGTCTTTATTAATGAGGCTTTTAATGATGCAACCAAGAGTGCTGGCAGAAACGGTCACAGCTACCCATCCTCTGGGGTTGCGCTTTTTTTTTTTTGAGACGGAGTCTCCCTCTGTTGCCCAGGCTGGAGTGCAGTGGCGCAATCTCGGCTCACTGCAACCCCCGCCTCCCATGTTCAAGTGATTCTCCTGCCTCAGCCTCCTGAGTAGCTGGGATTACAGGCATGCGCCACCACACCAAGCTAATATTTTTGTATTTTTAGTAGAGACGGGTTTTCACCATGTTGGCCAGGCTGGTCTCAAACTCCTGACTTCAGGTGATCCACCCACATCGGCCTCCCAAAGTGCTGGGGTTACAGGCGTGAGCCACTGTGCCCGGCCTGGGCACGTACTTTTTTGTGTGTGTGTGTGTGGGGTGGGGGCAATGTCTTGCTCTGTTACCAGGCTGGAGTGCAGTAGCATGATCTCGGCTTACTGCCACCTCCGGCTCCCGGATTCAAGCCATTCTCCTCCCTCAGCCACCCGAGTAGCTGGGATTATAGGCACCCATCACCACGCCCAGCTAATTTTTGTATTTTCAGTAGAGATGGGGTTTCACCATGTTGGCCAGGATGGTCTTGAACTTCTGACCTCGTGATCCGCCCGCCTCAGCCTCCCAAAGTGCTGGGATTACAGGCGTGAGCCACTGCGCCCAGCTGGGTGTGTACTTTTAATTCACTGCTGCAGCCCCTGATGGAGATGAGGCCTTGAGTTCTGCCCCCTTGAAAGCTCAATCTCCTCCCTGTGAAATGGGGTTATGGTGTGTATCAGTTAGGTATTGTGCCATAACAAACAGCTCCTAAACTCAGGGGTAGAAAACAACAACAATTTTAATTAGCTCACGGTTGTTTGTTGGGCTCAGCTGCTCTCAGCCACTTGGTCACTGTCTGTGGCCTCAGCTGGGACATGTGGGCCTGGTGATTTAGGGGCCCTCTCACTCCCCAGTGGGCTAGTCCTGGCTGGGTCATAGGTGGCAGAGGAGTCCCCAGCACAAGAGTGGAAGGGGCAAGGCCCCTTGACACCTAGTCTCAGAACTGGCACAGCATTGCTCTGCCTTCTACTGGCATGGCAATCACATGACTTGAGGGAGGGGAGACAGAGTCCTTTCTTCGTGGAAGTTGCTGCAAATAATTTGCAGCCGTATTTGCAATTTAGATGTAGTGAAATCAATCTTGAGTTATATCAATAACGTTTTCTGAGCACCGCCCCTTCCCCTGGCTCTGATATGCAGGCCTTATGCTGGGTAGTGCTGGGACCACAGGGAGAAATCTGACTTGGTGTCTCCTTCCCAGGAGCTCTGATGGAGGACACAGACACAGTCAGACAGGAGCACATACAAGGTGCTAGAAGCCAATGGAAAGTTTGGCTTAACAGACAAAAGGGTTGGCCGGGCGCAGTGGCTCATGCCTGTAATCCCAGCACTTTGGGAGGCCAAAATGGGCAGATCACCTGAGGTCAGGAGGTCCAGACCAGCCTGGCCAAGATGGTGAAACACTGTCTTTACTAAAAATACAAAAATTAGCCGGGTGTGGTGGTGGCTGCCTGTAATCCCAGCTACTTAAGAGGCTGAGGCAGGAGAATCGCTGAACACAGAAGGCAGAGATTGCAGTGAGCCAAGATCGCGCCACTGCACTCCAGCCTGGGCGACAAGAGTGAGACTCCATCTCCAAAAAAAAAAAGAGGTCATGGGGGTCACGGGGTGGTATGTATGTGGGGAATAAACTCTAAAGGGGTTGTGAAGTGTCCTGTGGCTGCAGGGGACTGGAGCTACCCTTGATTCTGCACTGATTCTTTCCCAGTGGTGTTCATGATGGTCTTGTCAGCTTTGTGTTGTTTGCTAAGGCTCAGAGTTGGTGAGGTTATGCAGCCTAACAAGCTCTCAGATTGGGATCCAAGTATACCTGGCCTTTGGCATCTGTCTTGAGCCAACTGGCTTTGACCCTGATGGACTCAGTAAGTGAGACACTCCCAAGTGAGCCAATGAGGCTCAGGCCCCAACACGGAGGTGTGTGTGTGCAGGTGAGCTTGGGGAGGCAGGTGGCTGAGGCTTGGGCACAGAGGCTGGACCAGACACAAATGCCTAAAGGGTTTCCAGGGGATACATTCTGGGATCCAGAGTCAGGACCTACTTTGTGGGAACCACTTGTTCCCTAGCCCCTGTTCTGCCCTGGCTTTGCCGCCCAGGGCTCACGACCTTTCTTTCCCTTCTGATGTGTTTGTCGCATGTCAGTCTTGCTGGGAAGAAAACAAAGGAGATGCAGCCTTCAGCTTTTCCTTGTCACCTGGAGAGGAAGCCTCCAATGTCTTCCAGGGTGGGGCCTGCCCCAGAGGAAGCCACAGACACTGTGGGTGTCTTCTGGATGGCAGGAGTGACAATGGCAGCAGCAGCAGTCACAGGGACAGCAACGTTTGCCAGGCACTGTCCTGGCCTTGCCTCTTTGAATCCTCATCATGTCCCCAAATAGGTGTTATTAAGCCTGTTTCACAGATGAGGAAATCAAGGCATGGAAAGGTGAAGTGGATTGCCCAGATCACACAATGAGTAAAGATGCAGCCCTGGGAATGTCCGATGCCAGCAGCCCTGCTGTCTTCAGCAAGTTGGCAGCCTCAGGAGCCAGTGGGTACCAGGCTCAGGAGCCCAGTGGGTACCAGGCTAACTGCTTTGTCTATGTCATGGCCCTGAATCTCCACAACCACCCCACCTACGGCTGCTATCACCTAAGGTCTTGGAGATGGGGAAACTAGGGCACAGAGAGGCAAAGCAACCTGCCCAAGGTCACACAGCAGGTAGGCAGCAGAGCCAGGAATGGGTCACAGCAGTTGGGACTCTGAAGAGTCCTCGTTCTTAGCTGCTGGGCTGGGAACCCTCTGGGCTCCAGGCCCTGCCGGGAGAGCGGGGCTGTAAGAGGCCAGTGTGGGCATCTTTGGGATGGTCCCTGTGAGAAAGTTCACTCTCTGAATCTTTGCTTCCTTGTGGTCTCTTCTGATGTGGCCAGAGGGAAGAGCAGAGACGCCATGGAGGTAGGCTCGGCAGGTGGAAGGCTGTGGGGAGGAACAGAGGGAGGCTGACCGGGATGCAGCTCTCTCCACTCTGGGAGGCCTTGAGCTCCTGCAGCTGCCTTGGGCTCTGGGCACAGGCCACCTCCTGGGCCTCTCTGGGAACCTGGATGTTTGGACACCCCCATCCTCTGGTCAGGGGTCTTAGGGAGTACTCACTTTACAGCAGCAACAGCAATAGCAATAATAACAGCGTGGCTGCCACTTCCTGAGCACTTACTAAGTGCCAGGCACTGCCCTAGGAGCTTACTCCTGGGAGGCAGGGGCCGTTCCCATTTCCATTTTACAGGGGAGAAAACAGAAGCACAGAGAGGGTGAAAGACTCACTTTCTAGGCCAGCAAGTAGAAGGGCCAGGGATTAGACTCTATGCACCTGGACCCTTCACTGCTAGGGAAACCAAGGCCAGAGAGAGGAAAGGGCCCACCCTGATGCCCCAGCACTGGAATAGAAGAGCCAGGATCAGAAATGCCAGGTGCCACCGAGGACAGAGGAATGAAGGTGGGGTCCCACGTCCCGTGCATGTTCCCTTAGCTCCCTGGGCCTCTGTTTCTCTGTCTGTAAAGTAGAGATGCTAACGGCACCTGCCCCAGATAATGGGTTTGAAGATTAATTGTTAATGCACACAAAGCACTTAGGAGACAGCCTGCATGCAGTAGGTGCCTGGTGCAGCCGCTGTCACCACTCTGCTGGGGCCCTGGGGCTGTAGTGCTGGCACTGGGTCTCTGGCGAGGCAGTGGGCAGCTGGGACATCCCCACAGTTTACAAGAGATAGCCTTGAGGTAGGACCCGCTCACCCAAGTCCGGCAGAGAGGACAGCCAGGCTTACATGACTGACTGCTCGGCGTCTACCCACACACCAACCTGGTGTCCCCTCACTGAGCTCCCTGGCCTGGTTGCTCATTGCGTGGGCCTCAGCCAAGGCTGGCCAGCCTGGCAGGATGAGGCATGTGGCTCGAACCCTTGGGGATGCCCCCTTGGTGGCAGGGAGGGCCTGCCCAGAAGGGACTCTCTGTTTATGGGTGTCACTGGCCAAGAAGCTGGCAGTGCTGACAAATCTCGTGTGGTCCTCATGCTGTGCAGGGCTTGTTCTCAATGCTTTATGCCTAACTGACAGGGCAGGGAACAGCAGCAGCCCATTCTGCAGATGGCAAAACTGAGCTGAGAGGCAAAGTTCCACAGCTGGTGAGCCACAGGGACCCAGAGGCTGCACCTTGACCACCACCTAGTAAGTGGGGTACTTTCATTATTATGAGTTAATTACTGGGGAAACAGGCACAGAGAGGTGAAGTGTCTTGCCCAGGGCTGCTCAGATGGGAAGGGGTAGAGCTGGGGTTGGAAGCCAGGTTCCCCAGCCAGAGGCTGCAGAGGTCCCCTTGCCACCCTCAGCGTAGCCATGCCCCCAGACCCCCCTGTGGCCCTGCCTGTCGGCTCACCTGGTCCTTCAGCATTCACCCCAGGCCCAGGCTGCTGTGTGCAGTCTCTGATGGGACAATGATCTTCCCAGGCCTCAGGGTGCCCATCTAAGAAATGGCCTTGAAGCCCCAGTCTTGGGGAATGGGGGTCTGCAGGTGGCCCACGTGCTGCCTGGGCTCCCTGATGCCCTCCTGTCTCAGCTGCATCCTTCTGGGCCTGATCTTGGAAGCATAACGGGGCTGCCAGGGCCCTGCGGGAGGCCCCTTGCAGCCTCACCTGCCGCCTCTGGAAATGCACGCAGCCCTGTGGGAGTGGGAGGCCCTGCCCACCCTCTGCGTCCTCGCCTCGCCCTGCTGTCCTCCCGAGCTGAGTTAGGGATTCGGGGTGCATTCTGCCCTCCCTCTCCCTCCTCGGGCCCTTTTCCTCCCTTTGAACTGTCTGTCTGTCTCGCTGCCGAGGAGGAAGCTATTCATAGCCAAGGTGATGCAAAATTCATCAAGTGTGGCTGCTGGGGCTGAGGCTGCCCCTGTGCGTGGCCAGCGCACCCCGACCACTCAGCACTCTTCCTCAGCAGGTGCGAGTGAGTGTGTGACTCTTTGTGAGAATGTGAGTGTGTGTAAGTGTGTAACTGTGATTGTGTAACTATGAGTATGTGTGACTCTGTGTGTGATTCTGTGTCTCTGTGTGAGTGTGTGACTCTCAGTGTGTGTGAGTGAGTTTGTGAGTGTGCGAGCGAGTGTGGGGGCACCTCCTCGGTCCTCTCCCGAGCTGCCTCTCTCCTGGCCTCTCCTCTGGGTCTCCACTCCGGACACCGAGCTCAGCACAGCTTCTTAGGAGGGAGCAGAGCTGGTGGCATTAGCCCATGTACTCTTCACGTTCTGGCCAATTCTGGGCAGGGCTTCTTTCTCCCCTTACCTGGATAACAGTTTGTTGTTCTAATTCTCAACAGTGAGAATTAGACACAACAGTGGTCATACCTCTGGAGCCCACACCATGAGCCAGGCGTTGTTCTCACAGACTCATTCCATCTTCACAATACCCTACGGGGTAGTGGCGATTACTACCTGAATTTTACAGGTGGGTAAACTGAGGCACGGAAAGGCTGGCTAGGGCAGCTGGGGCCTGAGGGTGGAGGGCTGGGAGGTGGAAGAGCTGGGATTTGAACCCCTGTCTGTCAGCTTAATCACCACTGCTTACCCAATGCACCATTCTGCCTCCCTCTCCATTGGTCCTGTGGGTAGATCCATAGATTGATTGATTGATTGTCTTCCCCAGAGACTCCAGGTGCAGAAAGATTCTGGTGCTGGAAGCTTCCTAGAGGACTGGTCTCTATCCCCTTCCCAGAGGTAGGTGAGGACCAGGGAGGAGACATGAACTAGCCAGGGAGGGAGGGCCGACCCCACCTGACTCCCCACTCTGGCTCTGCTCTTGGCCACTGCTGGGGCTGTGGCCACAGGCATGGCCTGGGTTGGCCCGGCACCTCCCCTGGCAGGGCAGCCAGCCTGAGCCGCATGGGCCGCCCTGCAGAAGCATGGTCTGGGGATGGTAATGAACACAGCAAATGTTTCACTTGCTCTGCTTCTGGGCCCCCGTGCTCAGCGCTCCTCCCTCACAGCAGCCCCGGGGGCATGGGTGTCCTTTTCCTCCCCAGCAGGTCCGGATCCAGAGCCCTGCCTCTCAGCCTTGTCTCTGCGTGGGCTGCTGTTTCTCCTGTGTCCCTGGTTGGGGATTCCCCCGTTTTTATTGAGGTAAAATTCATGTAAGGTAAAATGGCCCTTCTTTTTTTTTTTTTTTTTTTTTTGAGACAGAGTCTTGCTCTGTTGCACAAGCTGGAGTGCAGTGGCGCAGTCTCAGCTGTCTGCAACCTCTGCCTCCTGGGCTCAAGCGATTCTCCTGCCTCAGCCTCCCGAGTAGCTGGGATTACAGGCAAGCTCCACCACCCCCGGCTAATTTTTGTATTTTTAGTAGAGACAGGGTTTCACCATGTTGCCCAGGCTAGTCTTGAACTCCTGACCTCAGGTGATCCACCTGCCTTGGCCTCCCAAAGTGCTGGGATTACAGGCGTGAGCCACCGCGCCCAGCCAGAAATTGCACTTCTTAAAGTGTACAAATTAAGTGGCATTCTGCTCACGATGTTTTGCCGTCATCACAACTCTCTAGTTCCAAAACGTTTCCATGGCTCCAAAAGAAGATCCCGTGAAAATGCGGCACACTCACTCCCCGTGTGCCCTCCCCCGAGCCCCTGGAAGCCTCTGAGCTGCTTTCTGTCTGTATGGGTTTGCCAGTTCTGGGCATTTCATATGAATGGAACCCTAAGCATTTGTCCTTCTGTGCCCTCAAAGTCTGTGCATGTTGTACCAGTGCCGGAATGCCACCCTCTTCATGTCATGGATGAAAGACATTCCATTGTGTGGACACACTTGGTGTGTTCATTCATCTGTGGGTGGACTCAGGGCTGTTTCCACCTCTTGGCTACTGTGAACAGCATTGTTATCAGCATTCATGTACAAGCTTTGTCTGAACACCTGTTTTGATGCTTTTGGGTAGAGGCCCAGAAGCGGAATGGCTGAGTTGCTGTCCCTGGTGTTTAATGGTTTGTTTTCTTGCTGTCCAAGGCCTTAACAACAGTCCTCATGGTCTCATCCTGTCTGTGTCTTCCCTCTGGGCTCCCTACCTGCCCATCGGTCCAATCCAAGGCTGCTTTTTACTCCTCCCTCCCTAAAAACCAGGAGCTCCAGCCAGGGACCCAGGACCCCAAGGGACAGGCTCCAGATGAGGAAATCAAGGTTCTCAGGGGAAAAGGGTTTCACCCCACAAGTTGGAGTGGAGCTGGGATTTAACCTTAGGCCCCCTCCCCCCACCCCGGACCCCTAGGTCCTGGTTCTTTGTGCTGTAGCTGCATGTCCCACATGGGGATATCACTCCCAGAGAGAGCTGGCCACATTCCCAGCATCTTATCTGTTGGGCGTTGGCTTTCCTGGAAGATCCAGGGCAGGACGTGAGGCTCTTGTATGAAAACAAGCCTCAAGTGGACTCTGCAGCAGAATGCCAGCCTTGCATACACTTCCAGACTCAGTGAACGGCATCCAAGAAATGTCATGGCTTGAATGGGCAGGGACCCCCTGGGACTCCCTTGGCCCAGCCCTCGGCCTCAGCTGCTCCATGACTTAGAAGCGGGGAAGCTTTGAGATGGCCTCCTCAGGGTGCGCTGGGGAGGTCTCTTTGCCATGTTCAGAACTCGCCCTGGCCTGGACTCCCCTGGAGCTCCCTTGAGCTTCTCTGAACCCCTAGGTGACAGGGGAAGAAACCCTCAGATGGGTGATCACGGCCCTTCCCGCCCCCTGGTCCCAGGCATTGATGGGGCTGTGGCATTTGCTTTTCCTTCCTCCAGGGGTCCTGGCTCCACTCAGCTTCCCACTCCTCCTGCCCCCTCCAGAGCAGCTGCGTCCCTGCGATCAATATGGAGCTGATCAATCTATCTGTCCCTCTGCTTGGCTGAGGAAGCCAGCAATGATGGCCACCTTGGGACCCCATGAGTGCTCCTGAGACTGTGGCATGTATCACCTCCTCACTGCACAGGTGGGGAAATTGAGGCCTCCAGAGGGTCAGGGCTTCCCAAAGTTCCCAGCAAGTCTGTGGGGTGGGAAGGGCTGGAACCTGCTCAGCTGGCTTCTCTTTCAGACATCACGTCTGTGATGCATATGGTCCTGGGTGCCCTGTGTCCCCGTGGCCATGCCTCAGGGGTCCTGAAGTGCTAAACCATGAATTCATCAAATGTTGACTGAGTGTCTGCTCTGGGTTGGGCAGGCCCTGTGCATCCAGGGATGCCTAAGACAAGGACCCTGCCCTCACGACGGAGCTGATGTTCTCATCGGGAGCGGGACAACACTGAGATGTCAGGTGGTAGTGAGCACAATAAACCAGCGAAATGGGAAGGAAAAGGTCAGGGAAGACCTCCTGGAGGAGACATTTGAGCAGATGCCTGAAGACAGTGCGGGATGAGTCACAAGATGCCAGCAGGAAGAGCTTTCCAGGCAGGGAGCAGCAGTGCAAATGCCCTGTGGTTGGCATGTGCTTGGCACTTGAGAAAGTTGCTTCAGAGCTGGCAGAGCTCACAGGCCTGGCCCCTACTGTAGGCACTCAGCCTGGCCTCCATGGATTCATTCCACATACTTTAAACATTCCAACTAGGGGCCAGCATTTTCAAATCTAAGATTTGTTTCCATAAAAAGTCCTGATTTCCAGCCTTTCTTAAGAAATTGAAACCTAGAGTCAGGAGTGTCCACCCCTTTGGCCTGCCTTATCCACCCTCTTGCTTGAGTCCTGCAAGGGCTTGTGGCCCTGGCAAGAGGATGTGGTTGGGGCACAGATGGCACATGCGTTATCACAGGTTTCTGCTTCTTTATATTCTGTCTGGAGAAAAACACTGGTGATTGAAGCACGGTTGCCACCCAACGAGGCAGAACTGAAAGGTCACTGAACGGTCTTGACCACATTCTCCTGGTTGTCACCAGTTGCTGGCAGTTTGCAGCAATCTCTCCACCTTTGGAAAGTCGGGGGTCGGGGGGCGTCCACCGCCCCTTGCTGTAGCTGTGCCACCCCTAACTGAAATCTCGGGCAGGTCACTTCGTCACTTGGTCAAGGTCCTCCATGTTTCTGTGCCTCAGTTTCCTTGTCTGGAGAATGGGGGAAATGAACACTGGGCTGTCTAGCTTAGGACAGAAACAAGAGCAGTCAGGGGCTTTGATGCTTTAGGGCTAAACATCTTACTCATTTTCAAGTTATGGTAAGAGAGAGAATGTTTGGGGACGTGCCAGCCCTCAGATTTCAGCCAAACCCAAGCTGGCATTCAGAGCCTCTGAGGTCTCGGCATGGACACACCCAGTGTCCATCCCTTCCTTCTCCTTCCCCTCTGGGGCCCCAGCCACCTGGCTTTATCTCCCACTCTGCACCCACTCACTGTGCGACTCATGCTTTTGAGCACCTGTTGTAGACCAGGCCCCTGCTAGGATGAGTGGCAGGCTGTGGTTTGAGCAGGCCCCTGGGGACGGGCCTGCTGCAGGCCTAGCTGTGCTCCCATCCTAGCCTGTCAGGTGGGCCCCATCCCACCCCCATGGGCCCCTGCTCTGACCCTCAGGTCATTTCCCAGTATCCTTTGCCCTCAGGCTTCTGCGCTTGGTGGTGGTGGGGGAAGGGGGCACGTCTCTCCTTATGTCTCTCCTCGGATGGCCTCCTAGCAGCGGCCACCTGCCCCCACCAGCCCCATGGCTCCAGACACCCCTGCCGAGGCTCCAGCTCCCTTCGCATGAACACAGCCCCTGGGACTGGTGACCCTGTTGCTTTCTTCCCTGCCTCCAGCCTGGGATGGCGGCTTCCTGCTGATTTCAATCCTGGATTCCTCCTCATCCCGTTTAGCTCTCAGAGCCTTTATCACAGTGTGACCAGCTCCCTAGACGCAATTCTCTCTGTTGGAGAGAACTGGAGGGCTTCTTTTTCCTGGCTGGATCCTGCCTGATTCCGTGGCCATGTCCTGACTGCACAGATCAGAGTGGTCTGGCTGTGGGCCTCTTTCCTTGCCTGAATCATGAGCTTCCTGAGGACGAGGACTGATGGGCTTCTTCCACAGTAACAGACTCAGCTTCGAGGAGGCCTCAGTGATGTCACACCTCATGATGTCAGCTGATACCACTTCTGCAGCAGGCACAGCCAGGGCCAGTCAGGCAGCTCCAGGGCATGAAGGGTCAGTCCCTACCCCCAGCCCTGAGCATCACCTAGTGGCAGGGGAGGCCAAGAGGGAGACCCCTGGCCTGCAGTCTCCAGGGCAGAGAATCAGCCCAGTCAGCAGGGCCTGCTATGATCTCTCTCTTGCCCTCTCAGTACTGGCTGAGGAGGGGCCTGGACCCCAGACCCAGGACTCCTCTTCCTTCTTGTTCCCACAGGCTTGGGGCCCTCACAGTCGCTCTGGGCTGACTTACTCTCAAGTCCAGCCCGTTCCTAGGACCAGGTGTTTGGAGCTCAGAGGGTTTGTTTTATGGCCTTGACTCTCATCAGGGCCTGTGGCAGAGCCCAGCTTCCCCTACTGAAGCCTCTTACACAGCTGGACACAGACCCAGCTACACAAGGGTGCACAGGGACACAGACACAACTACACACAGATATGTACATGTGCGCACAGACACACATGGGTATGCACAACACAGACACACAGGGACACATACAGTCACACATGAGTACACACAGACGCGGACACATGTGCACACATGGACACACATGATCACATACAGACACACAGGGACATACAATCACACATCAGTACACACAGACACACATGGACACACAGGCACACACATACAGACACATCTGCATAGGCACACACACATATACATGGACACACAAATATAGATAATAGAGACATACATATCTATACCTGCATAGATACAGAGACACAGACATGCAAATACAGATACGCCCAGACACACACACGCAGCCTGGGGCTGTGATGGGGTAATGCCGGGTGCCTGGTGTCCTGGCCCAGCCTGGTGGGGCGGCAGGCCTGAGGGTGAGTCCCTTCACCCCATTAGCGATGCATTTTCAGAAATACAGAGGCAGCAAGAAGAGGCCAAAGCCTTGGCCAGCATCCGGGTGGTTTCAGGTGACATCTGTCATACGGAGAAACACGCCTCACGGTTCTCCTCCACCTCCCCGATGGCTGCCCTGCAGCTCACAGGCCCTCCCAGACGCCCTTTCCTTTTCGCACCATCAGTGTCTCCGCCTTTCCACACCATCAGTATCTCCGGGTTGAGGCTGTTGAGGCTGCAGGCCCCCAGGCACGTGCCAGATGCGGACGCTGTGGGCATTTCCGCTCAGCTGCAAGAACAGCGCCACTGAGGCATCCAGAGGCTGCAACCTCCACCAGCAACAGTCACGTCCGTGGTGTTTGTGCTTCACTACAAGTCCCTGGCCAGCAGGCTGGCACGTTTCATTTTCATTTTCGTGGGCACTGTGCACGGCCCCATGTTCACAGGAATCCAGGCACGGAGTGGACGTCCCCTCCCTGCCGCATCCCCAGCCTCTCGGTTCTCTCCAGAGGTCAGCGCTGGATTGTTTGTGTGTCCTGCTGGAGACTCCCGTACACACAGCATTGCTATGACATCTTTTTTGTGGTTCTTTTTTGTTTTGTTGGTTTTTTGGTTTTGGTTTTTTTGAGACAGAGTCTCACTTTGATACCCAGGCTGGAGTGCAGTGGTGCCATCACAGCTCACTGCAGCCTCAAACTCCAGGGCTCAAGGGATCCTCCCGACTCAGCCTCCTAAGTTGCTAGGACTACAAGCATTAGCCACCACGTCCAGCTAATTAAATTTTTTTTTTTTTTGTATAGACAGGGTCTTCCTATATTACCCATGCTGGTCTCGAACTCCTGGGCTCAATCAATCCTCCTGCCTTGGCCTCCTGTAGTGCTTGGGATTACAGGCTTGAGCCTCTGTGACTGGGCCCTTTTTTGTGGTTCTTATTTTGAACAGAAAAGGTAGCCTGTGTGGACACTGCTCTGCACCCTTGGTTTTGCAAACCTGATGCATTGGGGAAGTGTCTCATGTGGTGACAATGGAGCTGCCTCTTCTTTTTTCCTGGCTGTCTCCCCTTCAACAGTGTGGATGTCCCCACACATTATGCACCCCGCCCCATGGTGGCATCCTGGTTATGCAGAGAGGCTGCAGTCAGCACCCTTGCTCAGGGACCTGGTTATCTGTGAGTCAAAGTCATCAGTAGGTCTGGGGACACTCCCCATGCCACTCTGGGGTCTTTGACAACCTGATGGGTGAAAAATGGCACCTCCAGTTAGATTGAATTTGGTTTACACTTTTAAGAGTGAGCAGTATGGTTTTGGGGGGTGGAGAGCAGGGCCCCCAGGCCAGTGGTCAGTTGTTGCAGGGGGTGGGACAGCACTAACCACGCCCAGGGTGGGTGGGGCCCCTTGCCCCCCAGGTTGGTGTTGAGGACAGGCAAAGCTTCCTGAAAGAGCTTCTTCACTGGGCCATGGGGCGGGTGAAGGATTTCCTCAGGGGAGGAAGAGAGAGAGGGTTCCAGGCAATGGAACAGCACAGGCAAAGGCAGGGCTCCCTGAAAGTCTGCCTGAAAGTCAGGGTGGGTTTAGGGAGCAGAGGGTTGCCAACTTGGTGGGAGGGGACATGGACAGGCCATCTTGCCCAGAGCCCCAGTTTGTCTTCTGGGCACTGGGGAGCCAAGTCAGGAGAGGGAGGAGGGAGGGCCAAGGGCAGGGTCTTCTTCATCCGGGGGAGGAAGAGACAAGCAGAGGCAACCCTAATAAACGAGGCCTGTCCCCCCAGCAAATAATGAACCCGGATGGAGCAGAGGCCGATGTTTTATTCATGGCCGGCACAGGGCAATCAATTACCCACCCAGCCGCTGCCCGGCACTGCCTCCATCATCCTGCCATCCTGCGCTATTTTGGGCTTGGGCTGGGCCTCGCCTCCCCTGTCATCCAGGCCTTCTCCCCGCCTGGGCGGGGTGCGCTCATCCTGGCTCAGGGTGACAGGCCAGAGGGGCAGAGAAGCCACGGGTCCAATCTCACTGAGTATTTGGGTAAACTGAGGCTCAGCGAGGTGCAATGATGTGACAGGCTCCCACGGTTTCGGGGAACTGGGCTTTCATTTCCCCCAGTGCAGCCCCTAGGCCGGTGGTCGGGGGAGGATTCTTGTTCCCATTTCACAGAAGGGGATGTGGAGGACCTCAGGTGTCAGAGGACGGGCCCCAGATCTTTGTGCCCACAGAGCAGCCTCTGGGAAATGGTGGCAGCCTTCCTGGATTTCCGGCAGGGTGAGCTACCTCGAACCCCAGAACCTCAGGGGTCCTCAGAGAGGGGGAGGAAATTCACCTGAGGCTCACAGCATGGCCCTGGCGGGGAGGGGAGAGGCGGTGGGATGAGCAAGAGTTGATTTATTGTGACTGTGCTTGTGACATCTAGGCTGCTGAGTTGCTGGGCCTGGCTCATTCTCGCCAAGGACAAGCCCACCAGCTCTGCCGCCCAGTGTCCCTCTCCCTGTTTGGCCTCTGCAGGGGGTGAGACAAACCTGAGGGCAGCAGGAGTCCACACAGCCATCTGTTTCTGGGGCCTGCAGGCTTCTCAAAGCGGGGATTCTCTGGCTCCTGGGGTGGCTGAGCGCCCACCATGCTCCAAACTCTGGGGCTCTCCAGCAAGCCGTTCCTGGCATCAGACTCCAGCCCCGAGTCTCCCCACTGTGAGAGGAACATGTCCTAGAGCTGGTGTGGGAAGAGCATGCCCGGCTCGTGTGGTCACCTCAGCCCTGCATCCAATTTGATTTCCCTCCATCCCATTTTCCACGTACGCACTGGCACATTTGTGCCACCACATGGCCCAGTGATCGCATACACAGGTGTGTACACCCAAGAGAAATGAAGACAGGCGTCTAAACAAGCACCACCACAGCCATGTTCACACAGGGCTGCTCACTGTCGCCAAAGGTGGAGATATCCTAACATCCGTCACCTGATGGACGCAAAGTGAAACACGGTCTGTCCACACAGCAGAGCATCATGCAATCATCACAAGGAAGGACATGCTGGTCTATGTTGCAACACGGATGAGCCTCACAGCATCATGTTGAGTGAAAGCAGCCAGGCGCAAGAGCGTGCATGCAGGATTTCATTCACAGGAAACACCAGTGGACAACTATTCTCAAATTCATTCATTCCACCAGGTCACTGAGTGCCTACTGTGTGCCAGGCACTGTGCTGGGCACTGGGGGTAAGCAGGTCCCAGAACATCCGTGTCCCAGGGGAGCAACATTCTAGTGGAGAAGACAAAGGCAAAAGTGCCAGCGTGTTCGCAGAGAAATTCACAGAGACAGAAAGCAGATTGGTGGTTGCCAGGGGCTGAAGGGAGGGGAAATGGGGACAGGGTTTTCTGTTGCGGTGATGAAAATGTGTTGGAACTAGATAAAGGTGGTGGTTGCACAACATTATGAGTATAATAAATTCCACTAAATGATTCATTTTAAAAAATACATTTTAAAAATAGAGACAGAATATTGTTATGTTGCTTAGGCTGGTCCCGAACTCCTGGCTTCAAGCAATCCTCCTGCCTCGGCCTCCTGAAGTACTGAGATTATAGGCATGAGCCACTGCACCTGGCCTGTTCACTTTGAAATGGTTAATTTTACATTATGTAAATAGTACCTTAATTAAAAAAAATAAACCTGCCCGGCACGGTGGCTCACGCCTGTAATCCCAGCACTTTGGGAGGCTGAGGTGGGCAGATCACAAGGTCTGGAGTTCGAGATCAGCCTAGCCAATATGGTGAAACCCTGTCTCTACTGAAAATACAAAAATTAGCTGGTTGTGGTGGCACACGCCTGTAGTCCCAGCTACTTGGGAGGCTGAGGCAGAAGAATCGCTTGAACTCGGTAGGCAGAGGCTGCAGTGAGCCAAGATTGCACCACTGCACTCCAGCCTGGCGACAGAGCGAGACTCCATCTCAAAAACAAACAAACAAACAAAACAACAACAAAAATAAACCCATCAGAGAGACCATCTTGCCCCTGCTTAAAACCTTCCAGCTGTTCCCCATAGAACAAAAATATAAAGTTCAAGTCTTGTGCTGTGGCTCTCAGGGTCCCGTGATCTGGCTTAGCCTCTCCCTGACTCGGGGCCAGCGCTCTGTTTCTCTGGGCTCTCTGTGTGAGTGGCCATGCTCTGTCCTGCCTCCAAGCCTTGTGCCTGCTGACCACCCCCACTCAGAATGGAACACTCTTTTTCCATCTCTGCACCAGTTTTCACGTCTCCTGTCAAACATCCCTCTTTGGAGAGGCCCTCACTGACCTCCCTGGCTAAGTAGCCGCTCACGCCTCATTCGCCACCCTGCTACCCTGACCTTCATACCTTGACCTCTGCCTGAAACTGCCTCCTCTGAAGTTTACGCATCTCCATTTTTGTTGTCTGTCTCCTGCACAAGAAGATCAGCTGCACAAGAACAGGGGCTTTTGTCTCTTTTGTGCCCTGTTATGTCTCCAATGCCCAGATCGGGGACTGGCCCAGAGCAGGTGTTCAGCAAAGGAATGAATGAATGAATGAATGAATGAATGGAAGTTGGCTCCCATCTTTCCAGCCCTGCCTCCAACACCTCCAGCGAGACTGTGGTTCCTCTTCTCACAGTGGATTCCCACCCCCAAGCCGAGCCCAGGGCCCCTCGCGGGCATTTGGTGAAGTTATGGCCGTGTCCTGTTGCCCTTGCGTTAATGCTGCAGTGTCTGGCCTGGTTTCCCAGTTCTTTCCCTTCCCCAGCCGGCCCAGCTGTCAATTCCCACCACCCTCAACCCCCATCACCAATGCCGGTGCTTGCGCCCACCACAGACAGGTCCCACTTCCAGGCCCTGTGCCTACCTGAGGCCACTGTGAGGCATGTGGTGAGACTGACCTTGCCGGCAGGATTTGAGGGGAGCCAAGAAGCCAGCTTGGGAGGCATGACAACCGCAGTCATGGATGTTGCCACGAGGACCTGCATGTCCTTCACTATTATCCCTCTTGACCCCTGGTTGGGTGATAACTGACCTTATTTTTCAGATGACAAAATTGAGGCTCAGGAAAGTTAAGATTGTGCTCCAAGGTCACAGAGCAGGGAAGGGACGAGCTGCAATGGCTGCTGCACTTCCCTTATGGTAATAGCCTTATTATTCCTGTTGCTGCTGCTGGGTCCTGGGCTCCATCTCCAGGAGCCTTTCCCCTCGGCCCCTCCCACCCCTCCAGAGCCTCAGGCCACTCTTGCTGAATAAGGGTCTAGCCATTTACTGACCTGGGGCTGGTCCTCATCTGGAAAGCGGGATGGTGAGAGGCGGTAATGAGGGACCTGACACGTGGACGGGATCTGGGAAACGGCCGTAACAGGCCGTCCTTTCCTTTTCTCAGGGCTCCTGCCTGTGTGGAGAGATGATGGCTCCCCACCACTGCCACCTCCCCCACACCCCTGCCCACCCACGTCTCCCGCTCCCCGGGCTCACAGTCTGGGTAGAGGCTGTTTCAAACAGAAGACCAAGCATCTGCGGGAATCCAGACCAGACCCTAAGCCAGCTCCAGAGGGCTTCCTGGGGGAGAAGAGTTTTGACAAGAGTATCCAAGGCAGAAGAAACAGCCTGGGCAAAAGCCTGGAGGTGGGGAAATTGAGACCTCCTGGAGGCTGAGGAAGGCTGGAGGGAGGGAGGAGAACAAAGGGCCTTAACCAGCCATCAGGTGAGGGCAGCTAGGCCTTCCCCAGGGCCACATTATGACTTTCAAGCACCCAGGGCACTTTGGCCTAAATGAGTCCATTTATCCATAAAAAATAAAAACACTAAATACAAAAAATTAGCCGGGCGTGGTGGCGGGCACCTGTAGTCCCAGCTACTCGGGAGGCTGAGGCAGGAGAATGGTGTGAACCCAGGGGGCGGAGCTTGCAGTGAGCTGAGATTGCGCCACTGCACTCCAGCCTGGGCGGCAGAGTGAGACTCCATCTCAAACAAAACACAACAAAACAAAACAAAACAAAAACACTAAAAATATATTCTACGTCTTCACTGGAATAGAGAGAAATATAATTCGTTAGTCATCCACTCACCCATTCATCCCCTGTCCATCTTTCCGTTAGTCATCCACTCACCCATTCATGCCCTGCCCATCTATCTATCCCTTTGACTCCATTCACTCACCTCGCCAACCACCCACCCATCCATCCATCCATCCATCTATTCAGCTACGTTCCATTTATTCATTTACCCACTCACCCACTTATCCATCCATCCATCCCTCCATTCATCCATCCATCCATCCATTCATCCATTCATCCATCCATCCATTCATCCATCCATTCATCCATTCATCCAGCCACTTACCCACCCATGCATCCACCCATTCATTCATCCACCCACCCTTTCACCAATTCACCAATCCATCCATTCACCCACTCATTTATTCATCCATCAATTTATCCATCTACCCACCCACCCATCCATTCACCCATTCATCTATCTGTCCACTCACTCACACATCCATCCATCTTACCCACCCACCCATCCACTTATCCATTCATCTATCTATCCATTCATTCATCCACCCACCATTCATCTACCCATCCACTCAACCATGCACCTTCTCACCAATCCCCCACCCATCCATTCATCCATCAATTCATCCATCTATCTATACACCCACCCATCCACTCATCCATCCATCCATCTTTACATCCCTCTTAGCACTCCTGCTCACCCCATTCAATTGTCTGTTTCCCTGTAAATATACTCACCCGTCTGCCCACTCATCCATCTACTCATATTCCCTCTGTTTCCATTCTCCATTATTTACTATATCAGCCTCTGCAGTCATCTCTTTTCTCTGGAGATTTCTCTAGCATCTGATCCCGACCTTCCCATCATAAGCCCTCTCTTCACTTCCCATTGCTCACAGATACAAATCCAAACTTCAGACTTAGCTGGCTTTCAAGGCCCTGAAACTATTTTGTCTCTCCTCTCACTGCTCCCACCACGGATCCTGGAAGTTGTGTGGGCCCTGGGCACTGTGCCTACTGTGCCCTCCCTGGCTTTCCCTGCCAGCTGCGGCCTGTGCCTATGGGCTTGAGTCCAGAGAGGAGAAGTGAACCATGAACTTGGGAACAAGAGGGGAAAAGGTGAACAGGACCAGATTAATGCACCAGCCTCAGCTCCCCGCCTGTAATGAGGGGATGGAGTGCCGATGTCCTCCCCCACATTCTAGGCTGGTTTCTGGGCTCACTGAGCTGCCTTGAGGGCCAAGGTGGTGGGGATAATGGAGGGGGCTGATCACTCTTCCCTCTCTCCTGCCACTTACCCCTTAACAGCCTAGCCGATCTGGAACAGAAGGGAAGGGCCTGCTGTGGGAGGGGCAGCCCCATTAGCACTGTTTCTGGCCCCTAGGGAGCCAGGGGTCACCAGAGCCCAGCTGCAGGGCCATTAGCAGCCCATTAGCCCTGCCCCTCCTTCCCAGTCCCCACTCTGGCTCCATTCAGGACCTGCCCTTCACGGCAGAGCTTCTGCCCCTTCACCAACCCCTGCAGGCCTCAGAGGCCCCCTCCGAGGTCAACGTGTCAAGTTCCGGTCAGCCTGGGCAGGGCTGCAGCTGACCCTTGCAGAGCTGGGGAGGACAAAGGAAAGGGAACCCCTGCAGGTGTAAGTGGCTGGACCCTCTGAAAGGGCTTCATCCATCTCTGAGGCAGGTGGTAATGGCTAGTGGAGAGGTGTGTAAGCCATGGGGCCAGCGAGTCAGGTGCCTCTGTCGTCTTTGCCAAGAAGGGGTTGCATTGCTGATTTCTGACTCCCCTAGTGTATGTGAGTTGCTTTTTACGGAGGAGCTGTGCCCCCTCAGTCAATCAATCAACACACTTTTGCTTGCTGAGCTAACAAAGTATTGGACCTCGAGAGGGAGAGCCAAGACCTTAGGCTCTCCTGGTTACATAATCCATTCATTCACTAGCAGATATTCAGTGAGTGCTCACTGTATGCCAGGCCCTGGAGCACAGCAGCAAGAGACACTCCAGTAGAGGAGAGGACAGTAAACACAGAAAACAATCAGTGGGACGATTTCTGGAAGGAAAGGGCTGTGCAGGAGATGAAGCAGGCATCATGAGACAGGCATGGGGTGGCTGTTGTAGTCTGAGGGTTTGGGGAGGCCTCTTACAGGAGACCTTTGAGCTGAGCCTGGGTGGTGAGAAGGAGCCTACCAAGTGGAGGGCAAGGACTGAAGGTCACAGGCAGTGGGACAGCAAGTGCAAGGGTCCCCGAGATGGGGACAGAAGCTAGCAAGCCCTGGAGGCTGGGGGAGGGGGAGGGAGGTGGGAGGTGGCAGAGGGAGGTCATAGATTCTCACTGCTATGCCAAGCCTTGAGGGCTCAGGTCTGATTCCAGTCTCCCAGAACTTCCTTGGCTGTGCATGGGGCTCACAGGGGCAGCAGGGAGGCCTGCAGGGGGTGGCCACTGCCTGAGTCCTGGTGAGCAACCATGGGGGCTCCGACCTGGTGGAGGTAGCAAAGGAGGGACTTGCATCTGCTGAGGTCTGAGCAGCCAGGAGTCAGAATCTTGTGAACCTCAGAATCAGACTCTCAGCATTAGAATTAGAATTAGGAGCTCTTAGCCCTGACATTTGAGGCTGGCGGGAAGCTCAGTGGGGACCGCACAATCTGGGCTGAGCCACACCCTAAAGCCAGCTATCTCACCCGGAAAACATTCCAGGCTGTGAAGGGCTGGATCCAGCCTGACTCGTGCTAAGTGCTTCACACATGTACTATTTGTTCCTCATGAGGACCTGATGAGACAGATGCCATTCTTCTCCCCATTTCCTAGATGAAGTCACTTGTTCCAGGTCACTAAGGGAGGGATAGGGTCCTCCTTCCCCAGGGGCGCCTGACCTCTGGGTGGGGTCAGCGTGGGAAGGGGGAAGGCGTGGCAGAAAGAGAGTGTGCCTGGAACAGTATTTTTAGCGCTGCCTGCCCTGCGTGCGAGGGGAGGGGAATTAGAGATGGCTTTCAGGGCAGGAAGAGCATGAAGTGATGTCTTAATTGGGATCCTCAAGGAGAAAAACAGTGTTACAAGCGCTCAATTATTTTATAATGAGCCTGCGGTGTGCAGGGAGAGCCACAGACATTTTCGAAGCTGAAGTGTGCGCCTGCATGTGTGTGTGTATGTGTGTGCATATGTGTGTGTGTGCATGTGTGCACGTGCATGTGCCCACAGGTGTATGGTGCTGAAGCGGGACTGTGGCAGGGTGGGACGGGCTCTTTCTCCTGATTTTGAGCAGTGGGCCCCTCACTTGTGCTGCCTTCTGCCCCTCAAGCCTCTTGTGGTGCCCCCGCCCACCAAGTCGCTCCCACAATGAGCCACCAGTGAGAGAACTTCAGGTTTTGCTGGGCAGGAGGATGCTGGAGCCTCAACAGGCCCTCCAGGAAGGGGAGACCTTGGGGAATTTCCACTAAGCTTCAAGACCTTTCTCTTTGCTGAGTAGAAAGGGGACTGGTTGTGAGCATCATGCTGAGCACAGGGAGAGGGCTGTGCTGGGAAGGAAGGACCCACACTCAGCTCCATCGGGGCCAGGACCCAGCTGACCACCCTGCCACAGTTCCCCACAGCCCTCCTGATGACGCCCCAGCTCACCGGGGGAACTTCTGTGACCTGCCTGCTGCCCCATGATGACCCTGCCCCATGCTCATCCAGCCAGATTCCTGCCTCCAGGCCTTTGCCTATGCTTTGCCACCACCTTGTCTCTGTTCAGGGCTGAAAAGCCTTCTGTCTCTTCCTTCGTGGCCTGGTTCAACTGCTTCTTCCTCTTTAGCAAAGCCCTTGTGTTTAACCTCACCCCAGCAGGGAGTCCCCAGCACGGTCCCTGCGTAAATCAGCTCCTGCCAGGCCACTTGGTCAGCGCATCTCGTTAACGGAGGCTGGGCTAAACTTGAGGAATTCTGAAATGAAGGTTTCCACAGCAGTGGGGTAGAGATCAGACTCTTTCCCCTAGGTGCTTTGGGGAGAGCTCAGCCCCCCAACATAGTGACCCTGAGCTGAGGCAAAGCAGAACAGGACATTAGTGTTTCTATTTCACATTGAAAAGGTTAAATTTCAAACTAACTTTTGAAAACATGATTTTTGTCTTCACTGCTACAGATAGGAATGAAACAGTGGCTGGGAAATGGGAAGTGGACAGAGAAGCATTGCTGAAAGGGGCTTGGGAACTGGCCCCAGGGTCCTCCACTTCCCCATCTGTGAAATGGAGACTCTAATGATGATTGTCTTCCTGGTCCCCAGGCCAAGATGAGGCCTCCAGGGAGGGAGAAGCTCTCATTACTGAGGCTCAGCAGTTCCTGAGAGTGGCTGTAATGGCATTGCGGGGGTGGCAGGGGCAGCAGCTCAGTGTCTCTAGACAGGGTTGGGGGCCCCTTGGAGTCCTTCCCACTGCCCTCCCCAGCCTTAGGGACCAGGTATCTAGATGCAGCTGCTGGAGTGGATGGAAGGACTTCCTGACCTCCAGCAGGAGCGGAGGTCTCCAGCGCTGTCACCCGAGGCCCGTAGAGGCTGGGGGCTGCAGCTTGAGGCTGTCGGGGCCTCAGAGCTCTGGGTGGGGAGCATTATACAATTTAACAAGCTGGAGAGTGGGGCTCCCAGAGGCCTGGGAAGAGGATAAGGAGGGAGCCCCCGGCCTGTGACCTCAGTCACTCACTAGCCATTCTTTTCTTTGCTCACTGATTCTCTTGTTCTTATCATCTGTTCCTCCCCCACCTTCATCTCAGCAAATGTTTCCCATTGCCTTTCATAGCCAAGCCCCTGCTGAGTGCTGGGGATGCAGACACAGTCTCTGGCCTTAGGCACCTCCAGTTGTTGGGAGAGGCAGACATGTTCCAGGAACCATCCAAAAGTGCAAGTGCAGCACCAGCTACCCTGAGGGCTTGCAGGGGAGCCAAGGGGGCTCCAGAGGCCTCTCCTCTGCCTTTTGACACCCAAATCGGCTCAGGTCACCCTTCTGTCAAACTTTCCCATGGATCCACTCTCTCCAGAAACAAAAGCAATGGCTCCCCAAGGCCTTGAGGCCCCCCGAACCCCACCCTAGCTCCCACCCCCCTGGCCCCCGCTCCCTCTGTTCAGCCACATAGGCTTTCCCTGGAGCTCCCCACACCAGTCCCATCTCAGGGCCTTCGCACATGCTGTTTCCTCTACCTGGTGCTGTTCCCCCATGCTCCTCCCTACCTCCTTCAGGTCTTTCTCAGTGAAACAACTGGTTCAACTTAACAGTGCAACCCCTCCCCCTGTTTTTCTCCATAACACATTATGCTCTAATTCCTCACTCAGCTTGTTTGTTCTCTCTCTCATGAACTAGAACTCCACCTGCACAAGGGTGGGGATTCTGTTTTGTTCACTGTCTTGTCCCCAGTAGTGGGCACAGTGCCTGGCATCCAGTGAGTGCCTAACAAATATCACTTCAGTGATTGACTTATTGATTAATTACCTGCAGGGCAGGCTGCCTACTCCAAGGTTGCTAGCCTGGAGTGGAGAGTAAGGGCTGAGGGGTGGATGGCTGCCCTACTCCCTCCTCTTTCTTCTTCTACCATGTGAGCCTTGAGGCCTCTTCTGGGTCCAGTGTAGAAGGTGAATATCCAGCTAAGTTTGACATTTAGTTTGACTGTGTCAGCAGTGGGGGGCAGAGAGGGGAGCTGTACTAGAAGGGTTGGGATCAGATGCTAGAAAAGTCTCTGGAAGTGAGAGATGAGTGAGAAAGCCCATGCTGTAAATGACGAAGAAAGGAAACTTATAGGCAGATGGATGAGCAGACAGATGGATGAGTGGAGAGGTACATGAGTAGATAGATGAATAAAGAGATGGATGGATGGATGAGTGGATAAATGGATAAGTGGGTGATGGAGAAATGGGTGGATGGATCAATAGGTGAATGAATGGATGAATGGATGGATGGATGATGGATGAATGAATAAATGAGTGGATGGATGAATGGGTGAATAGATGAATGAGTGGATGGATAGATTAGTGGACAGATAAAGGAGAAGATGGATGGATGAGTGGACAAATGCATGAAAAGATGCATGGATGGATGGATGATGGATGGATAAATGGATGGATGGATGGATGGATGAATGGATGTATGTATGAGTGAATGGATGGATGAAAGGTGAGAGGACAGATGAATCAGTGGATGGATGAATGGATGGATAGATGGATGAGTGAACAGATGGTGAGATGAATGGATGAATAGATAGATGGGTAGATGGATGAGTAGATGGATGAGTGGACTGATGGATGATGAATGGATAGATGGGTGGATGGATGAATAGATGAACAGATAGATGGAAGAATTGTTAGATGGCTGGATGAATGAATGAATGAGTGGATGGATGGATGTGCAGATGGATGGAGGAGTGGATGAACAGAGGATGAATGGATGGATGGGTGGATGGATGGATGAGTGGATGAATGGATAGATGGGTGGATGGAGGAATAGATCAGTGGGTGGATGGATGAGTGAATGAATGGTTAGTTAGAGGGATGGATGGGTGATAGATGAATGGCTAAAAAAGTAGGTGGATTAATGGGTGAACAGATGAATGAGTGGATGGATAGATAGATAGATAAATGGATGGGTGGGTGGATGGATGAGTGAATGAATGCATGAGTGGACAGGTGGATGTATAAATGAATGAATGGATAAAAGTGGATGGATGAATGGACGAGTGGATGGATGGATGAGTGGACAGATGGACGGATGAGTGAATGGGTTGATAGATGAGTGAACAGATGGAGGAGTGGTTCAATGGATGGATAGATGAAAGGATGAGTGGATGGATAGATGGATGGGTGGACAGATGGTTGGATGAATGGATGAATAAATAGATGGGTGGATGGATGGATGATTGGATGAATGAATGGATAAGTAGATAGATGGATGTGCAGATGGATGAATGAGTGAATGAATGATTGGATGAGCGGATGGATGGACAAATGTGTTGCTAGATGAGTGGATGTGTGTATGGGTGAAAGAATGGATGGAAGGATCAATCAATGATTGGATGGGTGTACAGATGGTTAGGATTATTATGATAATAATACTAATAAATCATTTATTGAGTACTTTCTGTGGTCCTTGTCTGTGCTTTATGTAATCAATCTCATTTAAAATTCTCATTACAACATTTTGAGGGAGATATTTCTTTTCTCATTTTACAGATGGAAAAACTGAGTCTTAATGTGATGGAATGGCTTAACAAGGTTTCATAGCTTATGAGAGGTTGAGGCTAGATTTGTACTCAGGTGAGCTTAGCCCTTAGCTGTCTTGCTGTTCAGTATGGGGTCTCCCCCACATAGATAGGCATATCCTGAGGACAGGCACCCTGTGTGGGCATCTGTGAAGCACCCACTGGCTTGCCTTTTGGGGAGGAGGCCTCTGGGAAGATCTCTGGGCTTCAATATAATGTTTACAGCTACATTTGGCCCCAGAGGAATGAGATGGGGGAGCCACGCGCCCACAGTCCTTCATACTACACTGGCAGCTGGTGGCACCATCCACAGGGAAGACAATGTGGGCAGGAGGGCAGCTGGCATGATTCACCAGAGACGAGGGGAGCCCTTTCCAGCTGGCCCCATGGTTCCCAGGGCCTGTGCTCCAGACAAGGGCAGTGGCGCAGAGGCCAGCCCTGCAGATGCAGGCCTTGCTGCCTCAGCCTGGGGCCTGCAGGTAAAACTGGTGACCTAATCTGAACTGGCTCACAGGAAGCTGGGGCCGCATGGTGAGATAGTGGATGGAAAGTGCTAGCCACAGGGTAGGTGCTGGGGAAAGGATGAGAGGGTGGGGAGGGCAAATTTTAAATAAGATTTCCAGAAAAGGCATCTCCCTGAGAAGAGACATTTGAACAGAGACCTGAGGGTGGTGGAAGAGTGAGCCATGCAGAGATCTGGGGGCAGAGTATTTGGCAGAGGGAGCAGCAAGTGCAAAGGCGAGGGAGCAGCAAGTGCAAAGGCCCTGGGGTAGGCAGGACTTGATGTGTTCAGGAATAACAAGGAGGTATGAGAGGAAGACGGACAGGAGATAAGATCTCAAGGTAATGGCAGCCTGGAGACTGCGGCTGAGCTGGGGTCATGGGAGGGTTAGCGCAGAGGGTTTTAACTGGCTCCCCAAGGGTGTCATGTGCAAGCAAGCAGCAGCCCCTCTCCTGGGTGCTTTGGGGACTCAGCCCTGCCTTCCCACTTCCATCCATCCCTGGTTTCCCCCTGTGGAGGCTTCAGGGAGCTGGTGGCTGCCTCAATCAGATCTAGACAAAGGCTGGCATTAGGTGCCCAGGAGCACATACGGCCCAGGCAGACAAGATAGGGCCCGTTTGGGCCCTGAGCACCCAGACTTGAGCTTCAGGCTCCAAAATGCAAGGAGACTAGGATGGACACAGAGGCATGAGCCAGGAAGGGGCTGCACTCAGAGGCTCCGCCCAGCTTGTGCCACTGTCCAGGCTGCCTTTTGAAACTTTGTCTTTCCATTTGGAAACAGTTTGTTGATCCAAGTTTTTCTCTAGGCAGGAATCCCTAGGGTTTGCATGGCACAACCAGGTGGAAACTGAAATTGTTTCAAAAGCAAAACGATAGAAATCTTTTCTCAAGCTGCCAATGCCCTCCCCAGACAATGCTGGGGGTGGGGGCTATGACTGGGGAGGCTGCAAGGGCCCTGCCTAGGAATGGGGGCCTGGGGGAGGGGGAGCCTGCCTCTCCCAGTGGGAGCTATGTGCTGACACAAAGCCCCAAATTCCCCATCTTGCTTCCCTCACTGCACCCATTTTCTGTCTAAGCCCTGGCTCGGCCGAAGGCCCAGGAGAGATCCCAGGACAATGGCGCCCAACTCTGGGACTGACCTCGTGGCCCCGCCTAGATGGGCCTGATCTCTGCTGTCCAACGCCCTACCCCAGCCCACACAGGACAAGCTGACCAGAGCACCCCACCCAGACACCCAAGGCTGCTGCTCAGGGACAGAGGGTCCTGGCTACTTGTACACCTCCTGTGATGGAGTGCTCACTACCTTCCTCGTTTTGTGGGATCCAGTTTTAACTGGCTCCCCAAGGCTGCCATGTGCAAGGAAATAGCAGCCCCTCTCCTGGGTGCTTTGGGGACTCAGCCCTGCCTCCCCACTTCCATCCACCCCTGGATTCCCCTGTGGAGGCTTCAGGGAGCTGATGGCTGCCTCCGCCAGATCTAGACAAGAGTTGGCATTAGAAGCCCAGGAGCACACGTGGGCCAGGCCTCTTCTGCAGTGTGTCTCACTCTGACCTGCTGGGATTGTAGGACGATTTTTCTTTCTTCTGCACCAGTGCTGAAAAGAGGCTGAGCTTTGGCCTCCAAGAGGCCTTGGTTCCACTGAGCACAGCTCCCTGGCTCCTGCCACTGTCTCTCTGTTCTTGCTGTTCTCTCCTCCCCAGGACTCTGTGTTCCCATTCTGGCTGTGCTGCTGGGCCTTTTAGACACGAGAGAGCCGGGGAACTTGGACCCTGCAGTGCTTTCCTCCAGCAGGGAATGCAGTGAGGCACTCTGGGCATCTTCTCTGTAGCTGGCCACTTCACAGTTATGTGACCTTGGACTTAATGGCTCCGTGCCTTGGTTTCCCTCATTTGTAAATTGACAAAAAGTGCTCTAATTGGGGGAATGGGGATCTGGGTGGAAAGGCTGCCTGGAGAATGGAGCATGCTGGTCCCAGGGATGAGCTGAAACACCTAAGATTTGGGGGCCTCCCTAAGAGGCAGGGGGTGTTGGAACCTGCATTCAGCTGAGCTGCCAAATTTGGGGATGGGAGGAGGAGTTGCTTTCTCCATGCCCCCCACCTCCGGCATTCGAGACCCCCTTGCTGTGGACAACCCCTACCCTCTTTACCCTCTTGCCTCCCTCTACTTAGGCCTGGGGAGCCTGGCTGGGAGGGGCTGGCCCCACCCCAGCTCTTGTTTTCACTTCTTGCCTTCCTCAACTTCTGAACACCAGCTCCAGGGGGCTGGAGATGGTGGGCTTGGAGGAGATTTTGGGGTGGCCAAGGGCTTCCAAGACCCAGCCAGGAGGCTGGGCAGGGAGTGACCCCTGCAGCCGGGGGTGGGAGGGCTCTTAAGGTAGACTTGGAAATCGAGGTTCTGGTGGTGAAAGCATGAGGCCTCCCAAGGACATGAGGTGGACAGAGGTACCCCCAACCATGACTTGGCTCCCGGCTTAGGGCTCAGACATCCTCTTCTTGGTCTGACCTCCTAGAAGGGTGGTAGAGATGCTGGAGTTTGTGCAGAAGGATGTGCAAGGCTGTGAGAGAGGAAGCCCCACTGCCCATGGTGACAGGGTCAGGACTGGCTGGAGCGAGCAGAGGGTCAGTGGCCAGCGCCGCCTGCTGCCATCCTTCTGAGGGGTCTGGCCCTTTCCTGACCCCTCTGCAGAATCCGAGTCTTAATGCATCCAACAACACCCAAGATTCCAAAGGAAGCCAGTTATTAGAATGGTTAAATAGCACGATTGCGATAGGGTGAACTGTGTGCTCCCTTCCCTTACGGATGCGCTGATGATAGGATTGCATGGCAGGTTTAAGCCCACCTGTAACTTTGACCCAGAGACAAATGTGAAAGACCTCTGGAGGCGTCTGCCAGTCCAGAGTGGGATGCGGACATATCTGTGGCCTCTGCTGGTGACAGCCTCAGGTGTGCTGATGCTGCTGGGGTTTGCCATCTCAGTCCACAGTGGAAGAAAAGGCCACATTTCAGCTGGATGCTGACCCACACTTCTTCCCCGTTCCCACGCACGGACCCCTGATTCCGTCCTGGTGTTCCCCAGCTCTAGAGCTTTCTGCCGGGAACAGTGGCAGCAGCAGCCTCAGCAGCGCCACACACAGTAAATGACAGCGATGAGCAACAGCCACCGGACACTGGGCTGAGGGCATCCCTCATGCAACCTTCACCCAGCCCTGCAAGGCAGCCACTGTTGTGGTCCTCATTTTGCAGAGGAAGAAGCTGAGGCACAGAGAGGCTAAGTGACTTGCCCAAAGTGACACAGCTCGTGAGCGATGGTGTCAGGGTTTGAACCCAAGCTGGTCTGACTCCAGAGGCTGTGCTGTTCCCCTTAGAATGCCTGGCCCACAAGTGGGGTTTAATGGATGTTTGACCCATTTAAAGGGTCATTGCTCAATTTCTGTGTTCACAGAGGGACATTCCCTGGGGCTGAGCTGGGCTCTGCAGATTTACAATGGGTTCTATATTTATCATCCCCATTTCTAGGTAGGTTAATGGATTTTAAATGGAGTAGATACTAATTGCCCCTGTACTGTGGATGGGCCAGCCTGGGAGAGGGCTTGCTCCAGCCCTGGGACTGAATTCCTTAGCACGGACCTGCACCAAACCCAGGGTGAGGATTTGAATGGGCCAAGACGGGAGTAGCATGGGCACTCGGGACCCAGGGGACAGCACGGGCAAGAGTGTGGAGGTGGGTCCTAGGGACCTGCTGAGGAGCCTTGCACGTGTCCCTCATACCAGCAGCAAGTCCTCCTGGTCTAGGGACACAGGGCTAGGCTGTCCCAGGAGAGGCACCCGGCTCCCTGGAGCTTCTGCAAGATTCAGGCCATCATGGCGTGTTTATTAATCACCACAGACAGGATGGGGTTGGGCCTGCTCAGCAGCTCCAAGGGGAGTTGGGAGTGGGAAGGAACCCTGCGAGAAAGGAGTTCAGGACAGGTGTGAAGGGTGGGATGTCCGGTCCAGCCTCCCACAGGAGGGGGAGCCTCCCTCTTCTCTCAGCTTTTTAATTAATTTGAGGGGACATGAAATCCTTGAAGATGGTCTAGAGATACAGTGGCCCTACAGAGAACAGCTTGGCCCCTCGTCCTCCCTCTAACCTCCCAGTTGCCCTCCTGGTGGCCAGTTTCTGGCATCTCTTTCCAGAATATTCTACCAACACACACGTGTGTGTGTGTGTGCGCGTGCGTGTGTGTATACATATGCCACCTTTTAAGCATTCAGTGAACTATACTCTCTCTTCTGTACTGCGCCTTTTACTTTGTCTTAGAGCACTTTTCCTATTAGAGTCACTCAACAAATATTTCTTGAGCACCTACCAAGGGCTGGGTGCTGCTTTCTCGAGGCCAGAGGCAGCTGCCCTGGCCCATGGAGCCTAGGCATGGCTCCTTCACAGCTGGGGGCTGCTCCCATGCACCCATGTGCCCTGTCATGGTTGCCTTCTTGGGGATGCTGGGCAGGTGGCTGCTGTTTCAAAGATGAGTCCCCAGGTGTCGTGGGATAAATTCCTAGATGTGGAACTCCTAGGATTAAAAAAAAGGCGATGACTCTTCTTAGCTTGACCAGCTGTTCCCAGATTGCGGTTGAAACGTCAGGGTTTAGGTTGTGGGCAGGGAGGTTCCCCCAGGCTGGTACGGAGGCTGAAGATGGTGCTGGCATGGGTGGAAAAGAAGGTGCAGGGGCCAGAGGTGGCATGTGGCTGGGAAGAGCCTCCCTCTGCCCTTGAGGAGCCCCCATTGTGAGGAAGGAGCAGAAGCGGAGAGGAAGAGCGTCCCCAGGGAGCTGTGGTGGGGAAGCCCAGGAGGCTGTGGGTGCCCAGGGGAGGCGAGTGGCTGGCTTGGGAGGGTGGGGCATCCGGGGAGGCTGGGAGGAGGCCTCTCCACGGAGCACCCAGTGTGCGCCAGCCCTGTGCTGGGTCGCCTCCCATGTGTCATTTCCTGGGAGGGTTGCATCACTGATTCACTCCTCCAGTGGATAATCTGAGTGCCTACCTGGCGCTGGGCACTGTAAATAGCACTGGGTGTGAAGCAGGAGCCTCTCAGCGGGACATCACGCCCATCCTACAGCTGAGGAGACTGAGGCTTTGAGGGAGAAGGCAAACGCTTGGGTCCTATGAATCATCTCCTTCCTTCCTGGTCCTTGTCCCTGAGAGCTGCTTAGACTGTGGGTTCTCCTATAAAGAGCAGTCCTTCCTTCCTGGTCCTTGTCCCTGAGAGCTGCTTAGACTGTGGGTTCTCCTATAAAGAGCAGTTCTGGCCCCAGCTGGTTCCTGAGAATGAACCCCAGGTGGCCAGGCCAAGCCAGCCCTCTAGCCCTGCCCCAGAGGGCCAGAGGCCAGCTGCCAGACACCCATGGAAGCTGCCCTGGCCTGACAAGCCTTTGAACCCTGCTCCTGTGACTCTGGCCTCCTAGGACCAAGGTGACCTGGGTGGTTGCTCCAGTTTGGCCCTGGCTCATCCCCAGCCCACACTGGGCCCCCGGCGCCACCCGCTTGGAAGACCAGACCCTGGCACACTGAGGTCCAGGGCACAGGACTGGCTTGAGCCCTCAGAAGTGCAAGCCTGTTTCACAGACAGAGGCCCCGAGAGGGTCACTCCCGGGGTCTGCTCAGTTCCAGGCACAGAACAGCAAACTTCTCGGGAAGCCTAGACCAGACACACCGGGGGTGCAGCTAGAAGGGGCTCAGGCTCTCTGAGTTCAGCCTGACCACAAGGGTAGGGGACAGTGGGGAAATGGAGGCCTCGAGAGACCCCAGAGCCAGGGGCTTTGCTGTGGGGCAGGTCCTCGAGGCTGGCTTCTAGCCTTCCCAGCTCTCGGAAGCCTTTCCCGGCCCCAATGCCCGGTCATCAGGCTTTATTCCATTTACAAATAACTTGACTTAAAAAAAAATTGCTGAAACAATAAATGCTTGCTATACAAAATGCAAACAAACAGCCCTGAAAGCGTACAATGTGCCCACGTACCCAGAGTGCAAGCGACTCTCCTTCCTCAGGGCCCAGTGAGGCTGGGCTGAGTGCTTGCCCACGTCTCCCGCCTGCAATGGGTGGCCTGGGATCCCACCAGGTGGGTCCGAGCCCAGAGCCCTGGGGAAACAGGTTTAGACACTTTCCTCCGTGCCACAGTGAATGAGGAAAAGGTCCCAGGAGGACACAACCACCAACAATTTGCCTCCAAACTTCCAGATTTTTCTCTTTGCTAATGCAAATATATCTGTCGTTTTTCTTAACATAAACAGAGTCGTGCAACAGGCCCCACGCTGCCTTTTGATTCTTTTTTTCTCTGTGTGTGTTGGGGGGACAGTGTGTTTTGGACAGTTCACACTGCTGTCAGAACTGGCAGATCGACCTTTCTATTTCAGTCAGGCCCAACTCAGAGGGGCCCCGGGCCAAGGACTGGAGCCCTGCCCCCATGAGGAAGGAGGGTCATGGGGCTGGTGCTGGGGCAGAGGCCCTATCTGTGGAGTGATGGCCCCACGTGGGGACAGGGAGGAGGCAGGCAGTGCCCACCAGGGTAGAGAGGGGCTGATAATTGGCTGGATTATCCCGGCGGGGAGGCCTCCTTGGGGAAGCTATTTTTAACTCTGAGAGATGCTGCAGCCACTTCCCTCCCTCTCTTTATTGCCCTTTATTCCTGGGGCCTGCAGGCTTTGCCCGCCTTCCTGGAAGCTCTGTCCCTTTAGAGGCAGGGAGGGATGAAACGCTCCCCTCACATACCATAGAGTGTGGTCCCCACATGGTTCTGGCAGGGTTCTCATGCGCCCCTTTTTAGAGAAGGAGAGAGAGCTTCAGAAAGCTTGAGGGGCATTTTGGAGGACTTGCTGGTCTTTTTACGTCTATTGCCTTCCCGGCAGCCCCTTGAGGCTGTTAGAAATTTCCTAAATTAACAAAGGGGTGGTTTTGGCTTACAATAAAAAGCCCATGGGTGGATCTAAGGGGCTCAAAAGACCAGCCCAGAACCTTGTTTCTCTCAATATCTCAGCTTTGCTTTCTCTGGGTGGGTCTCATTTCATGCAGGCTCACCCTACCTGGGGGCAAAGGTGTCCCCGGGGCCCCTGGCCAGCCCCAAAGCCCTGGGAAATACAGCTCCTGCTTTCCTGCAGACCCAGCAAAAGTCCTAGGGCTGATTCTCATTGGCTGGCTTCAATCATGTGTCCATCTCTGTACCATTGCTGTGATGCTCACAGCCAGACCTGGGTCGCTCACCCACCCCTGGGCCCTGGGGGTGCCCCAGGCCCACAGGAAACATATGGTGGAGGGTATGGTATAGGAGTAGGGAGACCCCAAGAACAAGGCTCTCAGAAGAGCAGCTTGGACATGGGAGGACTTGGACCAGTGTCCAGCATGCCTCTAAGTCTCTCAGCCAGACAGAAACCCTGACACCTAGGTCTGCCCAGGAGATGCCAGATGGAGCATGGCTAAACGTCCTGGCCTCAACCTTGGCCCTGGTGGCTGCCCTCCTGGCCACAGTTAGTGCATCCTCCTCCCAGCTGCTCCTCCCGCAGAGGGCGGGGCCACGGGAGTGCCGGAGCCTGCACACGGGAAATAAGTCAACCGGTCAGCTCCAGGCCCAGCTGATCAATGCCTGCCTCCTGATGGGGCAGGAGGGACTCAGTGTCCTGTTTCCAGGGCCGCCAACCGTTCCTGAAGTTCTGTGTGCCTCAGATCAATGCTGCAGGGTCAGCCAGGGGCCCAAGGGCACCTGGGCAGGGGGAGGGGCGTGTGTGCATGCACGTGCGCGTGTGGGTGTGACTGTGTCCTGGGTCTGGGCCATGTCCCCACAATGCTCCTGGGGGCAGCCACGTCCTCTTGGGCAAGTGCTTCTACCCACCTGGGCGTCATTTCTCCGTCCATCTGCCTGTGGCCTGTGGCGCAGGTTGGCATTTAGCCTGGAGCCTAATGCATGGCAAGTGCGTGGTGGGCATTGGCCCTTGTCACTTTTGCTGTTGTTAGTATCATCAAAGTGTCTAGTGACAAAAGGTGTTTAGGGAAGAGACTGGGCTGAGGGCAGGGCTGCTAGAACTGGTCTCTGCTCTGTGGCTCACTGCCTGAGGGACAGAGCCTCTTTCCACCTTGTCCAGCCAGGGTGTGGATCTGGCTCAGGTGGAAAGCAACCCCACCAGAAGAGCATATCCTGGAACCGACCAGCACAGGTCCTCCTGCTGGCCTTATGGTGGGTGGGGGTGGGAGGCCAGGTGAGACCCAGACCCTGGCCGCCTGCCTGGAGGAGGGGGCAAGGCTTGTGCTGACAGACAGCCTGTGATTGCAGGGGCCAGCGCGGCTCGGTGATGGTGCAGGTGGAGTTGGGAGTGGCTGTGAGAGCCAAGCTGCGCAGAGCAGGGTGAGAGAATCCCTCATGGATGAGACGTTCCTGAGTCGGGTCTGTGAGCACTCGTTTTGCACTCACTGCATGCCCTCAGCATGTGAGGTCCTGGGCTGCAGACACGCCTGAAGGACATGCTTCTGCCCTCATGGAGGTGCCATGCTGGTGGGGGGACCACAGTGAGCCAGACACCTCAGAGAGTGGCCAGCTAGGGAAGAAAGCAAGCTGAGCACAGCAGGTGCGTCCTGGTGGTCGGCAGGCCCCTCACGGATGTGCCGTCACAGCTACCCTTGCACGTGAGGCAGTTCAGAGAGACAGCGTTCCTGACTGAGGGGGAGGCAGGCCCCAAGGTCCAGTGACAGAATCAGGCTACTGGTGCCCAAGGGCCTGAATGGCCAGTGTGTTCAGAAAAGAGTGGCTGAGAGGGGGAGGGTGTCTGGGGCCTCAGGGACTTTGGCTATCACTCCTAGAAAGGTTAAACTGGGCATGCTGAGAGCTCATTTTACATTTTGATGGTGGGAAGACGTGAGGGCCAAAGCCGGGCCAAGGTCTAGGGTGGGCAGGGGAAGTCTCAGTGGGCTCTTGGGAGGAGGCATCTTGGAGGGGAGGAGATGCTGGGACTCTGGGGAGCACTGGTTGCAGCTGCCTGCAGGGCGAGCAAAGCCGCTGGGGAAGGGCCGTCTGGTTTCACATCTCACTCGGTGATGGACTTATGCCTCCCACAAGCGCATCGGCATTGTGGCATCAAGATGTGATTACCACAAGAGCTGGCAGCTGCTGTCGAGAGGCTGCAGCTCTGGGGCTCCTACACACAGGGCAGCGAAACCAGCCTTCGGGACACCTGCCCTGGACAGCTCAGTGGTCATCGTAGCAACCTTCCCTCTCTGGGCCTTGCTTTCCTCAAAACAAAGCCATGATTCCAAATGAGCCGAGGAGCTCTTCTGTCTCCTGGGCCTGTGGCTCCAGGGACACTCAGATATGCAAAGGCGTCTTGAACAGCCAACACGCCCACCCAAAGCTGGGAGAGACTGGGCTGCAAACAAGCCTCAGTCTCACCCCTGTCTTGGAGAAGCTCCCATCCTGGAGGGGAAGAAAGAATCTGGGATCAAGGGAAAGCCAGGTGCAGGGCACAAAATTCAGGGTGTTGGGAAGGTGTGTGCGTGGTGGGACAGCTGACTGCTGTTCATCTCCCTGGCTTCTCCCATGGCTGTGCCAGGAAAGTTACTACTCTCATGGCCTCGGCTGTCACGATCACCCCCATTTTACAGAGAGGGAAGTGGGGCCTTAGCAGGGGACGTGTCCCAGGTCTCCTGCTGGGCAGCGTTGGTACTGGGCTCAGTCCATTTGGCCTCACCCAGCCACTCTCGACACTGCCCCCTCCACACTGTAGGGGCAGGATGTCCTCTGCTCAGGCTTCACGCAGCACCCCGGGAGGGCCGTGAGCCCCTCTGCCCACGTGGGGATCCCTGGGGCAGATGTGTGAGCTGCTTAGGGAGAGATCTGCCCACATCCCTGCCTCTTTGTGTCCCAGCCCCTCCTGGAGGGAGGCTGGTGCCCAGTGGCGTGGCAGAGGGGATTTGCTTTGAGGGGCCCTTAATGGCTGCTCATGGGTTGCAATTACAATTAAGAATTGAACTCTGACCCTGCACGTGGGTTGGGAGGGTGGGACGTGGAGCCCAAGGGAGTGGCCCAGGGAGTCAGGCTTGCGTCTCTGCTGGGTGACCTTGGGCAAGACGCTTGCCCTCTTTGTGAAATGGGTCTGATAATGGCTCTGGGAGTGGGGATAGGGAGGGGCGGAGACCTGGCCTGACTCACAGTAGTCATCTTGGGTGTCGAGCCCCTGGGCAGGGGCCCTGTGTGTGTGTGTGTGGGAAGGGGGGGGTGGTGTTCCAGGCGTGAGGATGCCCTGGGCACAGCCACTTGTCCCAGGAGCTGTCAGAATCTTAGACCCAGAGGAGCCCTGAGGTGTTCCCGTCCATTCCCTTGCCCCTTTCTAGGCCACCAGAGTAAGGCCTCGAGGGAGGGATGTCTCAGGCCCCATTCCTCTTGGGACAGCTGAGTGGTCTCTGAGGGTGGGAGCTGGTTTGAGGCTTCTTCCGCAGCTGGCTTGGGCTTCCCCATCTGGGAAATGGAGCAGGGGCAGGTGGGGAGCTGAGTCATTTCCCTCCTTGGTCACTCGGAGGGAGAAGAAGGAAGTTTCCTGAGAGCTTTTGGTCCCCTGGGAGGCTGTTTCTCCCAGGAGGAGGAGGAAACCAGGACACAGTGTGCCAGGCAGGGCAGGGTGGGGGCTGCAGACTTCTGCGATGCCCCTTCTTTCTCCACTGCAGCCCTAAGTTGAGGACACACCTGATTCTGCGTACTGGCTCCACCATCTGGTAGTTCTGTAATTAAGCAAGTGACCACCCCTCTGTGCCTCAGTTCCTTCATCTGTAAAATGGAGCCAATGAGCTTATCCACCACAGATGGCCGCAGTGGTAATGAAATAATTCTAGCTGGGTCCATAGCACAGAGCTCAGAACATATTGAGTGCTCCGCCTGGCTGTTTTACCAGCCAAGTCAAGTGCTAAGCACTTTAGGTAGACTCATCTCATTTAATCCTTGCTACAGCCCCATGAGTGTAGTGATTTCTACTGACAACAGGGAAACAGAGGCACTGAGTGGTGAAGTGACCTGTCCCACAGCTAGTCAGTTGAGGTGGGATTCAAACCCAGGGCAGACTGATGTCGGTGAGTGCTGGGCTGGATTTCACCCACCAGCTGCCTGGGGCCAGGATCCTAGGGCTGGTGGGGCCTGCAGATCACTCTGCTCTGAGCCGCCAGCAATCTGGGTGCGGGCCAGAGAGCCGTCCTCCTCGGTTAGAATCCTGCAGCCAGTCTCCCTGCTGTGCAGACACATAATTATATTTCACATTAAAGGGGAAGCTGGAGGCCAAGGGGGCCAAGGAGCCCTTTGAGGCTCATGCTCTGGGCACAGACTGGCCTCCTCGGCCCAATTCTGAGGCCCTAGGGCCGAGCTGGGGGTCAGACTGGTGACAAAATGGAGTTCCCCTGGGTCAGTGTCCAGGCGAGCAGGTCTGTCTGCCAGGATGAAAGACTTGGCCCCTGCGGGAGGCTCAGAGATATGAGGCCCAGACAATAGGCCTCAGAAAGCTGGGAGGGCAGGGCATTTGGGGACAGGTTGGGAAGAAAGCCTGAGCCTCCAGAGACAGGGGCTCGAAAGAGAAGGGGGTCACATGGGGATCCGGTCGGCAGAGAGAGGTCCAGGGAGGAGCACAGAGAAGGCAGGAGATGGGAGAAGCCAAGCAGCTCAAGATGGAGAGGAGAAAAATGCTATTAGGGTGGGATGGTGTGTGTAGAGGGTGCGTGCCTGGTGTGCAGGGGAAAAGGGCTCTGTGGGAATGCACAAGCTTAGACCTGTGTGTGCGTATGCACACGTGCAGATGCCATCCTGCATGTGCACATATGAGCGAGTGTGCACATGTGCCCCTGCGAACATCATGCATGTGGGGGCATGTATCCTGCATGTTTATGCCTGTGTGTGTGCTCGCCATGCACCTGTGCGTGCGCGCGTGTCCCCGGCGGACGTGCCTGCATGTGTGTGTATGTGTGTGTGCGCGCATGTCCCCGGGAAGTCGTGCCTGTGTGTGTGTGTGTGTGTGTGTGTGTGTGTGTGTATATATATATGTGTGTGTGCGCGCGCGCGTCCCAGTGCGCAAGTGGCTGGCGGTGTGTGTGTAGGGGGCGGCCCGGGACTAGGAGGGGCTCGGGGCCAGGCCGGAGCCGTGGTAGGCTGGTGCAGCGGCTGCGCGGCGCGGCGCGGCGCGGGGCGGGCGTGCTCTCCGCGGAGAGTTAGAGGAGTTGCCGAGCTGAGCTCCGGTGGAGCGAGGCGCGGAGCTGGGTGCGCGCCGAGCCTCTGCCTCCCGCCGCCTCCTCGCCCTCCATTCCTCGCTCCCCGTCTTCTCCCGGCCACACCGCCACTGCTGCCGCCTCCCTGGGAACAGTAGCCGGGGGAGGGGGACTGGCGCGGTCAGAGCCTGCGAGGAGGTGCGGGGCGCCGGGGCGTAGGGGAGCGCGCCGGGCCCTGCCCGAGATCAGATAACAGCCGGCGGGGGAGGGGGTGGGCCGGCCGTGCTCACAGCCGGACCGAGGGACCGACGCCAGCCGCCCCGGCCCAAGCGAGCGCCCAGCGGCCGGGGGCGCCGTCCAGGCGCGCGCCCCCGACCCGTGGCTGGACCAGGGCGATCCGCTTTGCAGAGAAGACGCGCCCCTCGGCATGGAGCGCCCCCGGGAGCTGCCCTGAGGCGGTGGCGGCAGCGGCGGCGATGCAGCCAGCGCGGCAGCTGCCGGGGCCAGGAACGGCCGCCCGGAGCTTGGAGGACGCCGAGCGCGCCGCGCCCGGGCCACTGACCGAGGTAAGTGCGCGGCCGCGGGCGCATGGTCCCTCCCGGGCCCGGCCCCAGTTCCCCGCAGGCCGCGCCTCGCCACTAGCCCGGCCCGGAGCTAGCACGAGGTTGTGCAGCAACAGGGAAGGTGGAGCGGGAGGGTGTTTTCTTCCTCTCGTTTTATTTTTTTCCCTCCCTTGGTGAGACATCGGAGGAAATGCTGACTGCGAGCTTTTCTTTTCCTGCCATGTCTCCGGCTACCACCACAAGGAACTTTGCTCCTGGCTAACCTTCGTCCTGGGGGGCGCTCCGGGAAACTTTGAGGAGCCCTCGGCCCCCCTCTGACTGGTTTGCACTAGGGGGCTCGGGAGGGAGCGTGCGGAAGCACTCTGGCGCGCGGCACGGGTCCTACGCGTGACCTTCCCGGAGACCCCGCGATCGAGGTGGGGTTCGGAGGTGGGCGCCCGGGCTATATGAGCCGCCCCGAGAATGCCTCCCGTCAGAGACCTGCGGGTTCTTGGAGTCGTGTCTCTTTCTCACCTCCCGTGCTGTAATGGAGTAAAAATATTCTGGAAATGATTCCATGCCAGCAAGTCAGCCAAGTCCAGAGGCTCCCTTTTGCTTTTAGAAGTCGGCCTTGATCTCCGAGGGGATGGCCGCTGGCTGAGAAGCTCCCAGGGTTTCAGGGCCAGGGTCCACCCTGCGCGCGCACGGCCTCTCCGGGTGCCCTGGGGGAGCGGGGCGGGAATCAGGGGCTCATGGGCAGAGACAGCTGGGGTGGGGCGCTCCTTGGGGGGTTCAGATGGGAGTTGAGGCCCAAGCGAGTGTCTGTGCCTCGGTTTTGATCCAGCGTGCCCATGTCATGTGAATATTTTAAAACCTGTGATCAGAATGGGGGTCAAAGTGTTTCTTTGGGGACGGTCTTGTTCTGGGAGGTTTTCCTGCCTCCTCACAGCCTGGACTCGCCCGCACCTGGGACCTCCCCCTCCCCATTTCCCAGGGGGCGTTCCCATCTTAGAGTACCGCGCTGCCTGTGGCCATTTCTAGTTTCTTTTTTGCTCCCCTATACCCAGGTTCGAGCCCTGCAATAAAGCGCTGGGGACCTCCTGGCTCCCACATCTGCGCCCCAAACCCAGGTTCACAGGCTCCGTCTCCGAGAGCGCCGAGGCGCCCACACGCCACTGAAATCGGCAGCCGCCTTTGGAAGGTGCGAACCCGGAAGGCGTTAGCCTTGGGCCTAGCCTTCGCCCCCTCTGAGATGCCAAAGGAGAGCCGGTCCCTGGCCGCGCGGCTGGACCCCAGCCTCCCTCGCGCTGCGCTGCACCTCCGCGGCCCCTCCTCGCGCAGCTCCGCCCTGGACCGCCGCCCTGTGGCGGGCGAGGGTCAGAGAGGGGAGGTCCATCTCAGCCCTGGGCGCCACCAGAGGCTTTCGCTCTTTTTGAGGGGTACTCCCTTCTGTATTCTGAGAAGAGCCCCTCAGTGTCTGCTGGGACCGCCCCCCCCAACAAAAGACTTCACAGCGAAGTCTGCCCCTCAGTTCTCTGGTGGCACCTCCAACCAGACAGGGGACCCGAGGTTGGCAGCTCTAGGAGGGGGACCCTGGGGGCCTGCCATTTGGTGGGGCCAAGCCGCCTGAGAGAGAGCAGGGAGTGAGGGCGGAGGGCACTCACTCGAGCACCCTGGAGACGAGGAGGGTGGCTCCAGTGTGCTGGGCCACAGGGACACCCCTCTTCTCCACTGGAGGGCCGCTGTAGGCATACAGTAGGCAGTCTGTAAATGCTGGCTGTTGACCCAGAGCTGGCAGGTAGGGGCTCCAAGTCCTCTATCACCTCCTTTTTCCCCTCCCAGGGGAGGGCATGGCTGACACCCCTCATCCCCAGCACTGAAGGGGGTGGAGCCTTCTCTGGGAGGGGCAGGACCTGAGCTGTCAGTCCATCTCTGGACACTCCCCCTGCAGCTACCCCGTCAAAACCCCATAAGGTTTCCAGGCTGCCCCGGAGGGGACCCCTCCAGGAATGTGCCTCAACTGTGCTGGAAGGAAGAGGTGCCTGGGAAGTGGTGGAGGGGTATTGCCTAAAACCATGCAGTGGGTTGGGTTTGGACAGATGCCTTCACCTAGCTCTTTCCAGGCCAGGCGCTTACCCCACCAGCCTTCCTGCCCCAGGGCCATGGTGTCCCCATCCCTGGGTCTCCTTGAAGCAGGACAAAGTAACACTGAGTGGCCCTGCAACAGCAAAATAATAATGACAGCAGTGATAACAGGAGTAACAGCAGCAGCAGCACCTGCAGCTCTGCAGCACTGGGGCCGGTTCTGCCTATGGGCAGTTTTCTCTGCCTAGCCAGGCCTCCGGTACCCTGGGCCACAGTTGGCAGTACCAAGCGTGGCACCCGGAGGCCTTGGCATATGGCTGGGGCGGAAGTGAGTGCATCATTACTGTCATCAACCTCTGTGGCCCTCGCCAGGTCCCCAGGCAGAAGGCTACTGGTACACACGGTGCCCACCCAGTGGCCACCCTCACCCCCCCTGCTCCCAGGCCCAGCTCTGGGCTGGGCCCTTCCTCCAACAGGTGCAGCTGGTGCCTGTGGCTGGGCCCTGGCCAGGGCTTTACTGTGAGCGACACATGGGTACACCTGCCCCTCCCCGGGCCTGCCCTTGGAGCCCTGCCACCGGCTAGCGTGGAGGAGAGTCAGGGAGGGGGCAGCTTGCGGGCAGCAGGAGGGGTGGAGGCTTGGCTGGCCACATGGAAGGTGCGGTGGGTGGGGGCTCAGCCCCACGGGATGGCTGTGCCGGGAACTGGCAGCGTGATGGGGACACGGCAGCAGGGAAAGGCTGAAGATGAAAGAGAGCTGGCCTGAAACTGGGCCGTGTGCAGGTTGGCCAGAGCTTCAGAGGCACCATGGGGTTGGGGGTGGGGGGGGGCCTGGCAGAGGCAGGTGGGTTTTCTGAGGTGCTGGGCTCGGGGCAGGACCAGAGCCCCCGCTGGGCACTGGCCAAGGACCCAGCCCTGGGTCAGCTGACTTAATTTCCTAATGGCCTGCCAGTGCAGAGGGTGGCATTAGCTCTATTGTGCAGACAGGGATTGGAGGCCCAGGGAGGCACTGGAGGCACCAGCCTGTGGGGCTCAGACCCAGAGCCCTGGTGCTTTCCCAGGGACAGAACTGCACCTTCCCCCATTCCACAGACACACCCCTCAGGGGCATTTGACTGCCAGGCTAGCTTTCTCCCTGCCTTACCACCAGGCAGGTCCCACACAGGGCCTGAGGCCTGCATGCCATCCCAGCTCCCGGGAGCTGTATTCCTAGGACCTAGTTAAGCCCTGGCACAGAGTAGGTGCCCAGTAAATGCTCGATGATTCCATGTCTGGACTGCTTCTTCCAGCCACAGAGGCCTTGCTGTGCTGGTGAGAGCTGTGGGGGCTGAGTTCTGGGGCTGGAGACCCCAGGCCCTGTTGCCTAGCTGTGGCCCCTGTGCTGGGTAGCCATACAGAAGTGCTTAATCAATGGGCATTGCATACGGGGAGACCCAGCCCCTGCCCTCAGGGATCTCACTATCTCAGAGGAGACTCTTGGACAGACTCAGGGGGGCAAGAGAGGCAGATGTTGCCACCAAGATGGGGTCACTCTTCCTGGCCTCAGTTCATCATCTGTGAAGTGGGACTGGCTCCGGAGAGTGCTCAGGATGGGGCAGTAGGAATGTGAGACTTGGAGCGTGCCTCTGGGAGTTGGGGGTGGGGAGGGGCTGGTCTCAGTAGAAATGGACGTGTGGAGAGGGGGATCTGGGAAGGAGGGGGTGTGAGCATTTGTGGAGCCAGAGCCTGGGGAACTCGTCATTTCCCCATCCAACCTTCCCTTGGACATGTAGGGAAGCAGGCCCAGGGCAGGGCAGCGAGTTGCTGTAGCAGTGGGCCCCAGATGGCAGTGGGCCCCAGATGGCAGTGGGCCCCAGATGGCAGTGGGCCCCAGATGGCAGTGGGCCCCAGTGCAGGCCTCCTGTTTCCTGGTGTGTCCTCAGTGTCCCCTAACCCCAATCACCACCACTGGTGCTCCACAGCTCACTCCTTCCTGCCTGGCTGCTGAAGTGGCAGCATGAGGCTGTGGAGACCTTGGGGACCCCCGCCCAGCCCTCTAATTAGCCTTCAGCCATGCATCATTGGACATGGTTCCATTTGCTTGGCCAGATAGGAGTGGGAACCCCTTTCTCAGCTGCCCCAGGGAGCAGTTCCGCCTTGGCTGTGCATTAATGCTGTCCTAGGGTCAGTGGGCACAGCCTCCTGGATCCTGCCTGACTCCCCCTGCCCACCTGGACTGAGCCCTCCCTCCTGCTTGGGCAGCCAAAGCCTCCCTCTCCTGCCCTCACCTGCAGCCCAGGCCTCTTTGAAGGACTCAGGCTTGGAGAGGGGCCAGGGAACAAACAATAAAGCTTATGGAGTGGAGGCTTCTACCAGAGCCACTCTGGGCCATTGTTCCTTGAGCACTTTCTATGTGCCTGGTGCACTCTGGGTGTCAGGGCCCTCTGTCGATTCCCACCACACTCCTCCCTGGGACCCTCAGGGCCCTGCACAGTCTGGCCTCACTTCCAGGACTCTTGCTCCCTCCCCGGGGCCACGCTCCTGCTTGCCTTGCTGTGCTTCCAACAGATCAGGCCCACTCCTACCTCAGGGCCTTTGCACATGCTGCTATCTCTGCCTGGAATGTTCTTTCCCAGATCTCTGCACGGCCCCTCCCTTACCGCTTTCATGTCTTGCCCAGATGCCACCCTCTCTCCAGGACCTCCCCTGATTCCCCTGTGGGACACTGCAGCCTCCCTTTCCCCCATGTTCCTTTTCCTGCTTTATTTTTCTCTGTAGAACTTAATGCTATCTGCCACAATATATTTTATTTGCTGATCTTGTTTACTGTCTATCTTTCCCTTGGAATAGGATCTCCTCTTTTTGGACCTATTCTACCACAGCTGTGTCCCCAGTGCCTAAGCGGTAGGCAGGAGATGGCAGGCGCCCAGTAAACACAGAGAGTGAATGGGCTGCTTCAGCCAGGCCTGGTGCCTGACATGCAGTGAGTGCTTGGTAGCAATGGTAGCCAGCATTGTCAGCCCATTCTGCAGATGAGAAAACTGAGCCTCAGAGAGGTCACTGTCCAAGAACTGTGGCGCTTGTTGGTGGACAGAGCTGGATTCTGACCTTTTCTCTGAGCCTTTGGCCTGCCATCTGTCTGTCTGGCTGAGTGGGAGGGAGTTGGGGCTTCCTTCAGGCCCCTACTCTGGGTGGAGTGCTTTATATCTGTACCCTCACTGCTTCAAGCTCCAAGCCCTGTTGTGTCCTCTAGCACTTGGCCTGCTTCAGCTCAGGATGTCCCCATCTGATTCCTTCTGAGGATCACAAGCCGTTCCCATTGCAGATCCCAGCAAACTGAGGCCTGGGGCGTGGGGCCTCTCATATCTCAGCTGATGGCTGAATCCTTTCTCCTGCCTTCAGCATACATGTTTGGAGGGCGGCTGAGGGGATGGGGCTGGCAGGGAGGGGACAGTGTCTCTGTTTCTTGCCCAGTTAAGCATTCCAGACTCCCCACGGTCATTGAGTTTCATGTCAATGCATTTCACCTCTCCTTTCCAGTCTTTTTTTTGGAACATGACACCCACGTTATAAAATGTTTAAAAATGTTTATGATTTGCAATGATCAACTCCAGCGGCTTTAGTGGCCAGCAGTGATCACCTCTGCAACTATAGAGACTGGCATGCTTTCTGCTTGCCTGAGCACTGCCCGTCCCTCCTCCCCTGGATGTCCATGTTGCCTCAGAAAAGACAGGGCTGGTGGCCCCTTTTGTGGGGAGCAGATAGGTTCTGGTCCTGGGCCTCAGCCAGGTGTGCCCGGTTGGCCAGGTGTGCAGCCAGGTGTGCCAGGATGGGAGATTGTCTCCTGGGGCTCACCTGGGGAGTGGGGGCAGAAAAGGAAACCAGGTAACATGAGGACTGGCAGCAGGGATACTTCTCAGCCCTCCCTGCCTCCACCCCAAGGGTGTACAGGAGGGTGCGACGTGACACCTCCACTGTGGGAGCGGGCAGCCTGAGGCCAGAGAGGGTCCCCACAGCCGGAGGTCACACAGTTCCCGGAGGAAGGCTGGGGCGCAGCCTTGAGGCCACAGACCCTCTGTCCCTGATGCTTCCAGGCAGCTTTTGGGGACTTGGCAGGGGAGGGGCCGGGGAGAAGGGAGCATGTGGAGACTGAGATGTGTATGATAGAGAGGATGAAAGGCCGGGGGCAGGAGAGGTCAAGGGGGATGGAGTGGCCTGGTGGCCGGAGGTGTGCCCTTGCCCCTGCCCGCCCCGCTTGCTCCAGCTGCAGCCGGGCCCGAGCTGGCGGCTCCAGGCCTGCAATTCTCCAGCACTTAAAGCAAAAATAAATCGCTGCCAGCAGCTGGCGTTCTGTGTGGCAGCAGCCGAGCCAACCCCGCCCCGACCCTCTGCCTCGGGGCTCCTGGTTCCGGGCCAAGCCAGGCTTCCATTCAGGGCTGGGGGGCGCCGAGGCCAGAGAGGGTCCAGGGGAGCTTGGCGTGGCCGGAGGGGGCGGGTCCTGGCATGATCACAGGGAGGGCAGAGGCAGATGGAGACCTGGGGCTTCCAGGGGTGCTGGGATCTGGGGCAGGTTGGGGATGCTCAAAAGTGGGGCTTCTGACAGTCTTGGGTCTTGTGGAAATAGGGCCTGGGAGGGGCAAACTCAGGGGTCACAGCCACCTGTTTGGCCCTGGGGATCCCCAATCACAAGCCACCCCCAGCCTGTCCCCTGGATGTCCCTTTCTTTCCATCCCCTCCTTTCCCTTCTCAGAGAATCCTAGAGGTCCTAGAGGTCAGGTATTTGCGTGGTGAGCTTTGAGGATGCAGGATTTTGGCCTCATTCCTGAGCTCAGCAGGTGGCTGGGGATGTGGCCTGCACAAGACCCCTGCCCTGGGGGGCTGACATCTCAGTGGGTGGGGCAGGATGAAATAGACAAAAAACACATGAGCCATCACGGGCATTGTCATATTTTGTTGAATATAACAGTTTTTAATTATAAGAGTGTTATGTGCTCACAGTAAAGTGATAAACAGTTGTAAGGGGAAAAGTGAATTTCTCCTCCTCACCCCCTGCCTCCCCCACCCCCAGAGTTTCTTGTCCTTGGGGTGACCATCATTAGAGAGGCTTCTGGGTTTCTCAGTGCTTATGCAGACGTGAATAAGTAAATGGAGGCATAGAAACGTGCTAATATCTAAGTTGCCTTTTTTTAAATTCGTATGGGACCATTGCATACATGTCATGGCGTCCCCTGCACTATGCGCACTGCTGTGTGGTGCCCGTGCCCACTGGACCCAGGGGGTCTCATCCTGTCGTCCTGGGCATGGATTGAGGGCTGAGTCTTGGGACTGTAGGATCTTTGTGGCATCTGAATGCACAGAGCCACCGAAGTCCGTGAGTCATGGGTTCTTTTCGTTGTCATTTTAGCTGCGTTGAGACAGAGATCCTGGATTGCAGGATTTGGTTTAAGTACCAGGAGAGGTACCGAGTCCTCGCCTGGGTGCCTCCTTCGTCACATCCCTCTGGGAGTTGGGATAATCCAGATCCCCTGCCTCCATCCCCAGAGCTCAGAGGGTCTGGGGGGCTTCAGAGTCGCAGCCTGGGGCTTTGGGACCTCTGGGTGAACCTGGCTCCCACTCAGGGCAGAGTAGACACGCTGGAGCTCGGAGGGGAGGCGCTCATTGCTGCTCCCACTGGGGTCCTTCTTCCTTTAGCCTCTCTTCTTCCCTTAGCCCTGACCTCCTAGAAACAGGATCACTTGTTCCCTCACTGTCTTCAGGCTGGGGCAGGCCTCTGTGTGGGGAATGTCACTTTGTTTTTTTTTTTGTTGTTGTTTGTTTGTTTTTTTTTTTTTTTGTTTTGAGACGGAGTCTCACTCTGTCGCCCAGGCTGGAGTGCAATGGCGCGATCTCAGCTCACTGCAATCTCCGCCTCCCGGGTTCACGCCATTCTCCTGCCTCAGCCTCCCGAGTAGCTGGGACTATAGGCACCCACCACCGCGCCCGGCTAATTTTTTTTTGTATTTTTAGTAGAGACGGGGTTTCACCGTGTTAGCCAGGATGGTCTCGATCTCCTGACCTCGTGATCCGCCCGCCTCAGCCTCCCAAAGTGCTGGGATTACAGGCGTGAGCCACCGTGCCCGACCCAGGAATGTCACTTTGACCTGTCTCCAAGCTTCCGCATCTCAGTGCCTGTCCCATCCTTGTCATTCCTTGGAACCTGGCCTGAGATGCATCAGGGTGGTCCCACCTTACTCCACCAGGGCCCCTTATTAGAAAGGATCTGCTACACTGATTGGGAGAGTGACTAGTCTGTGGTCACTCTCAGTATCTGTCTCAGTGTCTGTGGGGATCAGATATACCTGGTGCCCTTCTTTTATGAGCCTCACTTTCCATGTTTGTGAAATGGGGAGGCAGTCCATTCTCGTGTCTGGGCATCTGTTCTCTCCTTCCCTCTGGGCTTGGGCACTGCAGGCAAGACAGGGCAGCTTCCTGGCCTCCTTGATCCCTATTCTGCTGTGTGGCCGGAGGCTCGGCCCTGCCATCACCCCGGCCTGCTGGGCTGCAAGCTGTCAGCAGCACCTGCCCAGTCAGAGCGGCCAGGTCCCTCCCCAGGCCCTGGGAGCCTTGAAGACCACTGGAGGCAGTGCCCCAGGAGGTAGCCGTGGAGTGGCCCCGGCCCTCCCTGGGGGTTGTGTAACAGAGGAGACCCCGCTGCCCTCCTCTTTTCCTCTGCAGGGTGGAGGCTGGCCTGGGCCCTGCCAGCACAGCCTCCAGGCCACTCATGGGTCCTGGCCTCCATCCCACGGTAGATGCCCTGACTCTGCAGCACCAGGGCTCATGACCAGGCTCTTGGTGGCCTTAGGACCAGCTGCCGCTGGGTGGGGATGCCCCAGATCAAAGGCAGGTAATAGAGAGGAGACTGGGAGGACAGTGGGTGGGGAGCAGGAACCCTGGGAGCCTCAGTGTCCTCCCCTGTGAAATGGGAACACTAGAGAAAGTGGGTTGGGCAAACCCACACGCCTACCATTGCATCTGGGGTGTGGAAGGAGCACTGGGGCAGGAGTCTGGCAGCACCACCAACCAGGTCCAGTAAAGAAAGCCGAGGCAGGGATCAGAGGGCGGCAAGCCAGTGAGACCCTGTGTTGGTTTCCTGCTGCTGCCACCATAACAGACTGGGTGGCCTAAAACAGTACAAATGCAGCATCCGTTCTGGAGGCCAGACGTCTGAAACCGGTGTCTGCAGGGCTGGTTCCTCGCGGAGCCTCTGAGGGAGAAGCCATTCTGGGGCTTTCCCCCAACTTCTGGGGCTTCTGGCGGTCCTGGCATTCCTTGGCTTGTGGGCATCTCCAGTCTCTGCCTCTTGTCTTCACATGGTCTCCTCTCCCTGTGCTGCCTCTCCCTCTCCTCTCTCTCACTCTTTCTGTTATGAGACAGTCTCACTCTGTCAACCATGGCTCACTGCAACCTGGAACTCACAGGCTCAAGTGATCCTCCTGCCTTAATCTCCCAAGTAGCTGGGACTACAGATGTGCACCACTATGCCTGGCAAATTTTTAATTTTATTGTATTTATTTTTTTTAACTATATGTTTTTTTGATATGGAGTCTCGCTCTGTCACCAGGCTGGAGTGCAGTGGCGTGATCTCGGCTCACTGCAACCTCCACCTGCCAGGTTCAAGAGATTCTCCTGCCTCAGTCTCCTGAGTTGCTAGGACTACAGGCATGCGCCACCACGCCCAGCTAATATTTATATTTTTAGTAGAGATGGGGTTTCACCATGCTGGCCAGGATAGTCTCGATCTCTTGACCTTGTGATCCGTCTACCTTGGCCTCCCAAAGTGCTAGGATTACAGGTGTGAATCACCGCGCCAGGACCTCTACTTCTAAGGATGCTTGTCATTGGATTCAGGGCCCACCCTAATACAGGATGATCTCATATCCAAACTCTATATTTGCAAAGGCTCTTTTCATCTGAATAAAGTCATATTCACAGGTTCTGTGTGGACATCTCTTTGGGGAGGGCACCATTCAGCCACTACTCATGGCCAACCCAGATATGCCACCCTGCATCCTTTTTCTCTTTTAAGAAACGTGCTCTCCCTGTAGTCCCAGCTACTCAGGAGGCTGAGGCAGGAGAATGGCGTGAACCCGGGGGGCGGAGCCTGCAGTGAGCGGAGATCGCGCCACTGCATTCCAGCCTGGGTGACAGAGCGAGACTCCGTCTCAAAAACAAAAACAAAAACAAAAACAAGAAACGTGCTCTCCATTTTGGGAGGCCGAGGTGGGCAGATCACGAGGTCAGGAGATCGAGACCATCCTGGCTAACACGGTGAAACCCCATCTCTACTGAAAATACAAAAAATTAGCCGGGCGTGGTGGCAGGCGCCTGTAGTCCCAGCTACTCGGGAGGCTGAGGCAGGAGAATGGCGTGAACCTGGGAGGCGGAGCTTGCAGTGAGCCGAGATCGCGCCATAGCACTCCAGCCTGGCGACAGAGCGAGACTCTATCTCAAAAAAAAAAAAAAAAAAAAAAAAAGAAACGTTCTCTTTTTTAGAACCATACTTTGGAGACATCGAGCGCTGGGGTGAGGTGTTTTGGCATCAGCTACCAGCAGTGCATCCTCGGGTGGGTTTCCCAGCTGCCCTGTGTCTCAGTTTCCTCACCTGGGAAGTGGAGCTATGAATGGTCCTTCCCCTGTCGGAGGGTGTGGGAGATGACACCTTTTATTATTATGTCTGTCAGCAACTGGTGTGAACATCTAACTGGTATTTCCCACAGGAGGCTGTATTTCTGTTTAGTTAACTGGCCTCACTGAAGCGCTCACTTTTAGGTTTCCCTCCAACCCTCAGCTGTCAGTGATGTAATGCTGCTGTAATTCCTGGACACGGAGGTCCTCCTGCCCCACCTGTCCAAGAGAAAGTTCTGGAAATGGCCTGTTTGCTTGAGGGGCTGTGTCTTTGTGGTTTTGAGGTGTCACTGCTGTGCCCCCCGAGGGTCGTGCTGGTTGGTAGCCCCCTTGACAGAGTCTGTGTGCACTGGGTCCCTTCCTTCCACTCCTCCCCCACTGCTGAGGCCACCAGTTCTGGCCGTGAAGATGGCAGCCCCGCTGTCATCGTTCTGCTTGGCGTCTCCTTTGTTTTAGAGGTGTAGTGGCTTTTCAAGTTAAAACCTCTTGTTGTAGTTCCATTTCTGGCAGCTGCCGGCTCCTGCAGGGAGGGTGTTTTCCTGACCTTATCCTTCCCGGCAGAGAAGCCCTCAGGGAGTGGGTGGGATGCCCTGGCCACATGCCAGCCCTCTGTCATCCTCCTGGGTCTCTATGGCTCACCCAGGGATGGGGAGCAGCGGCCTCGCTTCAGACGCCTGAGCGGGGCGTTGGGAGGACCTGCCATACCCCATCCCGTGCCAGCGTTCTTGCCTGCGCGTGGAGCCCGAGAGTGTGGCTCCTCACTGCCCAGAGGGAGGGGTTGGGCTCATACCTGTGACCCCCTTGCCACACCCTAGTCCCTCTGGAGGTGGGTGTAGGTGGGATTGCTATAATGCCCCTTGGCCAAGGGAGCTTGGGTGTCCTTGGCCCCCTCCTGTGGCTCCCAACTGCCGCCAGGAAATTTGGGATCCCCAGCAATACAAATGGCCCGGTGGTGAATCCAGCAGCCTGTGGTGTCACCGGGTGCCTTTATTTCTCAGGAAGTAGTGTGACGTCGTGCTGAGGCTTGGCACCCCAAAACAATAATGAAAACGACTGCTTACCCAGCGGCGGCTGGTGCCAGGCGCTGTGCTCAGTGCTTTCCCGAACATTATCTCACTGAATTCTCAAAATGTCCCAGCCAGGCAAGGAGTGGGGCTTGAGAGATGGGGCCACTGGGGGAGGCGGTGGCCAAGCCAGATTTGAACCCCAATCGGGAAGCCTCGGTTCTCTAAAGAAGGCCCCGCTGGGCCCCCCCCGAGGGAAGGTAGAGACATCCTGGGCCTGGGATCCAGGAGGCGTTTTGCCACTGAGATGTCTCTGGCTTGGAATGGCAGCGCTGGGCATGAACTTGGGGCCTGGATTGACACGGGCTGCTCTCCCACCCCCATCTGCTGTGTGACTTGAGGTAAGCTGCATCACCTCTCTGAACCTCATTTCCCTACTGTGAGAAATGGAGCCAAATTTACCCCATTTAAACTGCAGTTGTGCGGGGAGCTTGCCTGGCCAGGTGTTAGGCTGTTTCAGAATTCCAGAGGACGGGGTCTGAGTCCTGCTATTCACAGGTGGAGAAATGGAGGCCGGGAGAAGGGGAGGGACTGCCCAGAGTCTTGCCTCCCACCTGTGACCTCAGCCACAGAGCATGGCTGGTCCAGGCACCTCTTTCTTGCCCCTAGACCAAGCTAAGAGGACAAGCCATTGCCTGAGCACTGTCGTGTGCTGGGGGCATGGGCAGGGAGAGACCCTGCTCTCAGGGTGAGGCCTGCCCCTTCACCCGTTCCCTAGAGGTGAAATGGCCTCTCTCCATGTGTACCACATCCCGGAGCCCTGGCCCCCTGGCTGAGCTCAGGCTTCCCACGAATCTGTGGGCCCTGTGTGATACCGCAGTTTGTGGTGGCGGCAGCTTCGCTGCTTGGGGAGTAAGTCAATGACTTACTTACCCACTCACTCATTCACTTAACTTTGGGGATCCCCAGTCCTGAGGGGGAAGCAGCTGTGCCCTCAGAGCCCCATGGCTGAGTGGAGGTCTCTGCAGAGGGTGGGGGTGTGGTGGGGCAGGGACGGTTTCCTGGGGAAGAGGCCCTGGATCCTGGCCCCACGTGGGGGTTGGGGGCTGCTGTGGCACCTGTGTCCCCCAGCACCAGTGTTCAGCTCAGGGGAGCTCTTACAGAGCCTTTCAAAACCATCCCTGGGCCCCAGGCAGGGAGGTCCCCAGCCACCTGCTTCCTAGCCCTCCCTGTGACATGCAGGGAGCAAGACTTAAAGGGCATGAACCCTGAGTCCAGCTGTGGCCTTGCTGCTCAGGGCTGCCCATCAGCCTTGCCCTGCCTCTCACTGCACGTCCTGCTTCTGAGCTGGGGTGCTGGTCCCAGACCCTCCTCCTCCTGCCTCATTCCAGAACCTTCTCTCTCTTTCTCGGGCCCAGCTCCCAGGCCCCCACTCCTGCCCCATTCTTGGCTTTCTCCCTCAAGGGTCCCTGACTCCCCACCAGCAGGGTAACCACCTCTTTCACTGAGAAAATCGAAGAGAATTTCAACTCCTGCCCCTCACAGCTTCCCTCCCCATGATGGACTGTCACCCCTCACCCACAGGGCCCACCCCTCTTGCCCACCCAAGGCTATCGCTGTCTCAAGGCTCCCTCCCTCCGCTGGACCCTGCACTACACCCTGGTTGGGAGTGAATCCTTCCAAAGGTGGCGATGGAGGGCCCACTGGGATGGGCACTGCTCCCCAGGCCCCAGGACGCTCCAAGGCACAAAACAAAGTCCTGCCCCACGGAGCTTCTGTGCCAGTGGACCACTGACCATAGACTCCATGGGAGAGGGACTCGCTTCTGGAGAAGGGGCCCAGACCTGCGTGGAGTCAGGGCAGGAGCTGGGAGGATGTCCAAGGGAAGCGGGGCCGGTGGCCAGAGGTGGACGGAGCCTGACCAAGGGGCGGGGGCACAGGGATGGGGAGGGGGAGCAATTGCAGGGTCTGGAGGCTGCAGCAGCATTTCTGGTTTTCTTTCTTTCCTTCCCTCCTTTCTTGTAACAATAAGCATTTCTTCCAGCTCCCTGGTCCAGAGTTTGGTTGTGGCTCTGAGCTGCTGGGAGGAGTTGGGGTTGGATCTGTCAGGCTGTGGTTGGTTTCAAATCTCCTTTGTGTGTCTCCTCCCAATGTTTTTTTCTTGGAGGTGAAATACAGTTCTTTTTTCTTGAAGGTGAAATTCACATAAGATGAAATTAACCATTTAAAAGTGAACAATTCAGTGGTATTTAGTGCATTCACACTGTCGTGCAGCCATCACCTCTGTCTAGTTCCAAAGCCTTCCACCATGCAGAAAGGAAGCCCTGTCCCATTGGTAGTCACTGCCAGTCCCTGCACCATCCCCTGGCAGCCACTAAACCGCTTGCTGTAGCTGTGGATCTTCCTAATCTGGATGTCGTGTGTGCGTGGGGCCCTGCACGGGTAGCCTTCTGTGGCTGGCTTCCCCATCTCCATCATGTCCTCCAGGCTCGGCCCTGGTGTGCTGTGCATCAGCACCGCCTTCCTTGCCAGGGCTGAGGGATGCCTGGGTATGGATGGACACACTCTGCCTGCCCGTTTGTCATGGCTGCTCAGCCTTTGGCACCTGTGAACGGTGCTGCCGTGGACATGGAACACAGGTTCCCTTGGATGCCGGTTTCCAGATCTCTCCATGTACCTAGAGGTGAAATGGCTGGGCCTGCGGCAGCCCCGCCAAACTCTGGAGGGGCTGTTACCTTTGGAAGAGGCTCTGACTCCAGGGCACCCTTCCTGTACCCCTCCAGCCTGCGTTCTTGCTGTACCCCCGGACCACAGACCTCCTCACAAGACTGTCCTGCTGCTCCCCAGCTTCTCCTCATGGCCATCCCCTGTGATGCTTTGGAAACGTTTAGGACAGGGTTACCAGTCACCTGGTTTGTCTGAACCTGTGCTCTCTGGGAACAACTGCCTTGCGGCGCTCCGCCCAGCCCTCTTCCTCCTCCTCCTCCTCCACTTCTTCTTTGGAGGGCAGGCATCTTCCCCTGCACACTCGCTCCCCTGCACATCTGGCCTCCTGCAGCCCCAGGTTCATGTCTAGCCCAGGCCTTTCTTCCCCGGTCTGCCCAGGTGACATCTCCCTTGGGGTCTGTGGGCACCTGGATCCTACATGGTCAGAACTGGGCTCCCATCTACCTCGAGCCTGTGGTCCCCCCACCCCAGTCTCCTCGTCACTAGAAGGGGGACAGGCTGAGGACCTCCCCTGCCACCAGGCCTACCTTGGCCAGTGGGTGGGAGGGCCAAGTGTGGGGTCATGTCTGGCAAGGTGGTCTCCCAGCTGTGGGGCGTTGCATGGCTCCAGGCTACAGGCTGGGGCTCCTCATCTGAAAGTGGCTACAGGAATCCGTCTTGCCTCCTAGGGCTGTGGTTGAGGTAGAACCGGCTGACTTATGCTGAGTGTGGTGGTGGGGACTTTGGGCTCCTGGACAACTTCCTTCCCTCTCTCCTGAGCTGCAGTGACTTCGAGGGAGGTGGTCACATAGGCAGAGCCTTCCTGAGCCTTCGTGTCCCCAGGTGTGAGTGGGAATAAGAAGCTGCCCTACCCTCTGCACACAGCACCACTGGACCACTGGACCACTGGACCTACCGGAGGTGCTGTGTGAAGGGCTTCCAGAGGTCCAGGCACATAGTAGGCGCTCAGTGTGTGCTCACTTGTGGGTCATGGAAGCTGGCTGTGTTTGCTCAGAGAACCCAGTTCAGTGGGCTGGGCCCCGAGGGAAGGACGAGTCTGGCCACCGCAGCAAGGAGCAAAGGCAGACAAGGACACGCCCCCCAACAGGGGCCCTCTGCCTCTGGCCCCATGAGGCTGCAGCTGCTCAAGGCAGGGGGCAGGGGCCCAGCTGGTCCCCACTACTTAATCATCTTGTTGGCACTTAGGACCAGCAGGAGCCCCACCAGGGCTGCACCCGGCACTGGCCTTGGAGGGGCTCCAAGCCACCTGGCTCCCTTGGCCTGGGAGTGTTGGTTCTGTAGTGGGGGGATTTCATGGACCCCCATCCTCCTCGAGTGGGTTCAGAGAATGAGGCCTGAGACTGGCTGTGTAGATGGGTTGTCTAAATGGCAGACATTTGTGGTCCATGATGGTGGCCACAGCATTTGGGCAGTATAGACAGGGAGGTGGATGGTGGAGACAGGTGGAAGGCCTGAAGGTGGGTGTGGGCAGCACGGTCGGGGCAACCTTGATGGTGTGCCTGCAGGCATAGGCCATATAGCTGTGTCTGAATTTCATAGGCAGGGCAGGTGGGGTGTGTGTGGAGATGCACAGATGGTGAGGGTTAGGGAGGCTAGGGCAGGAAGATGTGGATAGTGTCCCTGGGTCTGGGAACAGGATGGGCCCCTAACTTCTGCCCCTTCTTTCCGAGTCCCCTACTCTCTGGGGAGGGGCCGAGGCTGTTCCCAGGCCAGCGCTGGAATTTTAAGTCCATGTGCCTCCCTGCACGGCCGTACCGGCTCTCCCTTGCCCTCCCCTGCCCTCCCCTACTGGAAAGGACGTTTGTCAGAAGCTTGTGCTGCTTAGGAGTTTTGGGTGCTGCCTCATCGCTTTCTGTGCTTGTCCCCATTTTACAGATGGGGACGCTGAGGCTCAGAGGTGGAGGGAATTTTCTGGGACCCATGGTGCTTTTTTGAGCCACAGTAGAGGGGTCTGGCTCTGGCGGATGGGGCAGCCCTCAGAGGCCCTGCTTCAGGCCCTCAAACAGTCTGAGTTTGTCCCTGAGGCTGGTTGCACCCTGGGGCTGACCTGCACACCCTGCCCCACTGCTAGAGCCTCTACAGCCCCTGGCTTCTGCGTGCGCCCTCCCCTCTGCCTCTGGTATGTCTCCACTCTTGCTTACGAAGCCAGCACTGCCTGCTGGCCATTTATCCAGCTAACCCTGTAATGCCCCTCTGGGAGCCTCAGACCCCCCCGTGCGGGTTGAGCTGCCAGCAGATGGTGGAGGCCGGAGGGCAGCACACCTGGCAGGCCCTGAGTCCTGGGGCTCCACCTCATGGTTCCACAGTTGCTGAGCATCTGTTCCATGCCAGGCGCTGGAATTGTCTCACTTAGTCCCCTCATGGCCCGCTTTACAGATGAAACCACAGGGGCCTGGAAGGCACCATTCAATCCCATGTGTTTGACACCAGCCCCGTGCCCCCAGGCCTTCACCGCCCGCCTCCACCCTGAGCAGTAGGGCAAACACCTGGCCAGTGGCCTGAGGCTGAGTGCATCCTCCCAGGGCCACTCATTTGAGCCCATGGAGTGTGTGGCCTGTCTAAGTTTGGGGCCAAGGGTGCCACTGAGGGCACTGCTGGTCTCTAGTGCTGGCCTCTTATGCCCCACCCATAGGACCCAGGCAAAGGAGGACAGGTTGGAGTAATAAGGGGTTTGGTCTAGGCTGTGGTCTACCTGAAGTCTCCAGTGAAGGCTACCTCCCTTGGCCTCAGTGTACTCATCTGTAAAATTATAATATCTATCTCGTGGGGATCTCGTCACGTGTCAATGACATTTCAGTCAGTGATGGAGGGTGTGTATGAGAGTGATCCCATAAGATCATCAAGGGGCTGCCCTATACAGGTGTACCACTTTTTATCTTTTATACTGTATTTTTGCTGTACTTTTTCAATGTTTAACTATGTATAGATACACAAATGCTTACCATTGTGTTTCAGCTGCCTACAGTGTTCAGTACAGTACTTGCTGTACAGGTTTGCTGCCTAGGAGCAACAGGCTCCATCACACAACCTGGGTGTGCAGTAGGCTGTACCATCTAGCTTTGTGTAAGTCTCTCTATGATGTTTGCTCAGTGATGAAACTGCCTGATGACACATTTCTCAGCATGTATTCCATCGTTAATCGAGGCATGACTGTATGGTACTCAGGGGCTAAGTCTGACACATAGTAAGTGCTCAATAAACCTAAGCTCTCATTATAGATTACTGTTGCTGTCCTGGAAACAGACACAGGGCCCCTGCTCTGTGCCTGCCCTGTGCTGGGTGATGCACTGATTCTGGAGAGGAATTAGGACTGGAGGCTCAACTCGAGGCTGAGGGTGGGGAAGGTGAAGACAGAGACTGCCTGGTGTGGTCAGGGCTGTGGCAGAGAGAAACCCTGGCATAGGCACCCTGGGAGGGGACCGGCCTGGCGTAAGGCGTTGGAGGTGGGAGCTGCTGGGAGTTCAGTGTTGCCAGGGGTAAACCATTAGAAATTGTTCATCTTAGTTCCAGAAATTCTTTCCAGGCCCTGCTGGGGCCACAGCAAACGGGTCCCTGGAAGTGCTGAGGGACCCCTGAGGGTGGCAGGCCTGGACACAGACCATGACCACATGGGATCCATGGGCTGCTTCCTTCTTTAACCCAGTGCCTAGCACAGAAGTGTTGATGATGCCTGGGCAAGGTGGCTCACACCTGTAATCCCAGCACTTTGGGAGGCTGAGGCAGGAGGATTACTTGAGGCCGGAAGTTCAAGACCAGCCGGGGCAATATAGTGAGACCCATCTCTACAAAAATGAAACATTAGCTGGGTTTGCTGGAGCATGCCTGTAGTCCTAGCTACCCGGGAGGCTGAGGAGGGAGGATCACCTGAGCCCAGGAGTTCAAGGCTACAGTGAGCTCTGATCAAGCCACTGCACTCCAGCCTAGGCGACACAGCAAGATCCTAAAGAAAAAAAAAAAAAAAAAAAAACGGCGCACAGTGACTCATGCCTGTAATCCCAGCATTTTGGGAGGCCAAAGCAGGTGGATCACTCGAGGCCAGGAGTTCGAGAGCAACCTGGCTGACATGGCAAAACCTCGTCTCTACTAAAAATACAAAAATTAGCCGGGCATAGTGAAACCCACCTCTGGGAGGCTGAGGCAGGAGAGTTGCTTGCACCCGGGATGCGGACGTTGCAGTGAGCCGAGATCGCACCACTACACTCCAGAGCGAGACTTCTTCTCAAAAAAAAAAAAAAAAAAAAAAAAAAGAAAGAAAAAAGAAAAAAAGGAAATAATGGACGTGATGATAACAGGGATAGTGATATAATATTTCTCTATGCCAAGCATGGCTCTAAGCTCTTTATGAAGTCATTAATCCTCATGACAATCACATCATATTGCCCCCATGTTACAGATAGGGAAACTGATGCCAGAGAGGTGAAATGACCTGCCCAAGGTCTTACCACGACTGAGTGGCAGAGGTCAGGTAGAGGTTGTGCACTGGCCTGGGGAGAGGGGAAGAGTATTTGGGGTTCAGCTGAGGCAGAGGAGTGGCTGGAGCCCCTCTACTTGGTGGGCAGGGCCATTTCCAGAGCATGTCCTGCTGTGCCCTGCCTGCCCTGCTGTGTGGCTCAGGCATGGCCTGCCCTCTCTGGGCTCTGAGCCTCTGCAGCCAGCCCAGGATGTCCTCGGGCTTCTCGGCTGGGCCACAGCCCTGCTGTACCTGGGTCCCTGCCAGGCTTGTTATGGTGGCTGCCCTGGGCCCCCGGGCGCAGGCAGGGGCCAGGGGTCATTCCAAGGTGCCAGCTGCCCTGGCCTTGGGGTTGGCATGGGGGTGAGGGGCTGGCTGGGCTCTCGAGAACTTGCTGAGGCTAGAGCTGAGTGCTACATGCACCTGGACTCCTTGCTTTTCCTACAACCTTGAGAAATCCTCAGCTAACAGGCAGGGAAACTGAGGCTCAGAGAAGGGCAGCCGGGAATCTGAGATGACACAGCCAGGAAGTCACCGAGCCAGCTCGCCGCAAAGCCCTGCTTCCCACTTTGCAGACGACGTTGATGACCACCACAGCTTCTACTTGCCTGGTGCTTTGCTGTGCACAGGTCCTGCCAGGCAGCAAGCCCTGGCATGCCCATCCCAGTCCTCCAAGGGGCTGTCAGTGCCCATCTGACAAATGAGGACACCGAGGCTCAGAGAGACATCCCCGTGCCTGGCCGGGGTTCTAGCCAGCTTGGTTCGCACCGGTCTCAGGAGCCAGTGGTTATGGGATGCCCGGTGTGGGTATCAGCCCCGTGTTGATGGGGAGGGCCGTCTTGGTTGGGGTGAGGGGCCCCTCCTCTGTGAGGATGACGACAAGAGGATGTGATTCAAGGGCTCTTCACAGTGGTCACTGTCCTAACCACTGGACCCCTGGAGTCACCAGAGCCGGCCAAGCTGGGCCTCCACCCAGCATCCAGGGGTGGGGCTAAGGCATCAGGTTTGGGGCCCACCGTGGCTATGGCCTCAGGTAGCCGTGGGGACGGACTGTGCAGAGCCTCCCAGGGAGGCTTCCTGGATGCACGCAGGTGTTTGGGAGGCTCTGGCCGGGGGTCATCGTTCAAGGGGGTCTCCCAGGGCACAGATTGGAGCACACTGTCCATCAAGGTCATCTGCCTGGCCTCCATTCCTAGCTGTGTGACCCTGGGCAAGTGTGTTTAGCTCTCTGGGCCTCAGTTTCCTCATATGTGAAACAGAGATCCTCATAGGGATGCTTGGGGACTGAATTTGGGAGGGCAGATGCTTGGCAGTAAAGGCATGGGCTTGTTCCCCAGCTCTGCCTCTTATAGGCTGTTTGGCCTTGGGTAAGAAACTTCATTTCTCTGGAGCTTAGTTTCCTCATCCGTCCAATGGGGATAATAGCAGACTCTTCCCTGCAGAGCTTTCTCAGGGCGCAGTGAGGCAGTCAAGGTAACATCCCTGTAGCTGCGATCACAGCTCCTGCTGCAGGCTCTCGAGCAAGGGCCACCCCAAAGAACGCAGGAGGCCTCAGCTTCTCTTGCCTGAGATCGCTGCCGTGTGGGGCTTCAGCGCCCGGCTGCCTGTGGGGAGCGGATCACCGGCGGTTTCATCCCCGTGCACTCTTGTCTGATGAAATATAAATAGCACGCGATGTTTTCGAGCAAGGCTAGGGAAGCGTCTGTGGGTCGTCCTCCCGCCCGGCAGAGGCTGATGAGCTGGCCTGGGGACGGGAAGGAGATGGGAGCTCCTGAATAAATCATCGTGGGAGCTGGGCTAATGCACTGGCCACGGGCAGCGTGTGCAATTAGTGTGTTAATTGTCCAGAGAGGATGACTTTGTGAGGGTGTGGCCCAGAGTCCACTGGTTTGCAGAGTGCCTGATGTCTGGGATGCCTGCCCCCACGACTCTGGGAAAGGACCCCAAGCCGGAGAATCAGCCAGTGCGGCCTGACTCAGGGCCTCATACTCTGCCCTGCGGCCTCCAGCTCCCCTGGCAGCCCTCAGCTGGGGCTGACAGCGCACAGCAGGGATTAGCAAGTGGACCAGGAGCAGAGCCTGGGGGCCGAGACTTGCCCCCTCTCACCCCTCCCTTCTCCTTTTCTTCTTTCAGCCTCTTTGTGCTCAGTGGTTTGGTTTTGTTTTTTGCCTTTGAACCAAGGCTGTCCCAGACTTAGCTTCTCTTGCCCCGTTGCCAAGGTGACCAGACCATCCCTGCCACCCTGCAGCCACTGCCAGGGCTGGGTGAGGGACATAGCCCTGGACGTGTGTGTATGTGTGTGTGTGTGTGTGTGTGTGTGTGTCCATGCCTGTGTACATATGTGTACAAGAGCAGACACACAGAGATCCCCAGGTCGATAGCCCCACACAAATGTGGGCATGGATTCATCGTTTGAGGAAGAACGCAGGCCCGAGTCTGTGTGCATGCTGGAGGCACACGCAGGTGGACTGCACACACCCATGTGTGCCCATGCAGGAGCTCCCTGGTCATACCCCACACTTCTCTGGTACCCGAGGCCCTGCCCAGTGCCTCCTCTGGCCACTGGAGCCTTCTGCATGTGCAGCCGAGGGAATGAATGCGTCCTCCCCTGCCTGGCAGCCCCCGTGGCCAGCAGCATCCCGAGGCCAGGCCAGACCTCTACGGCCCCCACTGCCCACAGCATGCTGGGCCATCCCTCCAATGGGCTTCCTTGCTGGGGATAACTCTGAGGCGTGTTCTATGCCCAGGAGGCTGGAGCCCAGGTATCCTCAGCGGTGACCTGCTCATCTATGCAGTCATTTTTGGCTGCCGTCCTGTCCCCATCTCATGTCCCCACTCCCTTCCTGGTGCTTCCCGCTGTCACCTGCAAAGTAAACTCCCTACTCCCAAATCCTTGACTCAAGATCTGTTTCTGGGGAAAGGACTAGAATAGAACACACCCTTATCCTAGGTCGTGTATCGGTGTACACATGTGACATGTTGCCAGCAAAGATGCGTTTACAGAGCTGTGGTGTGAGAGCAGGCATGTGCTAGCATGTATCATGTGTGTGGTGTGCATAGCACATAGCACTGTATGCTGGACCTGTTCTGGGTACTGTGCATAGACTAACATCTGCTGGACCAGGGAGGCAGAATGATTAGGCCCATTCCACAGATGTGGAAACTGAGGCAAGGATGAATCCATAAATGTGTGCCTTAGGGGTGGAGCCCTGGCAGGAGCTGGGACCCACCCTAGGAGGTGAGAATTTGTGCACCCCCTCAGCATTGCTGCACTACCCACCCCAAGCCCTGCAGATGCTGGCAGGAGGCTGGAGGTGGAAGCGGCTGCATTCATCTTCAGACCCCATGGAGCGAAGCTGCCGTCCCCCATGCCTGCTTCTGGCCTTGCACCCCAGCGACTGTGTGCATGCGCCCTTCCCAGGATGCCTGGCCCCCAGATGCTGGCCGATCATGTGGCCTTTGGGCTCTGGATTCCCTCTCTGAGCTTATTTCTTCGTCTTGGGGCAAGGATAGTCCCCAGCGTGTCTCCTGGGGTTGTCAAGAGATGCACAAAATAGGTCCTTTCTTCCTGCTCCAGGCATGAGAAAGCATTTCCTGGCCATCTCAGTGGCCACCCACCTGCTTTCTGAGCAGACATTGCTGGTCACACCTCTGCTCTGGGACAAATGTCCTGCTAGATCCCAGCTCAGAGAAAGACCATAGCTCCAGGTCAGTACAGCACAGCAGGGGCCAAACAGGGGCCAGACACCAGGGCCCTACCCCACCACTCCTGGGTCCCATAGCCCCTGCCTCCTCACAGCACCAATTAGCTGCCACCAAAGGAATGGGAGAGAGGCAGGCAAGAGCCACATAGTCAGGGAAGGCTTCCTGGAGGAGGTGGTCCAAGCCAGACTTGGAGTGACTGTGGTGTCTCCTAGAGACACCAGGGCCAACGTGCGTGGTCAAATCCTAGGTCTCTATTTCCACAGCCCTGGAAGTCCTGAATTTCTATCCCAGCTTTGCCATGGACTGGCTGCGTGTCCCTAGGCACAGCACTCATCCTATCCGAGCCCCAGTTTCTTGCCTCTATCAAAAGAAACTGGTGTGAATGGAAGTGGCATGTGTCACAGTGACGAGTGTTCCTGACGCACAGCAGTTGCGCAGTCCCAGTTTACTGGGGTTGGAAAGCGTGTGTGGCAGTAAGAGGTCCGTGCAAAGCGGTATGGGGTCAGAACAGCCTCTGTGGGGCCCCGCTCGCTACCGTCTAGCTGTGGGGTGCCTGAGTCTCCTCACTGTGAAATCAGGCCATGCAGAGCCACCTGCTACCTAGTACTAGAGGGAGTGCAGGAAAAAGTGCAGCCAGTGCTTCCAGACCCTTCCCTGTGGCCTGAAGGGCTCCCCACCCCACCTGGGTGGGCTGCACATGCAAAGGCCACCTGGGGGTGGGGAGCAAGCTCCTGGCCTCTGAGCGGCCTGCCCCACCCTGTCCCCTTCAGAGCTCATTTCCCTGCCCCTCCCTCCTGTCTCCTCACACCCTGCCTTGTGTCCTGGGCTGGGGACTCTGCTCTTGTTTCCAGCCCTGTTGACCCTCAGCTGGCCTCGACTCCCTCCTCCCGGGTGGTCACACAGTCCCTCCTGTAGCCGGAATCTCCTGTGTTTCTCCGGTTTCTCCTGGAATGTCTGTCTCCCCCGATCTGTGAGGAGCCGGGCACAGGGCTGACCACCCTTTTCATGCTACACCCCGCACAGAGCCTCAAACGGGTTTGGTGCTCAGGAAAGACTTGTTTATGGAATGAACGGGGAATGAACAAGTGGCTGGATGGGTGGGCGAGGGGCCAGGCTGCCCTGTCCTTTCCCGACAAGGCCCTGGCCCTGAGCTGGCAGGTGCTCAGCCCTTCTCCCTCTGATCCAGCGTGCTGAGCTGTTCGTGTGCTAGGGATGCCTTTGACATCCTCCTTCTCAGAATAACACTTTTGAGTGCAAGAGAGAACCCATATAGGGCCACAGAGGAAACCAGAAATAAGTGTTGCAGTACTTATCAAAACATTCTTTTAAAATGTGTGATCTAGTAATTAGCATGCTGTTGCTTATGAGCGCCCTAACTAGCAAGACCCGGTGGCAGCCGTCCTACTGACTCCATGGGAGCAGGGAGGAGAGCTGTGCAGCTCCAGCGGTCTGCATTGCTATAGGGCCTGGGGTGAGCCCAGGCTCGGTGTGTCCAGCATACATTTCACAGAGAGGTTGAAGGCGGGGAAGTTGATGATTTTTCCCCCATCAAGTTCACAAAGCCCTGGCTTCTGTCCTTGGGCTCTGCGGCAGGACCTCCGGGAACCTGCTCCACTGTCTCGGGGACTGCAAAGCCTGCCCCTGCTTTGCCCGGCCCCCTTGCCTTGCCCCCAGGGTCCTTGGGCAGCCCTCCTGGGGGTCTGGGGACCAAGGAAGGGCATCCCGACTGTGACCTGAGCTTTAGTTTCCCAGCCATGGTAGGGGAGAAGTGGTCGGGGTTGGCTGCATCCCCAGGCCCTCACACCTGGCTGTTGTGTGTGAAATGCCCAGGCCAGGCATTGTGAGTCCCCAAGCAAGGCCATAGAGCAGAGAGGATTTCCCATCACCCCCAGGCTCGGCTGGAACCCTCCTGCTGGCCTGGCAGAAAGCTGACATTTCCTGCCCTGTGGGCCGAGCTCAGAGCTCAGCAGGGGTCAGAGAGTGACAGCCATGCTTTCTTCCTGCAGGGGCCACCCTGCTGTGAGCAGTTCATAAGGGAGGAAGGTGGAGACGCCCTGTTCCCAAGCTATGGGGCCTCTCATTTGACAAATGGGGAAACTGAGGCCCAGAGGGGACAGGGAAGGGGTGGTCCCATGGTGAGCTGAAGCTGGAGTGGCCTTGGGTGGGCTGCAGTGCTGCCTGCCGTCTTGTGATTCAGACTTTAAGGACTCTAGAGCACTCTTGGGGCACAGGGACAGAATCCTAGTTCCCAATCCCTTAACTTCCCCCAGGGACCTGGTTCTGTGCTGAGGCCCCTCAACGCAGTCAGACCCAGGTTCTACCCTCAGGAGACCCTTGGCCTGGTGGACTCAGAAAGACCGGCTGCACCCAGCATGGTCTGGTCCAGGACAGAGGGAAGCACAAGGGGTGGGGCTTGGAAAGGGGTGTTGAAGGATGCATAGGAGTTTGAGGGAGAATGGGGAAGAGAGGGCCTTGGGTAGTGTCTGGCATGCAGCTTCCTCTGAGCGCCATCGACGAAGAGGTGCTCCCATCTGCCCAGCGTGCTGCGCGTCCTCGGCCAAGTCCCCTCCCTTTCTGAGCTGTGTGCTTCTGTCTCGCCATCCATCTGCTGTCCCTGCCTCCCTTTCCCCCACCTCCCTGGCACACTCACTTCAGCCCCGCTGCCCTCCCCTGGCCTCAGCCTCAAGGCCTTTGTGGCTACAGTTCCCACTTGAAGGAGTACCCTCTTCCCTCATTCTCTTCTCACTAGCTCTCCAGATGTCACCTACTCAGGCAGTCTTCCCTGACCTCTGGAATAGTCTCCACCCGTCTCTGGATTTACTCAAGTTCTTTTTTTTTCCTCAGCCTGTTTTTTTTTGGTCTGTCTTGCCCCAGCAGCATGTGGGCCCCCAGGCATGATGTCAGCACATAGTAGAGGCTGGGCAGACGCCGCTGAGCGTGTGAGTCAATGCTGAGTGTGATTCTGGCAGCAGTGCCAGGCCGTGGCGCGCTCACAGATCTGAACTGTAAATGGGGCCTGGGGCAGAGCGATAGGCTTTCTGGAAGGCCTACCCTATTTTCCTGGACTCTACATCTCTGAGGTCAGCCTCCTGCCCATGGTAGGGTGAACCCCAGAGCCCTGAGAGTCTGTCAGGCCCTCCCAGGGAATCTTCTGTACCTGAAATAAGGCCAGATTTACAAAATAAAAGAAGGAAGCTAAGAAAGCAACTGTAACGTGCTCCCCTACAGAGAGCAGACAGGTTATGGGGGGCTGAGGCCCTAATCCTGGCTGGCCCTTTGTGAAGAAATAAATGCACCCCTCAAGCTGGGGACTTCCTTGCTGGGAGCAAGGCAGGCCTGGAGGGCTCACTGAGGGGTTGGTGGCTGGATTACAGAGGGACTGAGGCAGGACACCTGGGTGCTAGGCCCAGCTCTGGCTCAGACTGGTGACCTTGGGCATGGCTCCTCTCTGTGCCTCATTTCCTCCTCTCAAAGAAGCTTGGGCCACCCCACCTGGGACTTCTGTGATGCAGTGAGCAGAAGCCAAGTACTGGGTCCTAGGGGCTCAAGAAACATGCTAGGAGTACTCACGGAGGAGCAAGGGACTTGGGGAAATCATGGAAGACTTCATGGAGGAGGCATCCTTTGAGCTTGGAGGATGCATTGCATTCTGAGAGGCAGAGAAAGGCATTTCATGGTGAGGGGCGAGCTCTGGCTGAGGCTCTGAGGTGTGGGACATTCCAGAGACATTGGAAGCCCAACCCTAGCTCTCTGCTCATTCCTACTGTGTCCTTTTTTCTTATTGATTCATAAGAACTCTTTATATATTAAGCACATGGGTCCGATTTAAACAAACACATTATTTTTCTTTTATTTTACTTACGATTGGTTTTGACAACATCATACATATTTTTATGTTGGCAAATTTCCCAGCCTTTCCTTTGGTGGTCTTTCTGGTCCCAGGATGCTTCTTGTGTCCTTACCTTGTGTCCTTGCTCTCCTGTGCACATGCTGGCTGCTCAGGACATGTCTGAGACTCAAATTAAGTTGAAGCTGGAAAATTTACAGCTGTATGAAAATCAGAAGCCAGGGTGCCTTTGCTGACCTGTGCCTCCCGCTGGGGTTCCTGCCCATCATTCCTTCTTGCTTGGAGTGGGGTCCAGCTGAGGCCCTAAAGGGGCCTGTGACTCTCTGCAGGGTGAGGCAGAGGCTCATAGCTGTGATGAAGGGAGAGGGTGGGAGGACAGGGAGTTCCCAGCTGGCCAGTCTCCATGTATTCACTCATGGAAACCCCATTGCAACCACATGAGATAGGTGCTATGATTAGTTCCATTTTATAGGTGAGAAAACTGCGGTTCAGAGAGGTTATGTGGCTTGCCCAAGGCCACACAGGAAGGGATGGAGACAGGATTTGAATTCATGCCTTGTTGCCCCAGAACTCTTATAGTTTCAAGCTCTCTTATGGCCCTTGGGCTCCCCATTGCCTTTGGGATCAAGTCTAGGCTCATTAATATGACATCCGAGGCCTCCTGGGGTGATGCCTCGGCCTCTGTGCCTGCACACGCTGAGCTTCCCTGATATGATGGTGGCAAGGCTGTGCCCATCTCTTCACACCTTCCCCACAAACCCCGAATAGTTTAGATCCTGGAATGGAGGGCTGGCAGGGCTTCTGTGGAGTAGCTGGGCCAGCCCCCTGGTTTGCACACAGTCAGGGTGGGTCTTGCCCAAGGCCTAGTGCCTGGAGAGTGAAGCTGGAATCTGCACCAAGACTGCAGGACTCTGGTGCTCCTAGCTGTGTCACTGTGCTATGGTTGGTCTCAGGCGGGGTTCTCTCCCCTGCTGCTCGCTGCTGCCTCCCCACTGGCAGATACTCCTCTAGGAAGCACCCCTCCTGCCACTGGGTTAGACACCTCGCCTGGGCTCCCGAGGGCCCAGCGAGTTGTGACTGCTGACTTCTCACCGTCTGCCCTGTGAGGCAGGGTGCCCCATGAAGGCAGGCGCCCAATGCTTCCTCTTCAAGTCCTCGGTGCCCAGTGAGGACTTGAAGAGGGAGACCCAGAGAGGGACAGAGCCCTGCTCCAGGTCACACAGCAAGTTGGGGCAGAGCCAGGAGTCCTAGAAGGGCCCCAAGACCCTCCAGGTCTCCCCTGTTCCTAGGACTTAACGGAGCCCAGGGATGGGGCAGTGTCTGCGATGGCCACCCCAGCAGAGGGCACTACTGTAGGGCCTCTGTTCTCTGCTTCTCCCAGGGGCCTGGGGCCAAGGACACCCTCTCTCCCTCCTGCCCCCACCCTCTGTGAAGAAGGATGTTCTCAAGATAGAAATACCGTCAGAAACATTCCCTGGTGTTTGGTGTGACTGTCGTCCACTCTGTGGGGCCAGAACCTTCTGACCTGGCCTCACCTCAGGGCTTAAGGGTGGACGTTTGCCTTTTCTGGCCGCTTGGTGCAGCCTCTTTCTGGGGTCCATATGTCCAGCCCCCATCTTTACGCCACGGAATGTGAGGGGTCAGTGTCACTCAAGGTTCCTGCAGCTTCCACTTTCTGAGCATCCTCTGTGGGCCGGGCGCATCCCGAGCATGGAACAGCGAGGCAGATCCTGCCCTTGTGCGTTTTGTGGCTCCTTGCGGGCCAGGGGGGCTTCTGAGGACATCCAGCAGGCCACAGGGAGGCTTGGGCACAGCCAGCTTTCCGTCCTGTTGGGAAGCCTGTTTCTGCTTTCAGTGCCCACGTGGTGTCAGGAACGCCGGTCACAGTGAACGCCTGCAGGACCCACACTGCTGCATCGTCTCTGTGGGACAGATACTGAAGCCAGGGCTTGGCTTACCCTTGTGACAGTCTCCCGAGGTGTGTGGGGTCTCCTCATTTTGCAGATGGGGAGTTTCAGGCCCCAGTGAGCTGGGGGGCTGCCAGGCCTCTCCAGGGAGGGTGACAGCTGCCACCTCCCAGAGACCCGCTGGGGCGAGGCCCAGTGCCCGGACTGCAGCTTCGTCACCACCTTCAATTTCATGGCACACCCTCTGAGAGGCCTGGCAGGCGACACCAGCCTCGTTTTTCAGAGGAAGCTGAGCCTCAGGAAGGGGAAGTGCCTTGCCCTGTTCCGTGGGGGATTTCAGCCCCAGCCTCAGCCCAGGCCCTGCCCTCCCCTGCGGGACGCTGTGGGCCAGCCCGGCCTGTTGGCCCTCAGTCGTGGTCATGGGGAAGCACTGCCCCTGCAGCCCACCTCCCCATCCAGGATTGTGACCATAACCCCGGGAAGCATTTGTGGGACTTGGCGGGGTGAGCTCACATGGCGGCTGCTGTGGCCCCTGCAGGTGGCGGGAGCTCTGGCCAGGGCATGTGGAAGGCTGGCTCCTGTTTGCAGGGTCCTGCCCTGCACTGTGACTTCAGGAAAGTCTCTTCTCTGCTCTACGTCTCAGTACCCCTGTGTAGAATAGAGCTAATTTTGCCTTCCTCCTAGATAAGAACAAATCCAGCTGGATTTGTGGTCTGGGGAATGCCCCTTCCAGGTAGTAGGGAGTGAGGGACGAGGTTGGGAGAGCCTGCTGCAAGCCAGGTGACCAGCAGGACGTGGATAGGGGCTGCTGCCCACACTTCTGGCCCCCACCCCTGCTTGGCTTCCCATGGCCCTGTGGCAATATCCGACCTTCGCTGCTCAGAGTTCCAGCTCCAGGTGACTGGGCAGGTGACTTAGCTTCTCTCAGCCTCAGTTTTCCTATCTGTCCAGAGGGGAGAATTGTCCCTCCTCCAAGGCAGGGCTGTGAGCATCGGGATGACTGCAGCCAGCTGCCAAGCATGCAGGGCTTGCACAGTGTTGGCCCACTCGGGGAAGGGGGTGGACCCAAGTCCCTGCCGTGGAGGTCCCCAGCTGTGTGATGTTGGCTTGTGACAGAACCTCTCTGAACCTCTGCAGCTCATCCACCTGTCCATCCATCCACCCATCCATCTCTGAACCTCTGTGTCCCCATCAGTTTTGAGGATGGAATGGCTGAGAGAGGCAAAGTGTAGGCCTGTGGCTTCTGCTCCCAGAATGATGAGGGATGGGGAAGAAGGGGCTGGGGATTGGGGGACTTGGAGGGTGAAGAGGGACTGAAGGGCCACTAGAGACCAGGCAGGCCATCCCATTTCAGAACAAGCTGAGAGAGGGGAAGTGACTCACTCAAGGTCACACAGCTTATGAGGGGCAGAGCTGGGATTTGAATCTAGGTCTGTGTGCCTCTAAACCACTGTCACCTGTCCCAGGAGGCTAATGAGGTGGGGGTGACTTACCAACATTTGCCTTAATTCCAGCCAGAAAAACCAGTGTGACAAACCAGCCTTGGCTGTAACCTTGGAAAGGGCAGGCCCCATGAACTCCCTGGCTGGGAGGTGCGGAGGTGAGAAGCATGTCAGGTGGCTCACCGTGGAGATCCTCAGAGCCCCTTCCCACCAACCTCTTCTCTGATTCTCACGGCACACTGGATAGGAAGGCAGGGGGATCCCTTTGACAGGTGGGGAAATTGCATCTTTGGGATTGCAGGGACCATGTAGGATGTATGTGTACCCAAGGCAAATCTCTGGCAAATTACTGATGTGTGCCCATCCACGTAGTTAGCCATGTGCCCACCTGCTCATCCATCTAGTCATCTATCCTACTCGCCCAAACACCCTATCCATCCATCTACCCACTCATCACCCACCCTCACACCCATCCACCCATCCATCTATCCATCTACCCACCCATCCACCCACCCATCCATTCACCCATCTATCCATCCATCCACCCTTCCATCCCTCTATCCATTCATTTCTCTACCCACCCATACACTCATCCACCTGTCCATCTATCCACCCATCCACTCATCCACTCATTCACTCCACCCATCCATCACCCAACATTCCATCCATCCATCCATCCATGCACCCATCACCCATTCATCCATTAATCTGTTCATCCACCCACTCAACCATATACCCACCCATCCACCCAGCCATCCCTCTATCCATTCACTTCTTCACTCACCCATCCACTCATTCACTCACCCATCCATCCACCCAATCATCTGCCCATCCATCCATCCCATTCGTCTATCCATCCATCCACCCACCCATTACCCATCCATCCATCCACCCATCCATCCATCCATCCACCCATTCACCCACCTATCCCTCCATTCATTCATCTACCCATCCACTCAGTCACCCACCCATCTACCCTTCTGTTCATCCATCCATCCAATCATCTACTTTCACACTTATCCATCCATCTATCCAACCATCCATCCATCCATCCATTCATCCATCCATCCATCCATCCATCCATCCTATTATCCATTCATCCACTCATCCATTCACCCATTCATCCACTCATCCATCCTTCCTCCATACAGCCATCCACCCTCACACCCAACCACTCATTCACCCATCCATCCATCCACCCACCCATGTATTCATTCATCCATCTACCCACTCATCCATTTATCCATCCACCTACCCATTCATCCCTGCATTCATTTATCCACCCACCCATCCATCATCCATCCATCCATCCATCCATCCATCCACCCATTCATTCATCCACCCACCCAGCTATTCACAACTGGCTCCAAGGTTGGCGTTGGGAAGGCTCTGCAGGTGGTGGCTGGGAGTACAGGCTGAGGGCCTGAATTCCTTTGTGACAGTGGGAGAATTACCACATTAACTACTTCTCTGGAATAGTAACAACAATAGTTCCAACCTTGTGTAATTGTGAGGATTATGTGAGATGATGTATGTAAAATGCCTACTATAGTGTCTGGCATGCAATAGGCACTCAATAATTGTCAGCGGTCATTTTTCTCTGACACCCCATCTTGTTCTGCTCTTCTCTGGTTCTGGATGGTTGCTATGCTGTGAAGGTGTGGGGCATCAAAGGTGCAGGCCAGAGGCCCTTCCACCTCCTGTGGGGCCCTGGGGAAGTGAGCAGAAATGTGGTTTCATGTGGTTATGTCTTACTTGTGAGCCCCTCTGAGAAGAGCAGCACCGCCTGCAGTAACTTGGCTTTACTCTTTTAACTTTAGGATGTTCTAGTGACTGGATCCTTTCCAGTTGGTGCCTGGGAAATGGCAGCCACTACTAATTCAGCCTTGAAGACAGTACCGTGCCCACTCAGCACCATTACATAGAAGATAGAACTCAAGAGGTAAGAGTGAAGTCATTGACATGCTCTTGTGCATCTAGGCATTCCTTCCACCAGACTCTCATCTGTACATCCTTCACCCCTCCACCCACCATGCCATCCTTTCATCACCCATTCCCCCACCCATTTATCTGCTCAGCCTTCCATCCACCCACCCATGCCTCCACCCCTCCATCCATCCCCTCGCCCATGCCATCCGTTCCTCACCCATTCCCCCACCCATTCATCTGCTCAACCATCCATCCACCCATCCTTCCACCCACCTAGCCAGTCCATCTATCTGGTCACCCCTATCGTCCACCCACCCATCTGTCAACCCGATTTATCCACCCATCTGCCTGACCACCCACCTGTTGATTCAATCACTGTTCCACCCATCTCCTCATCCATCCCATTCAGCTGCTTAGTCCTTCACCCTTCATCTGGCTGGAGCGCATTTCCTGGGTGCCCCTCTTTGCTATACCTGCATCAGCCTCTCTAGGCCTCTGAGCTTGGTCAGAGATGGGGCCTGGGCAAGATCAACTCTCACACAAGGTGGGAAGTAGCTTCTGGCCTGAACGGGAAAAGCCCAGTGCTAGAGGATCCTAAAGGGGGCCAGGGGAGGAGGAGGAGGTGGAGGAGGCAGAGGAGAAGGCGGCTCAGTATTGTGGGGCAGAAGGAGGAGGAGGAAGAGCAGGAGGAGACTTGGTGTGGGGCATCCAGGAGGGGAGGCCAGGGTTCAAGAGCCTTTGCTGTGGAGAGGCTACTGGAGACCCTATGAGGAAGGCCCAGGAGACAAAGGTTCCAGCGCAAGTAGTTTCCTGGGAGGTGATCCCAGGAAATAAGGAAATGAGGTGAGAAAGAGAAGGAAGTGATAAAGGGCATGTCATTGATACAGTTACTGCTGGGGCACTGGAGCCGACTCCCGCTGGGGAGGCCAGGGAAGCAGTGCCCCTCCCAGGGGCAGCTTGCTGGGGCCCAGCCACCTGCTCCCATCAGTCACTGACTGAAAGCTGTCCTGGCAGCATCAGCTCCTCAGCCTGCCCTCTGAATGGCAGAGCGTGCCCATGGCTAGAGAGAGCTTTTGGGCAGAGAGACACTGTGGTTGGTGTAGGAATTGAGACAGGTGGGCCTGAGGTGGTAAGGGCCTAGGATATCAGTGGGGCACCCACCACCCCATGCCCTGCACACAGTGATGTGTTGCTGCTGCCTCTCTCCTCAGGCCTAGCCTGCATTTGGCATAGGAAGCCGTCATGGCATTGGACCCAAATGTTTGAGGGCCATGGGTTAGCTTCGTGGACAGAGGTCAGCTGAGTCTCTGGTGGGGAGGTTTGGCCTGGAAAGGGGATTGGGTGTAAGAGGTCATCATCTTCTTCCCAGATTATGAGACATAGGAATGCCACCCACCACTCTCCCTCTCCCCTCCACACCAGCCTGGGTTCTCCCCCATCCAGCCAAGCTTCCTCACTGCCCCCAGGGTGCCCAACACGTCTTTGCCTCCCACTCCTGGCTCTGGCAGTGTCCCCCAGGAGTGCCCCTCCTGGCTGCCTGTGCCCAGCCTAGCCTTGATGTGGTCCTATACCCTGGGCAGGGCCTGCCATGAGGGAGAGCCCCTAACCCTGCAGCCAGCCCTGCCTCTCACACCCTATGTGACGGAGCAAGGGCACCGGCTCAGAGCCTCAGTCTCCCCATCTGCAAAGGAAGGGCTGGGCTTTCCAGGCCCCAGTGCTGCATCTGATGAATGGTGCCTGGATTAGGAAAGATTCTGAGCTGCTCTGGATGCAGTGGATGAAGCTCTGTGGCTGAGGAATGGTGCTTGCCTGGGCGAGGCTGGAGCAGGCACCTTGGGCGGGGAGGCGTGCGCCAGCCTTCCCTGCATTGAGTGATCTCTGAGGGGTCTTCCAACGGTGAGGCTTGATCATGAGGTAGAGTGCCCCATCTCCGAATGAGGGTGAGTGGCCGTGGGTTGGAGTGCTGGTGAGGGCCCTTGAACCTGTGCTTTTGAGTGCCGATTTGCAGCAGTCTACATCTCATCACCACCTGGGACTGCAGGGGCTTGGGACCAAAAGGATTGCAGTGCCACGCACACAGTCAGGCCTCAGGTCTTGGTGTTGTGGGGCACTGGTTTCACCCCTACAGCCCAGCCTGGAAGCTTCACTCCTGAAAGGCTGTGTAACCATCACAGTGACTCAATCTTCCTAGGCTTCCGTCTGCTCATCTGGAAAATGGGGATAATAATCACAGTGTGATGGAAGGGATTAAATGAATCAGTTTATTAAAGCTCTTAGAAGAGCACGTGGCAGGTAGTAAGCACTTGATAGATACTGAGTGCTGTGTTCGTGCCTCGTGAGGCGCCCCAGCTAGCTGAACAGTCTCTGCATGGGGGATGGGGGCTGTTGGCGCCTCCCCCTCCGAGTCCCTATGTCTTACCCTGGGTGATGCAGGCGCCTGCACTCTCCCTTCCGGTCAGTGCTTTCTTGGTGTCTGGGAATGTGGGTCCAGGCCTTGCCCTGAGCTCCTCCCGGATGTCACCGAAACCTGAGAAGCCCAGGGCCTCAGGGCAGTGGGCATGGGGCATCCAGTTCCATCCGGAAGCACCTCCCGGTGACTCCTGGACCCCACCCTTAGGTCACGTGGCAGCTGCCGTCTGGCATCCTCTCTAAAAGCTCCCAGCCCAGGTCCTGGTCTGTTCTTCAAGTGGACTGGTCGCTGGGAGGCTGCGTCTGTAGGCACTGTGGCCAGCAGGAAAGCAGGGATCTCCGGGGGTCTGCCGGGCCCGTGCTCTCTCCCCACTGCCTGCTCTCTCCCTCCTGGGTTTGCTTCACTGCCCCTTGGTGTTGAAACCGCCTTGTCTAGCTCAGGTAGTGTACCCCAGCGCCCCTCTCCCATTCCCCTCCCGGCGACCCTGGGACCCTGGCAGGCCAACCTGGGTGTCTGCGGAAAACGGTCCTACCTTTAGTAGTGAGCACCTTGTCTTGGCCCTTGAATTGCTTTGTGACCTGGGACAAGTCTCTTTTTCTTTTTGGACTTGGTTCTCCCATCTGTGAAATGGGGAGCCAGCCTTCTTGCTTGCTAAGGCCTCTTCCAGCAAAACAGTTTCTCTGATTTCATGTCTTGTCTGATTTCACTGTATGCACCCCATTGAGCAAGAGCCAAAAAGGCCTGTGTGTCCCTGGTGGAGGATATTGTCCTATATTTCTTATATTGCGACCTTGAAGGCCGCATGGTTGTGTAACATCTTGCCACACCTGTGTTTACGCAGGAGTGTTCTTGAGACATTGTCTAGCTTGTGGTGCTAGGGTTTCTATGCCAGGGTCCCCTTCTGGGTCTGTCTTTGTGGTGCTGTATTCACCAAGTGCCCAGTGAGGGGGCTCCCAGCACCCCTGGGGAGGGTTTCTCTCTCTCTCTCTCTCACACACACACACACGCACACACGGCAGAGCAGGGCTGTGTGAGGCTGAGGACTGACATTCTGGGCTCCAACTCTCTCTTCTGCTCAGTTTCCAGGGGTCCTGGGACAGGTGTCTTTGTCAGTTTTTGGCTCTGAGAAATGAGGGAGTGGGGCATGAACTTGACCTTGTTGATGCTCTCTGTGTGGTAAAACCACGCAGAGAGGAACGTCGACAGAAGTGGGGGTTTCCAAGCCTGTATGACACCATCTGGGCAGGTCTGCGGTGCCCAGCCCTGGCAGAGATGCCAGGAGCTGTGGCAGCACCCTCACCAGTCTGGTAGTTGGCCAGTTTCGAGGCCGCCAGCTGCTGGGAGCACATGCAGACCGGGCTCTCTGGCCTTTAATTCTTGTGATTCTGTTCCTTGCAGGCTTTGAGCTGCTCGGAGCAGGGGCTGGAGCAGCCATGACCCGCTGGAAGTCCCTCAAGGCCCCTGGGCCACACAAATCCAGCCCCTGTCAGCTGGTGGCCTCACGCCGGCGTCTGAGTGCCCCGGCCCTGGCTGCCTCTTTCTGGAGGGTCCAGGAATCTGGGGCTGAGCCCCCTTCCCAGCACAGCCTCAGGGGTCCCCCCTGCTGCCGGCTCCCTACTTCCAGGCCCAGGCAGAAGCAGTGTCCACCATTCCGGCCCTGCGTCCCAGCTCCTCAGCGTCATGGTGAGGTGGTCAGCCACAGCGGTGTTGGGGGAGGACGGCAGAGTAAGGAAAGGCATCCCTGCAGAGCTTGGGGGCCCATGGTGGGGGACGGCGCTAGAGGTGGTTTAAAACTCAACTCTCCTGCTTAATGGCTGTGTGGCCTGGGGGAAGTCACTTAACTTCTCTGAACCTGGATGGTGGCTGCACCCCCGGGTTGTTGAGAGGACGATCTGAGGGCAGCTGTTGATGGATCTGTCCCCCAAGGCGCCCAGGACCCCGCCTGCTCTCCCTGTGTCTCTCTCAGGCGGCAGTTGCTGTGTGCTGCTCGGACCAGCGGGCTCGGGGCTAAGCAACCAGGCAGCCCCTGGGAGTGTTCCACAGCCTGGCCGGGCAGGCGGCTCCACCATCACCTGTTGCTCAGGTGTTTGGAGCAGAGCTCAGAGGCCGCACCCGCTCCGAGGCCCAGACTAGTGTGGACGTGGCCAGAAGCTGGGTCACACAGACCGGGGCTGAGTCCTGGCATTGCTGCCTCCTGCCTATGGGACTGGGACAAGTCCATTCTGGCTTCTGGGCCTCCAGGTCCTTGTTTGTAAAGCAGGGTGGCCCACCCCTCCCTGGAGGGCTTGAGAGGCCTGCAGAAGGCTGTGTGCAGCGCCTGGTTCACAGTGGTGCCATCCCCCCAGGATGTTCTCTTGGGGCCTCAGTGTCTTCGTAACTGAGTAATGTGGCTGCAGGTGTGCTAAGGGAGAAGGCTTTGTCTAGCTCTGAGGTTATGGTGTGACTGGACTGGGACTGGGGGTGCTGGGTCCCTGTGGGCGGGGAGGGGTGGGCCTGTCCAGCTCCTCCGTCGGGGCTAATGCTGGAAGGCCCAGGTCTCCCTGCTTCCAGCCTAGCCCAGCCAAGGCAGGCTGCCATCCAGATGTGGCTGTGGGCCAGGCGGTGCCATAGCCCCTAGCTTGCAGATGCCCTAGCCTGTCACTGACAGGCCAGTGTGGGGCCTTTAGTGGGGGCAGCACAGCCTGTGTGTCCCGGGGGTGGGCACGTCAGTGGCTGAGAGCAGGCTTTGTTCTGGCTGGCATGGATGCCCTGCTGCGGGGCCTGTCCTGGGGTGCCTGAATGTGCAGTAGGCTGGCCTGGAGCCAGGTGCTGCCTGCAGTGAGCTGAGGGTGGTGCTGGGAACAGGTGACACCCCTGAGCACTGCCCAGGTGCTAGGGTAGCAGCCTTGCAATCTTCCTTAGAGATGCGGGAAGCAGGGGCTGGGGAGGGCCCTCGGCTGAGGTCAGCCAGGGAGCAGCCCATGTCTGGGTGCCAGATCTTACCCTCTTTGGCACTGCTGGTGACCAAGAAGCTGCAAGCATGGCATGTGGGTGGACACTGTAGAGTGGGGCATGTGGGTGTCAGGAGGGTGGTGGGACCCAGCTTGGGGTGTTCAAAGTGGGTGGCGACAGGGGTGGCAGGCCGCATTCTAGGCCCTGGGAAGGACAACAAGAAGCAAAAGAGAAAACGTCTCACGCCTGTAATCCCAGCACTTCAGGAGGCCGAGGCAGGTGGATCACCTGAGGTCAAGAGTTTGAGACCAGCCTGGCCAACATGGTGAAACCCCGTCTCTACTTAAAATACAAAAGTTAGCTGGATGTGGTGGCGGGCACCTATAATCCCAGCTGCTCAGGAAGCTGAGGCAGGAGAATCGCTTGAACCCAGGAGGCGGAGATGGCAGTGAGCTGAAATCGCACCATTGCATTCCAGCCTAGGTGACGAGAGGAAGATTCTGTCTAAAAAAGAAAAAAAGAAAGAAAAGAAAAAAAGAAAATGTGCTACCCTTAGGGAGTGGTGGTCTCAGGGTGGGGTTGATGGTTGAGTGCCCCTGGCTACGTTATTGTTATTGCTGCCGCCATTGTGCCCTTAGAAGGGGCAGTGCTGTGGATATAGCAGGGATGGGACATGGGTCTTCCTGGGGCACAAGGAGGCCTCTGGTGCCAAGGTGGCGAGGCAGTGGCAGGATGTCTTGCGGGAGGGTGTCCAGGGTGGGTTTGAGGGACAGCCTGGGGCCAGGGGCTGTGGCCGGAAGGGGAGTCCGCTGGAGGAGGCTGGGAGGTGAGGTCCGAGGGGTCAGGAGCTTCCCTGTGCAGGTCCTGCATGTCCTGGGGGGCCTCTGGCATTGAGCAGGGGAGGGATAGGCACCGACTCAGCTTCCACAGGCCCTCTGTGGCTGCCATGGAGACTGGGGGGCCATGGGCAGAGGCAGAGAGGCTGGCAAGTTGTGCCCCGAACTGGCTGGGCAGGCACTGTTAGATTCAGGCCTTGAGGGTGGGAGAAGGGGTCGGATCCTAAATAGACTCTTCAGAGCCCTCAGTGTGGGAGTGAGGTGTGGAGCTGAGGTTTTTGGCTGGAGCTGCTGGGGGCCCGAAGGGGGTGGCCATTCGCACTGGGAAGGCGGAGTGGGGAGCTGGCTTGGGCAAGACCAGAGCACGATCGTGGGTCAATCAGGGTGGAAGCGTCCTCCAGTCACGTCTGGGGGCCCTGGGATGGGGGTAGAGGAGCCCGGAGCCACCAGCCCAGCCAGACATGCTGTCGTCTCTGTTGCAGGAGCCGCCCTGCCTGGAGCTAGCCTGGGGGCGAGCCAGGGTCCCCCAACCCCCGGGATGACCGCGGCCAGCCGGGCCAACCCCTACAGCATCGTGTCATCGGAGGAGGACGGGCTGCACCTGGTCACCATGTCGGGCGCCAACGGCTTCGGCAACGGCAAGGTGCACACGCGGCGCAGGTGCCGCAACCGCTTCGTCAAGAAGAATGGCCAGTGCAACATTGAGTTCGCCAACATGGACGAGAAGTCACAGCGCTACCTGGCTGACATGTTCACCACCTGTGTGGACATCCGCTGGCGGTACATGCTGCTCATCTTCTCGCTGGCCTTCCTTGCCTCCTGGCTGCTGTTCGGCATCATCTTCTGGGTCATCGCGGTGGCACACGGTGACCTGGAGCCGGCTGAGGGCCGGGGCCGCACACCCTGTGTGATGCAGGTGCACGGCTTCATGGCGGCCTTCCTCTTCTCCATCGAGACGCAGACCACCATCGGCTACGGGCTGCGCTGTGTGACGGAGGAGTGCCCGGTGGCCGTCTTCATGGTGGTGGCCCAGTCCATCGTGGGCTGCATCATCGACTCCTTCATGATTGGTGCCATCATGGCCAAGATGGCAAGGCCCAAGAAGCGGGCACAGACGCTGCTGTTCAGCCACAACGCCGTGGTGGCCCTGCGTGACGGCAAGCTCTGCCTCATGTGGCGTGTGGGTAACCTGCGCAAGAGCCACATTGTGGAGGCCCATGTGCGCGCGCAGCTCATCAAGCCGCGGGTCACCGAGGAGGGCGAGTACATCCCGCTGGACCAGATCGACATCGATGTGGGCTTCGACAAGGGCCTGGACCGCATCTTTCTGGTGTCGCCCATCACCATCTTGCATGAGATTGACGAGGCCAGCCCGCTCTTCGGCATCAGCCGGCAGGACCTGGAGACGGACGACTTTGAGATCGTGGTCATCCTGGAAGGCATGGTGGAGGCCACAGCCATGACCACCCAGGCCCGCAGCTCCTACCTGGCCAATGAGATCCTGTGGGGTCACCGCTTTGAGCCCGTGCTCTTCGAGGAGAAGAACCAGTACAAGATTGACTACTCGCACTTCCACAAGACCTATGAGGTGCCCTCTACGCCCCGCTGCAGTGCGAAGGATCTGGTAGAGAACAAGTTCCTGCTGCCCAGCGCCAACTCCTTCTGCTACGAGAACGAGCTGGCCTTCCTGAGCCGTGACGAGGAGGATGAGGCGGACGGAGACCAGGACGGCCGAAGCCGGGACGGCCTCAGCCCCCAGGCCAGGCATGACTTTGACAGACTCCAGGCTGGCGGCGGGGTCCTGGAGCAGCGGCCCTACAGACGGGAGTCAGAGATCTGAGCCAACCTTGGCCGACATGCAGCATCCACCCCCGGCTGGGGAGAGGCCCCGCGGTCGCTCAGGGGCCCCGGGTTTGAGCAGAACGGGCCCAGTGCCCTGGGTTGCAGACTCAGTAGCGTTTTAGTCGTTTTATGTTTCTTTGCAACGGCCTCAGAAGTTTGGCCGGAGAGGGGGCAGCCAGAGCGGCAGCCCCCGGCCTCAGAGGCTATCACAGGCTCAGGGCAAAGAAGTGGCCTCCTGGGGGGCCAGGCCACGAGGGCCAGGGCTTCTGCCTGAAGATGGAGCTGCAGCCTGCGGGGAAGCAGCTCAGCTCGATGGTGGGCCCAGCCTCTGCTGTCCAAGGCTGGCTAGCTGCGGTGCTCCTTGCTGGTTTTTAACTTGGGGAGAAACACCGGGTTTCAGCTTTCTTGACCTTAGCTTGGGTGAGACTGTTTACAAAAAAAAAAAATTACCATGCAATTGAAAAAATTTTTTTTTAATTCACAGGGGGCAAAAAGAACAATTAGAATTCCATGGGTCTGCCAGGATGCAGCAGCTGGCTGAAGGCTCCAGAGGGTTCCCCGAGGTGGGACTGGCCTCTCCCCGTGTGTGTGGGCACCACAGTCCCTGGGCAAGCAGGGTGCTCTGGGACCGCACTTCATCGAGCTCACGAGCCAGCTAGGCTCTGTTTGTGATAGAAAAATCAAGACCATGTTAATGATCGTAATAAAAGCTTTCTACTGTCGTTGGGGTGGTGGGTGGGGCTGGGAAGAAACTGGTTTGAGCTTTTAGAGTTTGCCTTTGTACCTTAGAGATGTGTCTCAGGGCCAGGCATGGGACCTGCCATCGAGGGTTCCTCCCCGCACCCTCGATTTTCCTGTTTTGCTTCTCTCTCCATTTCTGTCCAGGCCTCCGCCCAATTCCACAGTGAGGGGTGGTTAGGAGCTATAGGCCGGGATGGCTCCTTGGGAAGGGAAGTCGGGATCCCAGGCTAGGAGGAAGCTGGCAGCCCCGTCCCCACTGGGCCCACAGTGTGAGTCGTGCCTTAGAGACTCCGGGTTGTCCTGTTCTTTCTGGGCTTGCTCATCTCCCCCCAACCCTGTCCCACCCCACCCCTCCCATACCTCCACTGCTGAAGTTCCTCCAGCCCCTCTGTCTGCCTTGTGAAGGTGGCAGGGGCCAGGTCTGCCTGACATAGGACCACATCCTGTCCCTCCCTCACCTGGAGCAGCACAGCAGAGTTCAGGCAGGGCACAGCCAGGCCCTGGTCAGCGCTGAATGGCAGAGGAAAGATCTTAGGAAAGGAGAGGAATCGCCACCCCCTCCTGCCAACTGGGATGACTGGGGAGGGCCACGCTCATTCAAAGCTGAATCAGAAACCAGCCGTGGAACAGAATTCCTGCCGAGTCTTCCAGGGCCGCTCCTCCACCACCCTCCCCCAGGTTGAGGCACTATGGCACCCTCATCAGGAAGAGGTTTGGGGTCCCCTTGTTGTCACTGCTGGCTCTGCCACCCCATCTTGTTCATGGCAGCTGGTTGGGTCAGGTCCATGGTAGAGCCAGGCCCTTCCCAGGGCTGCGGAGAAAACCTGCTCTCTTCTAGTCGGGCTTCTCCAGAAGCCAGTAATCAGAAAGGATGTGTCTCCTGCTCCAACTCTGCCCCCGAGACAGCTCAGAGCCAGAAGGCACCCCGAGACAGCTCAGAGCCAGAAGGCACCCCGAGACAGCTCAGAGCCAGAAGGCACCGAGGACTCTGGCCCAAGTGGGGAAGCTGAGGCAGAGAGCAGAGGGGGTCATGCAGTGAGTGGGTGGGGTGCAGGAGACAGAGAGGGGCTGGGGGCGTGGGGTGGGGGTGTCTGCCTCTTCCCTCCACCTCCTCCCCTCCTTAGCAGCTGAAGACTCAGCCCTGAGGTCTGGGGCAATGGAAGTCAAGACACCCGACCCCTACATCCTGGGGTAGGCCCGACTCAGCATCCTGTCCCAGCTTCAGCCCCACACTCATTTCTGGCATAGAAGATTCCGCCGAGGCAGCTCTTTCCTCTCGGGGTCTGCCAGGGGTGCCTCAGCTGGTTCCTGCTCCCAGGCCTAGCCCCGAAGCCTTAGGGGCCTTCTCAGCCTTAGCCCTGGGTACTGGGGTGAAGTTGGCAGGGGAGAGCTTGACACTTCGCCTCCCTGATGGCCATGCTGAGGGACAGTGGTGACCCTGGTCACTTGGTGCTGGTGTAGGGGCCTGTGCCCTTCCAGGGCCAGTGAGACAGCCTTCTACTCCCCCGACCCAGAGCTGAGTCCGAGGACCCCAGGCCCACCTCCTGGCCCTCTTGGAGGTCTGTGCTCTTACCTCCCAGCCCCCACCCTGCGGGAGAGCAGCCCCAGCGCCTCATCTCCCCAAAGGCGGCAGATGCTTGATTCTCCTGCCCTCTTTCTTCCTTCCCTCGTATTTATTTATTTATTTATTGCTTGTGCTAAAGACCAAAATAGTCTCCCTCTTTAGTGCACTTGAAGCGGGAGGGCGGATGGGATGAGCCAGGAGCGAGGAAGACTTGGCCCCTGGGGAGTGTGTGTGTGGAGGCGTGTGCCTGTGTGAGCCTGCATGCATACATGTGTGGTGCACACATGCACACTCGGCTCTTCATGTGTATGACTGGGTTAGTAATACAGATACGTGATCTATACGTGTGTGTGTGTGTGTGTGTGTGTGTGTGTGTGTATGCAGGCGGTTATGTGTCTGTCTACCCCCAGGTGTTTCCGTGTACAAGTTTCCTGTGAGGGAGGGCACCCACCCATCAGGTTGGGCACTGGCACAGGTGAACCCCACAGTCCCCGACCCTCTGCCCTGATTATGCACGTCTGCTCCTGAGTGGAGCTTGTGTTCCAGGATGAGACATCTGGAGGTGAGCGTGTGCGTCCGGCTCGTGTGTAGGAGGCTGTGTGTGTGCCCATGTGAAACCGTGTACTTGAGTGTGTGTCTGTGTGCAGCCTATGCCTGCTGCTCAGAGCACGGTGGCCACCCCCTGAGCCTCTGCTGGTGCTGTGCTGCGTGGTCCCCACCCAGAGGGTCCTGGGGGGCGGGGAGGAGCCACCGTTGGGAGGCCCCTGTACGGGGTGTCTGCCCTGCGTGAGGGCATAGAATGTCAAATTATTTTAAATGGTGAAACTGGAGAGTTTTCATGTTATTTTCAATACATAGCAGTATCTAAAGACGTAGGCGATGAGACTAGACCACATTAAATGCATTTTGATCTCTTTGAGGTCCCCTGTGTTGAGATGTGTTTTCTGAAGTTCCCCTGCATGGCTCCACAGCGTGCTGGGCGTCCGCCCGGCTTCCTCAGCCTCCGCCTTGGGTGGGGGTTTCCTGGGGCTTCCTCATGGGTGAGGGTGGGGCATGGTGGCAGCTGTTGGGAGATGGAACAGAACTCAGCCTCCTTGCAGCTCCCAGTGGTCTCCAGCAAGCACACAGGGCTTGTCCCATGATGTCACCCATCCCAGGCGGCAGGGCCGAGCCTCCTGCCTTCCCTTCCTTCTGCAAGGATGTGCTGGGTGCCTGCTGTTGCAGCAGCGCCCTCCCCAGCTGGGGGAGGCTGACCTGAGACAGGCAACTCCTTTCCCAGGAGGGGAAGCCCTGCTCCAGCTTGTAGCAGGCAGGGGCTGAGGAGGAGTTTCAGAGCGTGCCAATGTCTCCACTGAGGTGACGAGACAAGCCTGGAGTGGGGTGAGGGAACACACACGGCCCAGTTTTGGGAAACTAGACTTTCATCTGTACCTTGAGGCTCAGCCCCAGATCTCCAAGGTCTTCAGCAGGGACTTGTGGGGAGAGAATTCCTTCCCTTCCCAAACTATGTGAGTGGAGAGTTCTCCACTCCTCTGCATCAGCAAAGGACTCAGGGCACCCTCTTTCTGCAGGATTTCGATGATGATTCCAGACAACCCCGGATAAGAATCCCCTGCCTGAGTCATTCCTGGGTGATGGTGCCGTGCATGGCAGAATGTGGAGCAGGGGCTTGGGTGCCAGGGCCTAGGGGGTCATGAAGGCTTCCCAGTGGGAGCTCCCTTGGGTTGGACTTGGGGTGACCCGGGGACCCTGGAGGTGGCTTGGTTTGGTGGGGACCTCCTTTCTGACTCTGGGGCCCTCCTGGGACCCCAGTAGCAGGATCAAGGCCAACTGGGGCCAAAACACGGTAGCATCTGTCTTCACTCAAGCCCTCCGGGCCATTCCCATGGCGCTGACTGGTAGGCATGAGGCCCTGGCCCCAGTTGGTGCTCAACAAATGCTTATCGTAGAGTCTCCAGGTGCGCTGTCCTGGCTGTACTAATGCCGCAAAGGGCCCTGGGTCAGAATGCAGGCCACTCATTTGCTGGGGGACCTCCTGTGAATTCCTTTCCCCCTCCAGCCTCGGTCTCCTGATCTGCAAAAAGGGGGTGTTCATAAGAATGGCCAGCTCACAGGTTTGTTGGAAAGGAGGAGAAAGAACCCTGACATAGTGAGTGCTCCTCAGTGCCTGCCTTCTGCTAAGTCAGATTGCACTGGCACTGCCCGCCCTCCTGAGGGGCACCCGGAGGTGCTGCTCTGGCTCAAGGTCACAGCAAGGAACACATAGCCCAGGCCTAACCCCAGGTCTGCGTGACTTCCATGCACTTCCCTGCCTCTCCAGGGATGATGTGAGCCCAATCCAGAATCTGCTTTAAAACAGGTAGAGCTGGGATGGGGGTGGAGAGCTTGTGAGCGTTCACTGAGCGCCTGCGAGCTTGATGTTTGAGGTCTGTCAGGCCCCACCCTTGATCTTGGGCTGGCCCGTGTCAGCAGGCCTCAGAGGCACTGCTAACCTATTTTAGAGGAGGTTGGTCGAGGGAAGCTAAGGGACTTGCTCGAGGCCCCCACAGGGTAGTTCCTCAAGCTGGGATCTAAGCCAGGCCCTGGGCCCTTCAGTCAGTTGACCCAGATGCTGCCACCCTGCTGGGCACTGGACACCTCAGGGCCTCTGCCTGCTGGTGACCAGGGCTGGGCTGCGGTCTCTGCCAGTGGAGGGGTGCCCCAGCTGGGGCCTGCCCTGGACTCATCTCCACTTTTCCCTTCCTAAAACCGGTCTGCAGGGAGGACCCCCACAACTTGGGAGGAATCACAGCCCAGATCAGAGCTGCCTGTGTGCTCCCCAACAGCAGTGGGGGCCCCAAGGACACATCGGACCCCCTTCAGCCCACTCTCCACCCGGCACCAGAGTGGTCTTCTTACAACCAGAATCAGGCCTTGCAGTTCCCTGCCTGAAACCCTCCCTGGCTTCTCCTTAACACTGGCAATAAAACCCCAGCTGCTCCTTGCCCGCTTCACCTCTGCAAGCCCGCCCCGTGCAGCCCAACCTTCCCTGCTCTCACTCCTGCTCCTGCCCCTCTGCTGCAGGCACCCTGTCCCTTGGTTTCCCTGACATTCCACATGTCCCCCCACCCCAGGACCTTTGTGCGTGCCTTCCCTCTGCCTGACACTTTCCCCTCAGGTCTTAGCAGACCCAGCTCCTCAATTTTCGAGTCTAGGCCTTTCCGGACCCAGTGCGAGGGATGGCAGATGCTCCCTCTGGAGGCAGCGGTCACCCCCAGGCTTGCAGTCTGCTGTCCTCACCAGGCTGCGAGCTCTGCGGGGCAGGGACTGCCGTCTCGGTCCCCGCTGGTGCCCAGCGCCAGGAGCAGGGCATGGAGGAGCTCCATGTGTGCTTGGATGGGGGGTGTGGGCCCTGCAGGCGTCTCTCCCACACAGAGGGCTCTACAGGTCTTGCCACCTGAGGCCCCCTTTTTGCTGAGCCAGACAGGATGGGGCCCAGCCACCGGCCACACCCAGGGGAGAGCAGCCCAGCCTGGGGTAACTGGAACTGGGAACCAGGAACAGAGCGGACAAGGGCTTTTGTGCTGAAGGCGATTTGAGCCCAAGGAAGGCTCTGGGTACTCCACCCGCTTTCCTCCTCGGTGCTGCCAAGAAAACATAGAAGGCGGCTCCCCTTTCACCCACAGCTGGACTGGGACCTGGATGGCCTGGCTTCTGGACTCTGCCCTTAAGTGTTTATGACTGGCCAACTCTGGGCCTCAGTTGCCTTCTATGGAACAAGAGCTCCATTCATTCCTTCAAACAAGTGTTTATGAGCTGCCACTGTGAGCATCAGGGGCCAGGTGGGAAGGAAGCCAGGCCCAGCAGATGGTGAACAAGAGTCTGGGCCTGAGTCCTCTACAAGTGGGGATTCTGGTGCAGGGAAGGATAGGGGAGAGGGGAGCAGCCCAAGCAGGAAGGAGCTGAGGAGGGATGTGGGTGCCACTGGAGCCCATCACTGTCTGGCACTCCTAGGAGTGTGAAGAGGGGCAAGGCGTTGTCCTCCTTAGGTGAGGGGGGTGGGGCTGCGGTGGCGGCTGTTGCGCTCATCAGTCACTCCTTGCCTGCAGCCACCCTGGGAGAGGAGGTGGCTCCTATGGATCCAGGACTATTCTCCAGAGGAGGGTGGCAGGGAGATGGGCACTCCTCCCAGGAACCGGATCTGGGTGGCCCCAACCATGTCCACTGCAGCAAGGAGCTACAGAGCAGCGTGGTCCCGGGATCCAGCGGGACACATGCAGGGGCTGCGTCCGGAGGCACGGAGGCCTGGCTGGAGGGACCGGGGACCTCCCACAGGAAGTGACACCTCCTCTGGGATCTGCGGGATGAGTGGGTGTTTGCCAGGCACACAGGGAAGTGCTTCCCAGGGAGAGGGACAGGCACAACCAAAGGCCTTGCAGTGGGAGACAGCAGAAGGAAGATGCTTGGCTGGGGTAGGCGGGTCACCGAGAGCCCAAGGACTCTGTGCAGGGCCCAGCTTCAGTCTTGTTCCCAGCTCCTCCCCGGCCTCCACCATAGCCACAGCGTGGCTGCATTGCCCAACCCAGAATGTCAGCCCTTGGGAGCAGGACTTTTTGTTCTGCTTTGTTCATAGCTGGGTCCCAGCCCCAAGAACTGCAAGCACTGGCACCCAGTAGGCACTCAGTAAATCCTTAGCTGCTTCAAGATGTAAAAGGACCTTCAAGCCAGAGTTGGTGCAGTGTGGGCCTGTCCCTGGGGTGCCTGGGACCCTGCTGCAGGGCAGGGTAGGGTGGTAACCACCAGTGACCAGGAGCAGGAAGGGATAGGGTCCACAAGGGGTCCCAGGGGCTCCTCTGCACAGCTAATGCCAGAGGTGCTGGGGGGTGGGCCACACAAGCAACCCCAGCCTCAAATTAGGGACCCACCGACCAGGATCCACTGTGCTGTCAGAATAACATTTCGAAAGGCAAAAAATAAAACACATTGAGTTTCAAAGGAAATCTGTTTTATGGAAATGCAGTTATCAAAATATGAACAGATACATTGGTGGTATACCAATGGCTCTATTTCCTCACGGACCTGCTAATGGCCTCTGCCTCCCTGGCTGGTGAGCACAGCCCCTCCCAAGGGGGCCAGCAATGTCACAGGGCATGGGAATGCCTCCTGATCTGTGGGCGACAGGATAGTAGGCACTGGGCACTGCTCACCCTTGTCTGTCAAGGAAGAAATCGCAAAACTTCTCTGAGAGTGAGATGAAGTTGAGATTGAATGCTTCTCATTTCCCAGTGCACGTGCCCTGAGGCTTATTCCCAGACCCTGAGGGAGTTCAGGCCACAGGGGCTGGGCTGGGCCAGAGTAATTTCTTGAACCCAGTGCTGAATCTCAGAGTCAGAGCACTCTTGCCCGCCCCAACCCCCAGCCCCCAAGTCTGCTCGACCTGAGGGAGGATGGGGTGCTCCCTACGGAACACCAGGACAGTTCAAGGGTCTTCGCCCTGCACTTGTTTGGAGGCTGCAATGGTGGGTCGTGGCTTTCACTTCATGGCTGTTAGAGGGCACTCCCTTTGCGCTTAGCCCAGAAGCCGTAAACACTATGAATGCCATGGACAAGTGAATAGCAGGGAATGAAAGCTAGGGGTCCTCTTAGGCATGACCCTATGCCAGTCCTGGAGCCACCCAGAGAGGACATCTGAGGACTCTGAAGACCTTGGCTGCACTAACTTCTCTGTGCCTGTTCTCTCCTCTGTAAAATGGGGCTGATGATCATAAAGCCGCGGGTAAGAAGTAGGCAAACGCCTGTGGCTTCACCTGGCACATGGGCACTGCCTGAGCACCAGCTTTCCTCTCTAGCTGCCATGATCTGGGGTACAAGCATCCCAGGTGGGGCAACCCTGGACTGGTGCTCTGTGGCTGGAGGAGAAAGGGAAGGCCAGTGGGGCTGGGCCAGTTAGAGCCGGGGAGGAGGAATAGGCTGGGGCTGGGGCTGGGATCTGCTGACTCCAAGTGTGATAGAAGCAAGAAAGACCCCTGACATGTTTGACTTTTCAGGATCATTCCTGTTGCCATGTAGGAAGCAGGCCAGGGAGGAGGGCCCTGGGACTGGGCTGAGTGTGCAGCCCAAAAAGGGGCCCGAGGAAACATCGCGGCATCCAGGCTGGTCTGTGGACTTGGGTGGGAGCAGCCAGGCAGATGGGGAGGACTAAGGAGGAGAAGCTTGCGGAGAGTGATGGCCTCTCTGGATGCTTTAAAATGCAAACAAAGGCACAGCCACTTTGGAGGTTGGTTTGCAGTTTCTTGATAAAGTTAAACGTACACTTGTCAGACGATCCCACCTTTTGTCAACTAGGTACTACTCAAGAGAAATGAGACTCATGTTCACACAAAAACTTGTAAGTGGATGTTTATAGCAGTGTTACTAGTAATCACCCAAACAAGGAAGTGGCCTACATGTGCCTCACCTGATGAGGGGACAAGCAAGCCATGGCCCACCCCGAGATGGAAGCGTCCCGAGCAGGGAGAAAGGAGGATATTGACACCTGGCACCACAAATGTGTCCCAAAGGAAGCGGCTGAGTGGAAGGAGCCAGGCCCCGCCACTTCCTGCTGTGGGTCCCACGTGTGTCCATGGAAGCTGTGAATAGAGTAGGGGATGGAGAACACATCTGTAGCTGCCAGGGGCTGAGGGTGGAGGCGTGGTTACCACGAGGGACAGGAGGCAGTTTTGGGGCTTGGTGTCTTGATCATGGCTACACGGATATGTGCACTTTGTCAAAACTCACAGGACGGTGCACAGCAAAGGATGAGTATAGGTACATTACACCTTAAATTTTTCTTAAAGTGGGGAAAGAAAAAGAAGTTGCCACAAAAACCTTGTATGTTGAGCCACCAGCCTGTCTGGATTTCAGACACATTGGAGGAGAGGTTGGGTCTGTGGGTTGAGACTGGCGAGTCACCAGCTGTGGATGGAGTCAAGTGACTGAGAGATTAAAGACACCAGACACCTAGACACTGAGGATGTGGCAAGGCGAGGTTGGGAGAGGGCACGGGGGTGGAAGGCATTGGGAATGACAGAGGCAAATTGGTAGGAAGATTGACACACAGATAAAAAGAGATGGTTGGATGAGGCAGAAAGACAGGCAGAGAGACAGACGTGGACTAACAGACAGGCAGAAAGTGGAGACAGAGACAAATATCCACTAACAGCAACAGGTAGACAGAAAGATGCTGTAAAGATAGAAAGTTGTGTAAGTGGATGGATGGAGCTCAGGGTAGCTCTCAGGTGGACACAGACAGAAATGCAGACAGATGTCTTGGCTTGCGAGTACATGAACAGCCTGCCCTGATTTTCTGGGGCATTCTTCTAGATCTTGGATCTATGGTGCTGGCATTGACTTACGCCCTCTTTGGAGTCAGAGACGACTCCTCTCGCTCAGTGCCCTGCTCCACACTTCCCTGCTGCTGGGCCGGCCACTGCTGCACAAGTGGCTGCAGAAATCCCTCCTGGCAGGGACTAAGGCAGGCAGGCTGGGCTGCTGTGCACCCCGGGCCATTTTCTGAGTTGGGAAAAGGGTGCTGTCCAGGTGGTGTGGGCCGTGTAAAGGCAGTAAAGGGTTTCAAAAGGCCTGTCAGTGCATATCATCTGGAGTAGGGTGTGTGCTGGGGAACGGGGAGGAGGAGGACAGAGAAAATAGGAAACTTTGAGCTTGCCTGAGGAAGACCATCCACATGGATTATGAAGGATGGCTCATATTGACTGTATTTTCATTCAAATGTGCAAAACTATTTACTGAATTTTTTTACTGACCGGAAATAACTCCTGACTTACAGAATATTTTCATTTCCAAGTTACACTTTACCCTGAGTTACATAGCAGGCGCATCCGTAGTGATTCTGCACCCCACGCCCTCGCCAGCCCCTGGAAGACACTGGCTGGCCCTTGGCTGAAATGACCCAAATCAAAAGCCCCTGCCTTTCTGCTAATGGGCGTTGGGGAGATTGACCAGCAAAGAGCTATGGACAAGAAGCAGGACTGTCCATTTAAAAAGGACAAAAATCAGAGCCCAGTCCCAGGCCTGGGCAGCTCCCATCAGCGTCCCATCCCCCTTGCTCTGAACCAGCTGTGGCCCGCACTTTTTCCCATGGCCATGCCTGGGAAATGAAGGTGCAGGGACATGCAGGCGAGCTGGGGCGTGGAGTCACATCTGTTTCCAGAACATTCATGCTAAGGGAGGAACAGGGTCCGCATTGGAGAACATGGGGCGGGTGACTGGAAAAAGGGAGCTAGAGCCACTTTTATTGTTTCCTGGGGTAACAGAAAACTTGGAGCCACAAGTGAGTCCCGGGAGAGTTTGGGTTAACTGGCCCCGAAGCCATCCTGTGTCATGTGTGTATGTGTGTTCCACTATGTGTTTTTCCCTGTGTGGCCTCTGTGTGTGTGTGTTTGCCTGAACTGGTTTCAGCGGTGAAAATCCTGGTGCTGACATGGACAGAATCCATGAAAGCATTTCGAGTCCTAAGTCAGCTGACCTATGTTGGGATGTGGCACATGTTGCATCGTCTGCCTTTGAAAAGGGATTTTCTGCGAGGGCTTGCAATGAAGGCATTCTGCTCAGAAAATGGCGGCAGGAAGTCATGCCCCCAAAAGGAGCCATTAGTGAATCCCACTATTAATTGTAAGTCTTAGATTCTGGGCTCAATACTGTCATTTTCATGATGTTCAAGTGATATAAAGGGCCAAACAATGTGAATCTCAAAACTAATATGGGAATAGAATACTTCCTGCTCTTTGACTGTTTGACTAAGCACATACATCAACCTTTCCATATTTTTATTTATTTTATTCTTGCTTGTTTTGGGTTTAAGGGGAAACTTTCATGATAATTGTACCCTGAAGCCATTTTCCTGGAATGTGTCTAGGCAAGGGATTCCAACTGGAACCCGTGGAGGCCAGGAAAACACTAGTCATCAGGATGTATTGCTTCATCTGGGGAACACCGTAAGGGACTCAACTCCAGGCACTGGTGTCTGGCTCTTGTGCGTTTGCTAAATTGACATGACTCCAGGATCTGTAGCAGGCCCACACATCCTTGATGAATACAGTGAAGTCTTGTTTTTACCAGCACTCAGTTGGCCAAATATCCTTTCCAGCAATGAGATATCAGAGGACACAGTGAAGTTATTCAAATTAGGGTGGAAAAATCACCAAAATTCACTTAAAATCATGTTTATCGAAAGTCCCAGTGGGGTCAGGTTAGGTAGTAAATAACAATACAGAATGAATATTTTAATGATATTCCAATTTTAAGCTTGTCTTTTTTCCTTTGTGTTTCATTATTTACTCATTGTACATTCACAGAAATACATTTGCTAAGCAAAGAGAATGACATTTGGAAGATAAGTGATTAAATAGTGTCTAAACTAGTTGCAACAACTGACACCACCACCAGTAACATGGGCTGTTTATTGAACTCTGGCAACAATTAAACATCTATTCATCAGTATCTACGACACAAAAATAAAACATTCATCTCTAAAATAGTAAGGTATATGTTCAAACAATGCATCCTTAATTTTTTTTTAGAGACAGGGTCTCGCTGTGTTGCCCAGGCAGGTCTTGAACTCCTGACCTCAAGCAATTCTCCCACCTAGGCCTCCCAAAGTGCTGGGATTATAGGCGTGAGCCACCACGCCTGGCCATCCTTAATTTTTAAGACTCCAAATTAAGTTGGAATAGACTGATATATCTAAATCAGATGAAGCATGTTTCCCTTTAAACGAGGGAACTTACAAAACAGAAGTATTTTTGTTACGTGAGCTAAGAGGCAATAAAGCCTTATTTGACAGTGTGCTAGGTACCCACGATGGCAGCATGAAGACAAAAACAGGAGGAATCAAAGCAATTGTACTGTGCAGATAACATGGTTCTTTAGGGTCAAAGGAAGGCTTCCTTTGTGCTCTATTAATGAAGCATAGTATTCATGATGCATGAACGTGGAATGAAATCCCAATGTCCTTTGGCACAGAACCACACTCATTTCATGAATTGTTCATGAATTGTTGATGGCTGCTTTTACAAAACCATGGCAGAATTGAGTAGTTGTGACAGAGACCATATGGCCTACAAAGCCTAAAATATTTAATATCTCACCATTTATAGAAAAAGTTTGGAGATCTCTGATGTAAGCTCCAAGAAGCAGCCAACTTTGTCTGTTTTGTGCACAGACATTCTAGCTCATAAGGAAGGCACTTTTCAAATTATCTGTAATGGATGAATGGACAGACAGATGGGCGGATGGACGCACGGATGGATGGACAGTTCCCACACAGTGTTGGAGTTGACCAATGGTCAGACCATACATTTATGGCAGCAGAATCTACAAGCTAATGGGAGCTTATCCCACAGGTTTCAGCCACTTACTATGAAGCAGGCTTAGAAAAGACCAAGAGTGGGGCTCTCCCAGGAAGAAGTGATAGATGGGGAGCAGGTGGTGCTGATGGAAGGGGCTGAGTGGGGTCCGTGGAGGCCACCATGGGTGAGGAGGACGTGGAGGCTACAGGCGCTGATGGACAGGGGAAAGTTGGCATTAGATGCCAGCCTGCATGACCCGAGAACGCAGAGCAGCTCCCGTGATGAGGCTGTACCCAAACTCCACTTTCTAAATTGCATTTTCTGTCCCTTTCATCCGAATCATCCCTCACCTATCAAAGGACTTTTCCACCCCTGGCTCCTCCTGTGCTCGCCCACCAAATGCAAGGGAGCTGTTTTCCTCATGCTATGGGCTGTGTCCCCGCAATTCATATGTTGAAGCCCTAACCCTGGTGCCTCAGAATGTGACTGCATTTGAAGATGGGATCTTTAAACAGGTAATTAAAGTTGAGTGAGGTGATGAGGGTGGTCCTAATTCAATCGGACTGATGTCCTTATAAGAAGAGATTAGAATGAAGGTGTGCACAGAGGGTCAACCATGTGAGGACACAGGGAGAAGATGGCTGTCTACAAGCCAAGGAAAAGCCTGAGGTGACACCTTTTCCCAGGATCCCCGTGGCAGACTGATTGCATTTGATCACTTCCAGGATGAAGAGGGCAGCAAGATGTTCTCCCTGGAAGAGGCACTTACTCTGAATATGGGCTTATCTTCTCTGCCCGCAATCCTTCCATGGAAGTATGATCTGTTAACCACAGACCTTTTCACCATCATGGTGTCCCACTCAGAATTGCTCTGACTCAGGAAGCTACTTTATATCAAAGGAATGTGGCAACGGGTCAGTGCTTGTGGAATTCACTGATGCTGCCTTGTTCCCTGCCTTCCAAAAGCAGCTGATCTGGGAGAATAGTGGAATGGAGATTTTTCTCTCTCAGGCAAAGGAAAAAAAAAAGAATTTTACTTGATTATGACTTTCTCTCAATAGAAACACCATATTGCCAAATGCTGCAGACACTAATACGAATGGATGACAAGGCAGCAGTCCTTGCCAGCACACTCAAGCAGGGTCAGAGAAGACACATTGCAGTGGGTGGAATCACGGCCCCTGAATTATCCAGGCCCTCACCCCTGGAACCTAGGACAGTTCCCTGACACAGAGAAAGGATCTTTGCAGATGTGATTTAAATTAAGGTCTTGAGAAGTGGGGGATTATGATAGATGACCCAGGTGGTCCTAAATGCAATCACATGTGTCTTTATCAGAGGGAGGCAGAGGGAGATTTTACTACAGACAGAAGAGGAGGTGGCCATGTGACCACGGAGGCAGAGGGTGGAGGTGGCCAGCAGCCACTAGAAACTGGAGGAGGCGAGGATTGGGGTCTCCCGGAGCCTGCAGAGGGAGCGCGGCCCTGCTGACACCTTGATTCCGGCCCAGTGAGGCAGGTTTAGGACTCCTGGCCTCTGAACTGTGACAGAATAAATATTTGTTGTCTTCAGCCACCAAGTTTGTGCTAATTTGTTACAGCAGCCACAGGAAATGAATATATCCATGCCAAAATTAATACATGCATTCCATTTTATATTCTTTTCCAACCTTAAAATAAAACCAACAAGTGCTTCCAGATTTTCTTTTATAATTCTCTTTGTGCATTCAGTTCAGTAAATGTTCAAAAGGGTAATACGTTTATAAAATGTGATGCCAAATTGCATAAAATTGACCAGACTAAAGGGGAAAATTTACCATTTTATGAAATAAAATATAATTTACAGATCACCAGCATTAATTTATATCATGTCCTGCTTTGGGCTTCCAAATTCTGTTGGCAATTTTACCCTGGAAAAATATCATGAACCAAATAGGAAAACTGGTATTCTAAATACACTTCCTTCATGTGACACATTTCTTGTGTGTGGATGTAATGAGAATTCAAAAAAAGAAAAAAAAGATGTGTTTTTATTCCTCCCTTTATTGCCAAAATTAAGGCAGTAAAAACAGGCACCAAAGGAATGAGTTAAGATAGATTTAGAAGAGGACAAGTGGAAGCCAGGCAGGGCAGAATTCTAAGATAAGGGTCAAGATCCTCACCCTCCTCCTCAGCGGTGGCCCTGGGATGTGATGCGATGTCACTCCCATGGTTATGGCACATTACATGGCAAAGACGATTTCCGCAGATGCGGAGATACAGGCTCTTCTGATGGTCTTCAAGGGGAAAAAGCCATGTTGTGGAGACAGCCACCTGGTGGGGAATGGATAGGCTTTAATCCTTCTTTAAATGTTTGGTAGCATTCAATAGGGGAGAATGCTGTAGTTTGCATGTTTGACCCCTTAAAAATCTCACGTTGAGATTTATCCCCAGTGTTGGCGATGGGGCCTAATGGGAGGTATCTGGGTTATGGGGGTGGATTCCTCATGAATAGATTAGTGCTTTCCCTCAGGGTGAGTGAGCTCTTGTTCTACTAGTTCCTGGGAGAGCTGGTTGTTAAAAAGAGCCTGGCACCTCCTCCCTCTCTCTCTTGCCTCCAGTCTTGCCCTGTGACCTCTGTGCACACTGGCTTCCCTTCCCCTTCTGCCACGAGTGGAAGCTCCTTGAGGCCTCACCAGAAGCAGATGTTGGTGCCATGCTTCCTATACAGGCTGCAGAACTGTGAGCCAAGCAAATCTCTTTTCTTTATAAATTACCTAGCCTCAGGGATTCCTTTATAGCAACACATAACAGACTAAGGCATTTGCTGTTTTGTATAAATGGAATCACACAACATGTGGCCTTTTGTGACTAGCTTGTTTCACTTAGCATCATTTTTTCAGCATTCATCCATGTGGTTGTGTGTATCAGGACTTCATTCTTTTTATGGCTGAATAACAATCCATTGTATGTATACACCACATTTGATGCACTCCCCACTCCTTCATCTGTTGCTGGACACTTGGGTTGTTTACCCCTTTTGGCTGTTATGAATAATACTGCTATTAACACTGGCATGCAAGTATCTGTTTGAGTCCCTATTTTCAATGCTTTCGGGATTATACCTAGGCATGGAAATGCAGGGCCATATGGTAATTCTATGTTTAACTTTTTGAGGAAACTCCATGCCGTTTGCCACAGCGGCTGCACCATTTTCCATTCCCACCAGCAATATACAAGAGTTCCAATTTCTCCACATCCTTGCCAACACTTGTTATTTTCCATTAAAAACATTACAGGCATCCTAGTAGGTGTGAAGTGCTATCTCATTATGGTTTTGAGTTTCATTTCCCCAGTGACAAATGATGTGAGAATCTGGTGGCCCAGTGGGCTTGGAGATTCACTGGGCTGGATGGTGGGAAGGGTTCACCTGCCTCCTTCGTGCCCTCCCAGAGCTCAGGATGCTTTGTGATGTGGGCCTAAACTCTAGTCAGGAGAGCACATTCTTTGCTCAGGTGCCTGAGGTGGCTGTGAGCTTCAGATGATGAAGAATTTTGTTTGGTTTCTTCTGCATTTTAGTGAGCCCTGGAACTTTGGTTCCATTTTTTCATTTGTATGGAGTTGGGATCATCTTTCTGCCATCTGACTGCATTCTGTGGTGTCCACATTTGCCAGTTTGGAAAAAACATGTACCCAAATCAGGTAATGAAACCCAAGGGCTGCCCACTGAAGCAGTAGACTTTCATCTTCCCTTCCCAACTCCCATTTTTCTAAATCTATTATTGGGATGGAAAGACCTAGGGATGGGGACTCTTGGGAGATTTAAACATCAGTAGTCTAGAATAGGTTGGGCAGGGCAGAGGCTGAGCAGGGCAGTAGTCTAGAATAGGTTGAGCAGGGACCGACCCCCTGCTAGGCATGGGGCAGGCTTCCAGGGCTAAGCCCCACACTGCAGTGCAGGCTGTGGACCAGTTTCCCTGCCCCCTGCCACCTGCCCAATGCAGGAGTCTCTGGGCCATGCCATTCCCTTTTGGTGAGCTGGGCTGGATAGTGCTGCTAGCCTCTGGCAGACTGGTGGGACCCACAGGAGCTGTCTCAGGGGCTGGACCCTGCAGAATGCAGCCTGCATGTGCCTGAACAGCTGAGATTCCATGCCCCACAATTTAGAAATCCATGTAGAAAAGAATTCTTTATTTGAGATTGGTGGAGAAGGATCAGAAGACCATATTTTTAAAATCAATGTATATATATGTAGTATGTATTTATTTTTTACTTAGTTTTGCACCTACACTATACACAGGATCAATCAATTTTAAAAATGAATAACACGGAAACGAGACAGATCTCAATGAAACCCATGTAAGATTATTGATCACATGATTCTTAATCATGCTCTCTCAGGATCTCAAACTCACCAAAATGGACCTGCCTCCTGGATTCCGTGGCGAACAGGCTGTGAGAGTGTCCCTTCTGGTTCTGCTCACAGGCTACAGAGGGCAGCAAACAGGACAAGAATCTGTCTTCGACTCAAGAGCAGCCAGAGACCCTTAGCAGTGGAGGGAGAAATAGGTGTATGGGACTCAAGACCCCTTGCCCAGGAAGATGAGCAGGTCCTGCACCCCAGTTCCTGCCATGGGGTCCAATAAGAGGAACTTAGTGTCAGTGATTTCTTCTTCTGAAGAGAGGGAAGGGTAAACCTAGCCATGGCATGAAGCCTTGGGCAGAGCCCAGGCCTACTGAGCAGCAGAGCCATCTCTTGGGTAAAGGGCATATGGACACCAAGAGACAAGTGAGCCATTGCCTGGAGCCTCCAGAGGATGGCAGGCTCATGCCTGGAGCCAACACAAGGAAAAGAAGTCCACCCAAGGGGGTGATCAAGGCCCAGGCAGAGCCACCCTGTGATTGCAGGGCACCCACCTCTGCGAGCACAGCAGAGGGCGGAGGGCTGCAGCTCTGTGCGCCTGAGTGTCAGAGAGCTCCACACAATAAGAAGGTCACAGGTGGCGTCTGAGAAACCAAGCAACCTTGCAGTCACCCACTCCCAGGCTTCTAGGGAATGTTTTCCCAGCCAGATCCTGACAGCCCGTAACAGAGCAGCAGGGCCATGGGCCATGCTCACACATGGCAGTTTCCTTGAGTCACCCAGAAAGTCCTCCTCCATCCTCAATCCCAGCAACATGATGGCCTTACTTCTCACTACCAGCCACGCTGAATCTTCCTGAATGGATACATTTATTTACCAAGGAAGGACAGTGTTTTTTCCTCTCTGTGCTGAGTTTGGGGGAAGTTTAGAATATCCCAGGAACTGGAGCTGAGGGAAAAGGTTGGCTTCAGCTCTTTCAGAGAGCCGGCTTGGACTTCTGGAAACTGACCAGCACCTGGCAGGAGGTTTGAAGCCATGTGGGACACCCATGGTCATCCCAGGTTTCTTCACTTGTTTCTGTGAATACTACCTTTAGAAAACCAATACAAAAAACAAAAAACAAACAAACAAACAAAAAAACAAAAAACAAACCCAAGCACTCAGGGACTTAGAAAGTGAGAAGACTCATCAAAGAACAAGCGTCAGGACCTGGTCTTGTCAGTCCTTCCGTGCCCTCGTTCTACTGAACTGCATAGCCACCAAGGTGCCGGGGCTGCACGGGAACCAGACAGTCACAGTTCTATTGTTCAGTCTCCAGGGCAAAAAGAGACCAGAACCTTTACATATCCTGAACATGGAACTAAGATTTGGGAGTCTTGAGGCTCTAAGTTCAGAAGGGTGAGGAACAATGGCCATGACTGAATACTTGGGAGGAGAATTGCTTTCATGTGTCCCCAGAGATCCCATCCACCCCAGTTGGAAGCTGGGGACACCAGCACTGCTCCCTGACTCTTAGCTTAGCCTCAGCTGACCCCGAGCTTCCCCTGCCCCTCCCTGTATGGGAACCCAGCACTCCTGGCCCAGCCTGTGTCTTGACAGTGGGGAGGGAGGCTGAGGGGCAGGCAGGAAGGGCAGAGCCCTGGCATACCTGGCAGTGGAAGGAGAAGCTGTTACCAGGCAGGGCAAAGAGCACAGGGAGCCCCACAGGTCTTCAAGTAGCACTCGCTTGCTTTCCAGCCACTGGAAGGAGCTGATGCCATGCTAGAGACATGGAAATTAACTCACAGCCCACCACCTTCCCCCCACCACAAGACAGCCCCGCCTGAAAGTAGGCATACTTACCTTAAAAAAAAAGCTCATATGGACAGGCAAAGGACCTGGCAAAGCTAATGCAATTTTGAAAAACAAGGCCAGGGGAGGTGGCTCATGCCTGTAATCCCAGCACTTTGGAAGGGTGAGGTGGACAGATCACTTGAGGCCAGCAATTGGAGACTGGCCTGGCCAACATGGCGAAGCCCTGTCTCTACTAAAAACACAAAAATTAGCTGGGCCTGGTGGCACACACCTGTAATCACAGCTACCCGGGAGGCTGCATCACTTGACCCCAGGAGGCAGAGATTGCAGCGAGCCAAGATTATGTGCTCCAGCCTGGGCAACAGAGCGTGACTCTGACTCCAAAAAAAAAAAAAGAAAAAAAAGAAAGAAAACAAGAATAAAGTTGCCCCTATTTCAATACTTATTACACAGTGGATAAAGACTGTGCCCATAGGCAGAGGGACAGACACTTCGATCAACAGGACAGAATGGAGACCCAAATTAAAGTGCCCAAATGATTTTTGACAAATGTGCTCAAGCAATTCATGGGGGGAAAGGTGGCCGCTCTGTCACATGGAAGTAGGGAAATCGCACATCACAGGCACAGCAAGCAGGCAGGCAGAGAGAGAGCTCCTGACCTAGACTCTGAAGCCTCACCGTGTACAAACATTCACTCGAGGTGGATCACACACTTCAATGTGAAACGCAAAACTGGAAAACTTTAGGGAAAAGGATTCTAAGAGAAAAGTTAGGTATCTAGGGCTAGGTAAAGATCTTTGAAGGCTTGACCGCAAAAGCACGATCTGTAAAGAGAAGTGGATAAATTGGAAGTCATCAAAATAACTCATGCTCTATGAAAGACCCTCTTAAGAGGATGAAATGACTAAACACAGACTGGGAGTCTGATCCAGGTCTCACATCCAGAACATATAAAGAACCCTCAAAACTCTTCAATAACTTGATTGGGCCATGATCAGCCTCCTGGCCTCCCCTCCCTGCCTAGAAGTTCCCAGGCTCCTGGGCGCCCTCTTGGAATTAGAGAATCTTTCGGGGTCCCCGGAGTGACTTTCCTTCCTGCATGTATGACAGGAAGGGGAACCCGGGCAGGAATTTACAGACACTGTACTCGTCCTAATGGAATGGGCATCTATTGCATGAGACACATCACAAGCCACTGCCCAACAACAGAGAGACTATGGCAAGGACAAGAGGGACATGCTGCATGGGGCAGGTTGCAGGCCAGAGTGCAGCCATGCTCCGGGGCCTCCTGGGGAGATGGGGTGCGCGTCCAGGTGGGAGAAGTGGGCTTTCAGGACAAGAGGAGGGATGGCTTTCCAGGGCTGGGGCCAATTCCTTCCTCATCTTCCATCTCTCAATTCCACATTCTTCCTCCTCACTCACCACAGTCATGGGGGCTGAATTTCTGAATTCCTAAGACTCCCCTCTCCCGGGGAACTGGTGGCTGTCCTGCCCACCTCTCGGATGGCTCCTCCCATCCCTGGCCACATCCACCCCTGGATGCTTCTTGCCCTCACACAGTCCCACAGCCAGCCCCAAAACTGAGCGCCCACAGTGTTTAGAATCCTGCAGCCGCTGGCCCCAGGCTTTGACTCCACGGGCTGAGGCCTTTAAGGACATCGGCAGGACTGAGCCAAAGGAGCGCCGCCCACCCAGCCAGAGAACACTGATGCAGGGAGATGGAAATAGGATTTAGTTACTGAGACCTTGTTTACACAAAAATATTCTAAGAGAACTCATAGATGGGAGGGAGTAAACCAGTCTCTGTGGCCCATGGAGAGAGGCTCAGGACAAGTGGGGTCATGGAGAGGAGCCGGGAGCAGAGGATGAAAAGCAGGAAGTTTCAATGTATGTGGTTTAAATGGCCTGGCTCAGCAGGACCCCAGGGGTTCCAAGTCCACTCCTGGTGAGGCCCTGAATAACTCGTCTCTGCAGGCAGCAGGGAGCCACTGCAGGTTTGGGAGGGAGGGAGGGTCATAATGAATAGCGGGTTTGAGAGATTCCTAGGGCGTTTTCTTCCTAATCTCATGATGGGGTTAGGTAAACAGCCTCAGCCTCAACCCTGCTCCTGCTGCTGCCTCTGCCCTCAGATTCTGCCTCTGGGTCTCTAGGCAGAGGTGCTGTTGCCCCGGAGAGGGTGCTTGACCTTCCAAGGGTTCCCGCTGCTCAGAGGCACACAATTTAGCATATAATTAGAGCATCGAACAGGGAATACTGTGCTAGTTCCTAGGAAACATTTCCTCTGGGCACAGTCCACCGCATATGCTGCAATTGCACCCAATGGCCCATCCACAGGCTTTGATATCACAGATCCATTTTAGACCCTTTCTCACAAAGGAATGGAAAGAAAAGAAAGTTGAATGCAAATTAAGTACACTCTGTCACAGCCTCGCTATCAGGGTTTCCTGGATCTACAGCACATAAACCTTTCAAACATCACACTGACTACAAAGCAGTCATCGGAATGATCCTTTTGCCAAATATTCAAAGAAAAGAAGCGCAAAGCATGTACAAAGGTTCCAGAGGGTGCAAAGAAAGCCTTTCTATTGCTAGGCATAAAGCTATCACAAAGCAACAGGGCTGTGAGGGTCCCCAGAACAAATTAGTATATACAAAAAGACTAAGTTGCTCCCTTCCACTGGAGCTAGGAACACCTTGAAAAAAATGAACTGGGGTTGAAGGCAGCTGACTCAATTACATATATCTATATCTACACACACACACACACACACACACACACACGCACACACACACATTTTGCCAGATCTAAAATATACTACAAAGTGTCTCTACTAAAGCCATAATATACAGCACAGCAATAGACCAGCTGACCCATGAAGACTACAAAGTCTGGAAATATCCCAGCTATGTGTGGGAATTTGATATATGATAAAGGCATCATGTCAAATCACTGAGGAAAAGATGGACTTTTAAATAAATGGTGCTGGGAAAACTAGATGGCCATCCTGAAAACAACGAGATTGGGTACACATCTCACATGTCACACAAGATCAAACTCCAATCGACTGGAGATTTAAATGTGGAAACTGAAACCATGTAAGAACCAGAAGTGAACATGAGTAATTCTATGAAAACCTGGGTGTAGAGAAGGCTTTTATCATTATGCTTCAAAGAATCTGATGCACTCACAGAATGAACTAGCAAATTAATACATAAATATTAAATGAAACCTTTCTACATGGCCAAAAACACCATAAATGACAGCAAAATACAAGTAAAATATTGGGAGACAATGTTTGCAGCAGATAGAAGGTTAATCTAGCTAATATTTAAAAAGTCTTGAAATTGACAGAAAAAAAGAAAAATGTGAATACAAATGGTCCTTAAAGCATCTTTGAATATTTGCAGCTCAGATGCAGAGACCCTAGGGAATCCTGCTGTTGGCCACCTGCAGGAGGAAACGAAAATGAGACTGCTCAGGACTGCGGGGTGAGCCCTACAGTTCTCCCTGGACGTGGCCTGTTCAGACTCAAACCCAACCACACCCCAGGTGTGTAGAAGCCTGGTGAGGGCAGGAGGGGGCAGCGAGGGTCCACAGAACCTTCAAGTCCACCAGATGTGGCCCACCCTGAGGGCCGGGATCCCAACCTAGGCACTTGGTGGCTGAGGAAACCATGGTGGGTGTTTGGATGACTCTGCCTGGGCCTGTGTCCAAGGATGCAAATGACCACCCTCAGTGATTCCACCAAGGCCAGGGAGGCCTCGCCTCGGTCGGGGAGCAGCAGGTGGCAAATTGGAGCCCTGGCTGGGCAAACAGGAGCCTTGGCTGAGTTAGTGTGACCCAGGATGAGTCAAGGCTGAATGAGTTGAGTGTCCAATCCTCTTGCTGGTGGGTGGGGATCACGTCCCCTCAACTGGAAACAGGGCGGGCTCTGAGACAGCTGTGCCCACTGAAGGGCGGGGAAAGATTCACCTGCTGGTTTCTGGCCCAGGACTGAGGACACTGGCACCTTTCCCTGCCTGTCTCTTGGGGCTTTCTTTTCATGATCCCTGAGCCTCCATGGAAGAAGTCCAACCACCTGAGACCAGCAGGCTGGAGGCCAGGTGCAGGTTCTCTGGAAGCAACCCTTCCAAGGCACGAGTGCGGCCATCCAAGTCTGAAACCAGCCCAGACACCACTGAAAACCATCATGCGTCCCAGGTGGAGACCACATAGAGCAGAAGAATCTTACAGGAAAGACTTGGGATTCCTAGAAGTATTCTTGGTATGATGGTCATACAAGACCATAGAAAGACACACAGGTATTATAATGGTTGAGTTTGTTCCATGGAAACAGTGGGACTAATTATAAATCTCATTAAAGGATATGAGCGAAGACTGAGGACCAAACTCCTGTTTAGGTTAAGTGTGTGTACATAGATCTTCTATTTACTTAGAACTCTTCAGGAAATTTGCATGAGAAATGGCCAATGACTATCTCTTGGAATGAGAGCCAGAGGTGATGAATGGCATTTTATTTTGATTTTACACACTCTTCACTGTATGATCATTTTATACTAAATATGCATAATAAAGATAAAATCTTCTGATAATTAGTCACATAAATATGAGATTCACAATATGAGAGACAAATACAACTAAAAACAAAACAGACCCAGGCAATTGCATCATATGTGATCCAATCCTATCACTTTAAAATTATCCAAAGGAATTATGCACATTTGCTAAGATTTTAAATAATGTGATTCTTCTCAGTTCTCTGTAAGTGTGACAAATTGGAAGTATAACATTGATCTCACACTGAATCTTGTATAAAAACAATGAACTCTAATGCAATGATTTTTATATTAAATTTACTTACATAATTAAACATATCAAGGAATTAAAGGGAGGAGTATTGTCATCTGGAATCAGAAGAGCTCACAGCCATCTCCACTGTTGATTGAAGATTTGAGTGAGGGGTCTTAGAGACTGAGTCAGTGGGCTGGGGTCTAGGCTTCACTCCTTTTTGGATCAGGTAACTTTAACTTTGTGTCTGTTTCATTGTTTATTTAGCACTGCTGGTACAAACACAGAAGAGCAATTGATCCTCACTGGTGTTCTTCAGGGACAGCTGGTGGTAGGTGAGGGTGAGCTGGGAGGAAGGTGGCATTTTGGGAGGGAAAGAGTGTCCACTCCCCAAGCAGTTTGATTTTCTGGGGCTGTCCCTTTGACACCAAAGATGAGCCCTTACTGTTCTTTTCTATTTCTCTAAGCTCCTTCTGAGAATCACAGGTTAAGAATTTTTTTTGTACTAGTACTAATTATAATAAACTTTTGATTTTACTGCCAATTTAAAAAATTATATTTCATTTTTCTCCATTCACAGTAGCAAATCTGTGAACAGATGCTTTGCCTGTATTAATATGCTCTTGTTCTATGTATTCTGCTTTCATGAATCTAGTTATGCAGTATTTAATTTTTGCCCTTTATTGATTACAAATACCATTTCAAGGAAAGCACATTTTTTTGAGTCTTGAAGGAGAAAAGGGCTTTCCACAGGTAAGGCAGGTGGGAGTGAGATCAAGTTAGGATGTTGACCAAGAATGGTTTACACAGCAAAGCAGTGCTTACAACTACAAAGGTGCTTGCAGGCATCTGTCTGGAGGTCTCCTCAATAGCAAAGCTCCTATCCTGCCCTTTATATTAATGCGTTTAGAGCCTCACTCCATTTCCCTGGCGGCTTGGACTTTCTCAATTTTTTCACTTCTGGCCACCTTGTGCAGATGTTTCCAGAATGGGGAATCTTTAATCCTATTTCTGCCCAAGTTCATTCCTGGGTAGTTCTATTATAGTTTGGATATTTGTTTCCTCCAAATCGTATGTTGAAATTTACCCTCAGTGTTGGAGGTGGGGCCTAACGGGGGCAGATCCTTCGTGAATGGATTTAATGCCCTCCCTCAGGGGTGAATGAGCTCTTGAGCTCTATTAATCTCAGGGAGAGCTGGTTGTTAAAAAGAGCCTGAACATCCCCTGTCTCTCTTGCCTCCTGTCTCAGCATGTAAACACTGCACAGGCCAGCTTCCCTTCCCCTTCCACCACAAGAAGAAGCCACTTGAGGTCTCACCAGAAGCAGAGCAGATGCCAGCATCATGCTTTCAGTGCAGCCTGCAGACCGTGAGCCAAACAGACCTCTTTTCTTTATAAATTACCCACTCTCAGGTGTTCCTTTATAGCTACACGAAACAGACCAAGACAAGCTCCCTTCCTCCATTTGTCACAACCGTTGAGACACTTGTTTTCCTGGTTTTGTTTGTCTTAGTTGTTTTTGACTTTGCCTGGTCTTCTTCCTCAGTTGTTATCTATATTTAGGAGCATGTATTTCACAGGGATAAAATATTCACTAACGAATACTTCTATTTTATTTTCACCCACATTTTAAAAAGATACAATTCTCGCTTTTGTGGTAGCAAATGTAAGAGATTTTCATTACTAAATGGCATTTTATACATTTTTCTTATAGGAATTGATTGATGTACATATTTCTAACTTCCTATATGGATCGCTTCCTCACATTTTCTTACCTTAAAGAATGACTTTTGTAGTTCTTGACAGATGAAAGGGCTTTTCTCAGAGACTGTAGCAGGAAGACAGAGCAGGTGTGGGGGTTCCTTAGAAGGGGAGGGCTGGGGGGGCAAGTTGCATGACACACCTCCTCAGCTGGCTCCTGGGAATGAAGACAAGGGGCTGTTTAACTACAGACACACTCAGCACCATGAGAAAGCTAAAACAAACAAACAAAAATCTATAGGCATATCTTGGAGATATTGCAGGTTTGGTTCCAGGCCACCACAATTAAGAGAGTCACACAAATTTTTTGGTCTCCCAGTGCATATAACATTATGTTTACATTATATGGTAGTCTATGAAGTGTGCAATAGCATATGTCTAAAACAGTGTACACACCTTAGTTAAAAATACTTCAGTGCTAAAAAATGCTAACAACCCTCTGAGCCATTAGCAAGTTGTAATCTTTTGGCTGCAGAGCCTTGCCTCAGTGTTGATGGCTACTTACTGATCAGGGTAGTGTGGTTCTGAAGGTTGGGGTGGCTGTGGCAATTTCTTTTTTCTTTTCTTTTTTTTTTTTTTAGAGACAGGGTCTGGCTCTGTCACCCCAGCTGGAGTGCAGTGGTGCGATGACAGCTCACTGCAGCCTCAAACTCCCAGGCTCAAGCGATCCTCCTGCCTTAGCCTTCCGAGTAGCTGGGACAACAGGTACATGCCATCAGGCCTGGCTAATTTTTAAAATTTTTTTTTTTTTTTTTTTTTTTTTTTTGTAGAGATGTGGTCCTTCTATGTTGCCCAAGCTGGTCTTGAACTCCTGGCCTCAAATGATCCTCCCATTACCTGAAGTGCTGGGATTACAGGTGTAGCCACTGTGCCCAGCCTGTGGCAATTTCTTAAAATAAGACAATGATGAAATTTGCCACATTGATCGACCCTTCCTTTCACTAAAGATTTCTCTGTAGCATGCGATGCTGTTTGATAGCATTTGACCCAAAGAAGAACTTCTTTCAAAATTTGAGTCAATCCTCTTAAATCCTGCTGCTGCTTTATCAACAAAGTTTATGTAATATTCCAAATCCTTTGTTGTCATTTCAAAATGTTCACAGCATCTTCAGCAGAAGCAGATTCTATCACAAGAAACCACTGCCTTTGCTCATCCATCAGAAGCAACTCTTCATCAGTTAATCATGAGATTGCAGCAATTCAGTCTTATCTTCAGGCTCTGCTTTTAATTCTAAGTTCTCTTGCAATTTCCACTACATCAGAAGTAACCTCCACTGAAGTCTTGAACCCTTCAAAGTCATCCATGCGGGATGGAATCCACTTCTTCCAAACTCCTGTTAATGTTGACATTTTGACCTTCTTCCATGAATCATGAATGTTTTTAACAAAATCTAGAACAGAGACTCCTTTCCAGTAGGTTTTCAATTTACTTTGCCTGGATCCATTAGAGGAATCACTATCTATAGCAGCTATAGCCTTATGAAATATATTTCTTAAATGATAAGGCCTGAAAATCTAAAACTACCCCTTGATCCACGGGCTGCAGAATGGATGTGTGTTAGCAGGCATGAAAACAACATTAATCTCCTTCTATATCTCCATCAGAGCTTCTGAGTGACTACGTGCATTGTCAATAAGCAGCAATATTTTGAAAAGAATCTTTTTTTTCTGAGCAATAGGTCTCAATCACAGGCTTAAAGTGTTCAGTAAACCATACTGTAAACAGATGAGCTGTCATCCAGGCCCTGTCGCATTCATAAAGCACAGGCAGAGTTAATTTAGCTTAATTCTTAAGGGCCCTAGGATTTTCACAATGGTAAATGAGCACTGGCTTCAACATAAAGTCACCAGCTGCATTAGCCCCTAACAAGAGAGTCAGCTTGTCCTTTGAAACTTGGAAGCCAGGCATTGACTTGTCCTTTCTAGCTATGAAAGTCCTAGGTAGCATCTTGTTTCAATAGAAGACTGTTTCATCTAAATTGAAAATGTGTTGTTCAGTGTAGCCACCTTTATCAATGATGTTATCTAGATCTTCTGGAGAACTTGCTGCAACTTCTACATTGGCACTTGCTGCTTTACCTGGCACTTTTATGTTATGGAGACAGCTTCTTTCTTTCAGTCTCATGAACAACCTCTGTTAGACTTCAACTTCTCTTCTGCAGCTTCCTCATCTCTCAGGGTTCATGGAATTGAAGAGAGTTAGGGTCTTGCTCTGGATGAGGCTTTGACCCACAGCTGGTTCCACACCCCTAAAACTTTCTCCAGCTCAGCAATAAGGTTGCTTTGCTTTCTTATCATTCTTGTGTTCACTGAGTAGCACTTCTCATTTCTTTCAAAAACTTTTTTTTTTGCATTCACAACTTGGCTAAATGTTTAGCACAAGAGGTCAAACTTTTGGCCTATCTTGGCTTCCAACATGCCTTCCTCACTAAGCTTAATCATTCCTAGCTTTTGATTTAAAGTGAGAGCTGTGTGACTCTTCCTTTCCCCTGATCGCTTAGAGGCCATTGTAGGGTTATTAACTGGCCTAATTTCAATATTGCTGCATCTCAGGGAATAGGGAGGCCTGAGGAGAGGGAGAGAGATGGGGAATGGCGATTGATGGAGCAGTCAACACACAACATTTATTGATTAAATTTGCCATCTTATATGGACTTGGTTCATGCCTCAATTACAATAGGAACATGAAAGATCACTGATCACAGATCACCATAACAGAAATAACAATAATGAAAAAGTTTTAAATATTGTGAAAATTACCAGAGTGTGACACAGAGGCAGGAAGTGAGCACATGCTGTTGGAAAAACAACGACAGATTTGCTTGATGCATGATTACCACAAACCTTCAATTTGTAGAAAGCACAATATCTGCGTTAACTCCTGTTTCTCTGGAATAGTCTCGTAAACTTCAGGTTCTTTGTCAATGAGAGACTGCTTGGAGGCTAAGCCTGCTCTGAGGGGCTGCAGCTACCCTGCCCCTGGCAGTGTCTTTGACTGCAAGGCGTGGATAAAGCCGGAGATTTTTCGATGGAGCAGAGGCCAGCTGGGTGGTTGCACTGACTCGTGATAACCCTGGTGGCAGTGCTGGAGGCCGGTGAGGTGGTGAAGGGCATGGCGCTTCGGACATGGGCCCTTCCTACGTGCAGGACCTCCTGGGGTGCAGAGGCTAATTTCATCTTGTATGGATGATGTTCCTCTTCCTCCGTCACCAGATACCAGATTTTATCTTCAGATCTGGCTCCCATAAGAGTCATGTCATCTGCGCTGTTTTTGATTTTGTTCTGAGCTTCCCACTGTGCCCTATGGCTGGTGTTTCCCCAGTCCATGGCTGTGATTACATCTCCGATACACAAATTAGCTACAGCAGCCTTGCTTCTGGGGGTGACCTGGAAATGGAGAGGATGCTTGAAGTCCTTGCTCCCCATGATGCAGAAGCCCCATGGTCCCGGGCCCTGAGGGACTGTCTACTGGGTGATCGTGGCATGGGGACAGGCTTGCAGGACAAGAACACTGGTCATACCAAGAGAACCTGCTCTGAAAATTGAATTTTCCACAAGCCTAGCTGCTGAAAAGGCCCGTTGTAACCTGAGGACCAGTTTAAGCTCATATTTTCTCAAACACACTGCCCTGACTCGAAGACTAACCTTACCTCCAGCTGTCACTCACCAGTCAGAGCTCGCCAGCTCCCAGAAGCTTCTCCAGAGCCAATGTGCTTTCTTTCCAAACAATACCTAACATTTCTCTAATAAAACTCTCACCTTTTTTAAAAAAAAACTTTTATTTTAGGTTTGAAGGTGCATGTTCAGGTTTGTTATCAGTTTACATAGGTGAACTCGTGTCATGGGCATTTGTTGTACAGAATTTTTTCATCACCCAGGTATTAAACCCAGTACCCACTAGTTATCTTTTCTGCTCCTCTCCCTCCTCCCACCCTCCACCCTCAAGTAAGCCCCATTGTGTGTTGTTCCCCTCTATGTGTCCATGTGTTGTGATCATTTAGCTCCCACTTATAAGTGAGAACATGTGGTATCTGGTTTTCTGTTTCTGCCTAGTTTGCTAAGGATAATGGCCTCCCACTCCATCCATGTTCCTGAAAAAGATGATCTCATTTTTTATGGCTGCATAGTGTTCCATGGTGTATATATGCCACATGTTCTTTATCTAATCTGTCATTGATGGTCATTTAAGTTGATTCCATGTCTTCGCTATTGTGAACAGTGCTGCAATGAATATTTGTGTGCATGTGTTTTTAAAGTACAATGATTTATATTCCTCTGGGTATATAAATTCCAAATGGGATTGCTGAGTCAAATGGTAGCTCTGTTTTTAGCTCTTTGAGGAATTGCCACACTGCTTTCTTCAATGGTTGAACTAATTTGCACTCCCAACAACAGTGTATAAGCGTTCCCTTTCCTCCAGCATCTGTCATTTTGTGACTTTTTAATAATAACCATTCTGACTTGTGTGAGAAGATATCTCATTGTGGTTTTGTTTTGCGTTTCTCTAATGATCAGTGATATTGAGCTTTTTTTTCATATGCTTGTTGGCCATATGTATGTCTTCTTTTGAAAAGTGTCTCTTCATGTCCTTTGCCCAGTTTTTAATGGGGTTGTTTTTCTCTTGTAAATTTCTTTAAGTTCCGTAGAGATGCTGAATATTATGTCTTTGTCAGATGCATAGTTTGCAAATATTTTCTCCTATTCTGTAGGTTTTCTGTTTACTTTGTTGATGGCTTCTTTTGCTCTGCAGAGGCTCTTAAGTTTAATTAGATTCCATCTGTCAAATTTTGCTTTTGTTGCAATTGCTTTTGGTGTCTTCATCATGAAATTTTTGTCCGTTTCTATGTCCAGGATGGTATTGCCTAGGTTGTCTTCCAGGGTTTTTACAGTTTTGGGTTTTGCATTTTAGTCTTTAATCCAGCAGTCCACAACCTTTTTGGCACCAGGGACTGACTCTGTGGAAGACAATGTTCCCACAGAGAGCAGTAGGCAGGGAGATGATTTCGGGATGAAACTGTTCCACTTCAGATCATCAGGTATTAGTTAGATTCTCAAAAGGAGTGCACAACCTAGATCCCTCACATGTGCATTTCACGATAGGGTTTGCACTCTTATGAGAATCTAATGCTGCTGCTGATCTGATGGGAGGTGGAGCTCAGGTGGTAATGCTTGCTTACCAGCCACTCACCTCCTGCTGCACGGCCTGGTCCCTAACAAGCCACAGAATGGTACCAGTCCATTGCCCAGGGGTTGGGGACCTCTGCTTTAATCCATCTTGAGTTAATTTTTGTATATGGTGAGAGGAAGGGGTCCAGTTTCAATCTTCTGCATATGGCTAGCCAGCTATCCCAGCACCATTTATTGAATAGAGAATCCTTTCCCCAGTGCTTGTTTTTGTCAGGTTTGTCAAAGATCAGATACTTGTAAGTACGCGGCCTTATTTCTGGGTTCTCTATTCTGTTCCATTGGTCTATATGCCTGTTTTTGTCCCGGTACCATGCTGTTTTGATTACTGTAGCCCTGTAATACTGTTTGAAGTCAGGTAGCGTGATGCCTCCAGCTTTGTTCTTTCTGCTTAGGATTGCCCCTGGGCTATTCTGGTTCCATATGAATTTTAAAATAAAAACTCTCAACTTTCTCTTTGTTCTTGGAACACACTGAAGACCACCCGATCTGTGAGTATGCCCCACTTTGCCATTCTTGCCTCCTAAATAATCAGTGTTAAGTTTAGAGAGTCATCTCTATATTTTATTTGACTTCAGCAATGTAAACTGTGAGTCAGAGCTGCAGTGGTGGAGGCTGCAACCTTGGCAGCGGGAAGGTCAGTTCACAGGGTTTCTCGGCATGCTCCTCCTGTGTCCCCACCGTCTATAGGTGCCCTCCATCATACATGTGCCCTTGGCTTGTAGACTGGCCTGATCTTTCCAGAACTATTTTTGGTCATGCCTCATGCATGAGCTTGTGCCTGAGCACAATGATGTGAAAATTAATTTAGTCATATCTTGTCCAAACTAAAAACATTGAACCATTTTAAAGGAAAGCAGCTTCCCAATGTTGCCATATATTGTTTTAAAATAATTGTAAAAAGTAGTTGCTCACGTAACAGCACTGGGCCTGCCATTGACCTTGCACGAGATGCCTCACACACATCTGAGAGGCTGTTACTGTGGACGCAGTCCTCAGTGCTGCTGCTGCATGGGACCCTGCTTCAGAGGAGCTCTGCAACAGCAAAAGTGCCAAGCAGATCGAAGAGGACACAGCAGGACCATGTGGGGCCCTCCTCCCAGTGGTCAGTTACATCTTTTGGTATCATGGTGGAGGTTGGGGGTGCCCCTGAGCTTCCTGTGCCCCCTTCCCATGCCCACTGTACCCACCATGACAAGCTGAGCATGTTTCTGTAGCCATCCTCTACCCTGAGTAGATACTCTGCATTTTTACTGTGCAATGCTTTCAGGACTGTGCCTCTGTGGTCACCCCTGTCGTCCAGCTCCGTTATGGCCATGGGAACCAGAACCTGGCATGTTCCAGCACCTCATTCTGCAGTTAGAAATCAACAAAACCTCCCAAATGGGAGAGGAGGGCCTAAAACCCTTGGGAAATTTCCTTTGCGAGATTTTCATGAGACTTGGAATGTCCTGAAGTTTAATATGTGAAGGTATTTGAATGACACATAGAACTCCGTGTAAGACAGGTGTAGCCAAAAGAGAAAACCATTCATGTCAACAGTCTCCCTCGTGCTCTTTCAGAGACCCTCTGAATTATAGCACCCAGAGGCCCTGGATGTCTTGGGAGCGGATGAGCCCCATGCACAGGCAGGAGAGTGGCGCATTCTCTGGGTAACGAAGTATCCTATAGCTAGAAGATTAGAAACAATTCTACATGAAACATTTGAAAGTATCTTTTGATCAGTTTATTTATTTCTGAAGACATAGATTTCCTTTGGGAAACAGTAGCCCAGAGAAAGGTCTCCACAACCAAAAAGCACTGTGAATTGTTAGTTGCATTTTGCCTGGTCACGTGAGTGAATTTCCTCCTGGATTGCATTGAATCTGCACTGTTTTGGAGACTGGCAGATCCGTCGTTGATAAAGCCACATGTGCAGGGTCATCATCAGTTGATGTACTTCCATCCTAGCTGATACTGTTGATTTTTCCCTGCCAGGAAGCTTCCTGACACAGCCTGCACCCCAGTGGACTTCCCAAAGCAAGTTGAGTCTGACTTCGCACCCCTGACATCAGAATCATCTGACTTCTGGGCACGCCACTGAATACTGATGTACCTGAAGGAACCCTGGGTACCAAACATGCTCAAGTGAATGAATGGTGTCCAGGACAAAGCCCAGCAGGTGTCCAGACAATGGCCTCCCACCAGAGATCTTGTCAGCACGCCGCTCTGAGCACTGTGTGCCTTAGTGTCTTTGTGTCCTGGTTGCAATGAAGTCTTTCTCCATAATGTCAGTTTTTATACTTTTTGACCTAGTAGGACATCAGATGATGAATTTTCATGTGATATGAATTCAGCCTAGGTATGTCTTAGGATTGGTTTAGAGGGAAGACTGAAGCAGGTGAAATGGCAACCCCTTGAATACACATCTGTAATAAATTGAAAAATATTCATCATGATTTAATGGTATCTTTTAAAATAGGAAACAAAATATTTCCTGTTCATTAGAATCGTTACATCAACTAAAGTCATCATAACTAAAATCATCATTACATCAACTAAAATACAAAATATGGAATCTAATCTGATCTTCAGCAGATGTTGGCATTTCTTTAAGTACACATCTTCACTTCTGCAGTGCACTAACAGAGACTCAAGAATGACAAAGGGAAAAAAAAGGCAAAATTAGGAAAAAGGGAGACATTTTGTAGTTGATGTTGGATACACTGGATGGACTATCCATTTGATATACCTTCTCATTGATAGAATAGGAGACTTCAGGTTTCACAAAGGCAAATCGTGTTTCATGAGAAAAAGCAACAGAAAAATATCGATAATAAAAATATTTTAGTGTTTTATGAAGAACTGTATGTAGCTTGAATCTTTAATTAAATAAGTGTTTTCTTTTGCATGTAAAATAGAATTCAGCCTTTCCTAACTCAGGACAGCAATGGGCTGAAGACACTGCTGGGCCCATCCTGCCACCTGCTGGGAGGCCTTGTTCCCTCAAAAGCCTTGGTTTGGAAGGATGATTGGAAAATAGCTTTACACACCCACCCTTTATTGTGTTTTTATTCACAAAGCCTTAATATACCGCCATACTTCATGTAGTTGATTTTTCACATCTCTGATAAGTTTTTAAATGTCAGTATTCCTACTAAAGTCTCTCTCTCTGTCCTGTGTTCTATGTTCTAGGGTGTATGAAGAAAGGGCTTCAGCAGAAACAGAGGCTGAAGCCTGCGTGCTGGGGGCCGAGAGGCCAGAGGAGAATGTGATGAGACATAGAATTGGTAGTGCAGGAAGTTGGAAGATCAAGTACCGTGATGTTGGTGCTGGCTGCTTGTGTTAAACTGCCTAGGTTTTAATCTACGGTAATTTTCGCCCACCTGTGGGGCTCCCCTGGTGCCCCAGCTGTGATGGGGTAACTGAACTGCCACCAGGGCCAAGCTGTCAGTGGCCCAGGATCTGGCGCTTGGAAGAGTTCTGAGAAGCACCCCTGGATCAAATGAGGAGAAACAGACTTCATCCATACCTATTCCCATTGTATTTAAAGAAGTGAATATTCTCAGGGATTTCCACAGTTTTAAAAGTGTCTTTCAATTAAAACATTTAAAATAAAATAAGGTTGAGGTAACAACCAAGTTACACTTCTTCCAGCAGCACCCAGACAGCGAGAGCCCTCAGATTTTAGAATTTTAGAAGAGAAGATTGTGGCCATGTCTGGAATTCAAAGAAGAACCAGTGAGAAGAGCTAGATAGAACTGATGGATGCTGAAACATCTAATATTAAAATAGAAGGGCAACCCTAAATGATAATATAAAATTACAATATTAATGGTAGAGTAATTAAGGAAGCCATTAATGTTGAATTATGTATGTGTATGTTAAACCTATAAATTAAAATATCATGAACATTATACCATCTGTGCTGGTTTCAGTAATGCTGTTATAAAATAATTATTAAACTGTATGAATGACTTTTTATTAATATAAAATTATAAATTGCTATTGTCAAATAGAACTTTAAATTTGAATAAAAAGAATATATTATTACTAATATGTTAGACTTTGATAAAATATGAAATTTAAACAACATTTTAATAAAATGCTAAGTTTCCCAGTAATATTTATATGAAGTTATTTGAGATACTGTTTGTTCAACAAATAATGTGACAGTGTCTAGTGTTGGCACTGTTTGATTAAGTGGTGGAAAAATAAAACATTTGCAAGGAAATGGGTTATTTCAAGTTATATTTTAATGTCCTTTTATTTCCACATAATAAAATCTTTATGCTGGGCATGGTGACTCATGCCTGTAATCCCAGCATTTTGGGAGGCTGAGGCGAGAGGATCGCTTGAGCCCAGAAGTTCACGACTAGCTTGGGCAACATAATGAGACTCTGTGTCTACCAAACAATAAAAAATAAAAAATTACCCGGGCCTGGTGGTGCGTGTCTGTGGTCCCAGTTACACAGGAGGCTGAAGGAGGACTGCTTAAGCCCAGGAGGCAGAGGCTGTAGTGAGCCATGATCCTGCCGCTGCACTCCAGCCTGGGCAACAGAACAAGATCTTATGTCAACAATAAAATGAAACCAAAAAGTAAAATCATTATTATTCACTTGATATTCGTGAAGAAATTGTCAATATTGATTAATATCCTCATCTGAATTTTAAGTGATTCATATAATGGCAGACTGTAAATATATTACTTAGAGATAAAGAGGACTTTATTTAAATATTCAAGTTATTGTCAACTAGACTATTTTAATGTAAATCTTGTGGCTCATGTCATATGTTATTAATATTAACTTTAATTTTTATAATAATTGTGTGCATTTCAATGTATGCATTTCATTTTAGGTAATTTTGCAATTTTTTATTTTTATTTTTATCTTTTTAGAGATGATGGCTCACTATATTGCCCAGGCTGGTCTTGAACTCCCAGGCTCAAGCGATACTCCTACCGCAGTCTCCCAAAGTGCTGCTGCGAATACAGGCGTGAGCCACTGCGCCCGGCTCCGATTTTGCAATTTTAATTGTTCTGCAAAAGTTTCCTCTGAATATTCATCATTCTGCAGTGTGTGAATGAACACAGCCTGAAATGTTGAGAGACTTGAGATAGAGTTTAAAATATGGTGATTTTATTCCTCGTGTGTCTTCCAGGTGAGAATCCACACGTTATCACATGAACCAGTGATGTGTGTCATAAGGAAATTAAGAAACAAACCTATACTATTTTTGCTACCCTTATTCTCTGGAAAATGAACTGTAATAGATTTCTAGAATTAATTTTTGATGCTAAAAATATTATCATTCCAATTCAATAGTGAGAACAGCGCCGCGTTCTGTGCTACGCTAGGGGGAGCACCCACTTTGGTAATGAACATCGTTCCCTGTTCGTCTTTAGTGAATTAAGGGCCGGATGAGGAAGTGGGAAATAGGAGGAAGCTGTGCCTCCCCGGAGGAGCACGTGCCCTCAGAGCCATAAGGCAGGAGCAGAGGCTGCCTGAGTTTGCAGCGCGAGGCCAGGGGGCTTCCCTGGGACTCGGCGACCGCCCTGTGCGCTCGGACGCGCAGGCAAATCCCCGCTCCGCTGCGCCTGGTGTGCACGGAGCCCTCCTACTTGCTTCCTACGCCGCTTATCCGTTTATCTGCATCGTAAAAGCCAGCGTTACTTTGTTTTCGTTTCAACTACTTTTCCAGTGCCACGGGATTTCATGCAAAGTGCCTTAGACGGTAGAAATGCCTACTCCTCTCGTTTCCTTATTCCTGGAATGCGCTCACATGCGGCCACGTAGGGACCTGGGACGCTCAGCCCTTTCTGCGCCCTTGCCCTCTCCGGGGCGGCATCTGGCAAGGAGGGCGGCCCAACACCGCAAGCCTGATCCCAGGGGCTGACCTCTGGACGGTCTCAGGGACTGACTAGGGATGCGGCCGCGGGAGGGGGCAGCCGAGCGGGGAGAGGACTGGGGGAGGGGCGCGGGGTGTGCTCTTGGGGTAGGGCGGGGCAAGGGTGGCTTCGGGAGGGACTGGGAGGGGGCGGCCCTAAGAGAGCGGTTGGGCTCCCTGGCTGCCTGTACACTGGTGCTTTTTTCTTTGCTAACGCCCTGGATGTCACCAGCCCAGTTTGCTCATCTCGCCGGCAGCCCCACTGTGGTTCCGTTATTTTCTGAGAGATTTTCCCTTCCTTTCTCTTTTTGCCCTAGACCAGAACTGCGAGCAGACACCCCTAGCACCCCGGAAGATGGGCTATGGTCTCCGGCCACCTCCTGCCCGTTTCTCATTAAAGCTTGAGAAGGAGGAGGGTGGCTGTGTCCCAGGAGCTGGGTTGGCACCCTCAGTGAGGTTGTGGGGCTCTCGTGGAGAACACAAACCATCCCTCAGGACAGCAGCAGCAGGCAAGACCCCAGATGGTCCTGATCAAGACAAAGACAAGCCACTCCAGCATCCTGTCTGAATACAGACAGATGGGAGCATCTCTCAGGCCAGGAGTGCCAGCCGTGTCCCCTCCCAGCCCACATGGTGACTGCTGCTTTGGCCTTGGTGACAGCCTGTCCTGCCCTTGTCAGGCCTCCCGGGGGATGAGGTTTATGAAGCTTCCAGTGTATACCTACCTCCTCCTGCTTCCTGACAGTGCTCAACTCAGAGCCAGCCCCCTCTCCCGTTAGTCCACCCCTGGCCAGCTGGCACACACACACAGCCTGCGGCAAGGCTCTTCCAAGCCTCTCACTGCACCCTCCACAGCGCCATGGCATATTCTTGCAGAATGGAACAGTAAATCCAGCTGTAGTTTAACAACAGGTGTGTCTCTGGTAGGCACACTAGGCAGCGGCTCATTGGCCTGTATTTAAAATATGAACATGTGCATGACTGCAAAGGCCTAGATCCTCACTTTTTCCTACAAACCAGAATTGCTGTTCTCAAAGTTTAAACCACATTTGCAATACATGAGATCGATCCACAGCCTGAGTGGAAGGAGCCACATGCAGGGGATAGGGGGCCAGGCCACCCTTGGGCAGAGAATGTGGGTGCATGGAGAGGGTGTGTGGGGCAGGAAGGATCCCTGAGTGTTTCGAGCAAAGAGTGTGTGATCCTGCCTGCCCTTGGTGCCGTCCACTGGGGCTGGTCAGTGAGGCCGAGTCCATCATGGTGGTGGGGACACATGGCAAAACTAGAAGCCCTGGGGGAGCTGGGGGAAGGGAGCAGGCACCCATTATGCTGCCGTTGCAGTTTTCTATAAGTTCTATAATTATTTCAAAATAAAATATTTTAAAATGACCATGTCCCTAAAGGAGGGATAATAGTAAGCCTCACAATAGAGATTAGTCTGTACTCAGACCCACTTCAGCTCCAGCTGTGAAGCTTCTTCTGCTCTCCGATTCCAGAGCCTGATGGTGTTAAGGAGGCCCCTGTGGATGTTACAGCGATGTGGATGTTATGCTACAGACATCACAGTAATGACACTTTGGAGTCTCGGGTGATTTCCCCATTCTGTGCAGGCGGCAGGATTTTCCATTTCCCTTTTCCCACATGAGCCCTTCCCCTACTGGGTATCTTGAGACTGACCACCCTTTGCCCCAGGCTGGAAGCCACAGAGAAGGCCATCTACTTGGGTTTCTCCCTTCCATGGAGCCTCCCTGCTTCTGTTCATCACCTGGGTCCCTCTCAAAGACCACAGAAGCTGCTCTCAGGTCTAATTTTCCATCTTGATTGTGCCAACAGTGAGTTTCACACATGTATGTTTCAGGCAGAGAGACGCTTGCACAGAGTGTGGGGATACCCTTGGTGGCTCTTTCCCCTCCGGGATTCTTCCTTCTTTCTTCTTCTTCCTCCTCTTCTCCCTCCCCTCCTCTCCTTCTCCCTCCCTCCCCTCCCCTCTTCTCCTTCTCTCTCTCCCTTCCCTCCCCTCTCCCTCTCTTCCCCTCCCCCTCCCCTTCCTATTTGTCACCCAGGCTGAAGTAGCGAAATGACAGCTCACTGCAGCCTTGAACTCCTGGCCTCAAGTAATCCACCCGCCTCAGCCTCATGAGTAGCTGTGACTACAGGTGTGCGCCACCACTCCCGGCTACATTTTTATTTTTTGTAGAGATGGAACCTTGCTCTGTTGCCCAGGGTGGCCTCAGTCCCTCTGGGATGCTACTGGGGAGTTACAGTGTCTCTGGGGCACAAGGGATTGACTTGATCATGACTGCCATTCCCCAGATGGTGACCCAGGTGCTTGAGAAGCTCATGCCTTTCCGGGCCCATCTCAGAGGCAGTGGGGATGATCATCAAGGGTCTTCCTTGTGACTGATGGGGAGCAGCCATTCAGGGGCCCTGGTGGGGGCCCTGGCAGGGCACGGCCTGCCACACCATTCCAAAGGTTCAGATTGTGACCTGCACACTGCAGGTGTCCCTTGTCCATCCCTACAGGGAAGAGTATGGCCATCTCCATTAGGCAGTGCCTTGGGTGTCCAGATGGCTTCCAGGGGTGACACTGCAGGTCTGAGAGAACTTGGATTGGAGAAAGGAACTGGAGGGATGGAGCAAGATTGGGCTCATAGGCTCAGCATCCCCAGGGAGCTGTGGTGACATGAGCCCAAGTGGGAATAGGTGTCTCTGCCGCTGTGGGAGTCCCAAGTTGGTGCCTGGGGAGGGCAGGGCTGAGGGGTTGCTGGGAGGTGAGTGTTGAGAGGCCTAGGAGGCCACGTCCATGAATGGGTCTGGAGACCTGGGGGGCTGGGTCTGAGGGAACGGGAGCAGGTATAACCGAGGGAGCTGGTGGGAGGACTCCAGCCCAGCTGTTCAGGGGAGCCCTGAGTCACTTTGGGGGTGTGAGGAGAGTGGAGGAAGTGGATGGTCCTGGTGCCTCAGGTGAGGGGGCGGGCTGCAGGGGGCCAGCCTTGTGAAATGCAGATCAACTTGGAGGTGAGCTCGGGAGCATGCAGGTGAGGACCCAAGAGACCGGGGGGTGCTGGGGCAGGTGGGGCAGAGAGACCAAAGACTGAGGCCCAGCAGGACCTGGGGTAGAGAAGAGAGGGTATAGGGAGGAAAAAGGGGGCAGCTTCACCAACTCATCAACTAAGGGATGGTTGGGGTGGGCCAGGAGCTAAGCAGGGGGTGGGGTGATGGGGGAGATGGAGCCCTCACGGGGCAGCGGGGCCCTGGGCACTGGTTTATGTATGAACAGGTGGGCAAGTCCTCTAGAGTCGTGGAAAGTAAACATGAAACCCACAACTGCACACACGTCGTCCCTCGTTTTTGTCATGGCGTTAATCTCCAAGTGGCTTTGGTTCTTCCCCAGGCACAGAATGAAGCGACCCAGGTCATCACTGTCCTGGAGCTGCCCCTGCCTACTTTGACTTTTCTTCTTGGCCTGTATCTATGTCTGACACACACCAGTTAGTTTACGTGTAGGTCCATATGTTTATTGCGGCACTATTCACAATAGCAAAGACTTGGAACCAACCCAAATGTCCATCAATAACAGAGTAGATTAAGAAAATGTGGCATATATACACCACGGAATACTATGCAGCCATAAAAAAGATGAATTCATGTCCATTGCAGGGACATGGATTAAACTGGAAACCATCTTTCTCAGCAAACTATCACAAGGACAGAAAACCAAACACCGCATGTTCTCACTCATAAGTGGGAACTGAACAATGAGAACACTTGGACACAGGGCGGGGAACATCACACACCAGGGCCAGTAGGGGAGGTGGGGGAGTGGGGGAGGGAAAGCATTAGGAGAAATACCTAATGTAAATGACGAGTTTATGGGTGCAGCAAGCCAACATGGCACATGTATACCTATGTAACAAACCTGCACGTTGTGCACCTGTACCCTAGAACTTAAAGTATACAAAAAAAATTTACCTGTAGATCAAGCCAGGGATGTGAACTCTGGGCCGGTCCTGCACTGAGCGACTCCTTGATCCTGGACCAGGTCTCCTCCCGCAGGCGCCTGGCCCCGCCCCTCCCCTCAGTCGCCGGGCCCCGCCCCTCCCCGCAGGCGCCTGGCCCTGCCCGGCCCGGTCCCGCCCACATCAGAAAGCTCAGAGCAGGCTGCGGGCAGTTCCCGGGTTAGTCAGCAGGGGGCGCGTGAGGCGGCCTGGCCTGGCGGCTCCAGCTGAAATCAGCACAGCAGGAGGGAGGGTGACAGTGCCCTCCTATGCAGGTCAAACTACTAACAAATGATGTGGCTGGAGAATACTTGACAGCACGATGACTAAACACGTCAGTATAAAATGAGATCATGAAGCATGCTGTGCCCAGCTCTGCGGTTAGTTCACAGTATTTTACAAAGCGTCGTTTCCAAACGCTCAGGAAACACCAGCTACCTATAATAACGCGTGACACGCACCTTCTTCAACACTCAGCACAGCTCTGCAATAATGGCCCAGCCTGATCTTCACGTTGGAGGTGAGGACACAGGCCCTGGAGGATTCAAGTGGCAAGGTCACAGAAGTGGTCACAGGGGACCACAGCCCCCCCTGCCTGGACTGCCCTAGGCTCTGGATCTGTAACCCCTGGCTTGCTCCCCATTCGCCTGCCTGACCACAGCTCCGAGGCCTCTGAAAAGCCTGGCAAGGTGAGCGGAAGGTCCCTGTGGTGTCGCCCCCAGGGCAGGGATGGGCCATGGAGCTTAGTTGAGGGGGAGGAGCTGGTACCTGCTGGAGGAAGCGCAGCCCTGGAGAGGGTGCCTCTCTGCCCTCACCCCGGTGGTGTGGAGTTGGAGAGCCTTGACTGCGGGGGCTGGGGAAGGTGGGCAGGCCCAGGGCAGTGGGGGAGCCGCCTGCTCAGCAGGAGGGCCAGAGGGAGGAGTGAGCTGTGTGCAGGGATGGTGGGCAGCAGGCAGGGGCAGGCACAGGAAGTAGGGCGCTGAGCTGAGGTGGTCCAACTCAGGAGCTGGGGAGGAAGGGAGCATGGAGGGGAGATGGGGGAAACTGGGCAGGTGCAGAGAGGGAGGGCGGGGAACTGAGGAGAAGACAGAGCAGGGGAAGTGAGGGAAGGGGAAGAAAGCACAGGAGCAGAGGGAGACTGGAAAGGAAACCCGGATGGCTCTCAGGGCAGGGAAGAAGGAGGGGATGGGAGCTGAGGGACATGGAGCCAACTGAGATGACGTAGGGAGGGCGGGGATGGCTGGGAGGGATGGCCTTAGCAGGAGAGGGCAGGGGACTGCGGGAGGGTGGAGAGGTCAACAGAGGCTGAAGGAAAGGGGGAGGGGAGCATGTTGGAGGAGATGGAACTGGAGAGCGAAGAAGGGAAGGGCATGAATGAAGGGGAGGGAGGCGGGAGAGGTCAGGTGCATCCAAGGGAGGTGAGGAGAGGGGAAGGGAGGTAAACTGAGGCAGGGACATGGACAGAGGGGATGGGAAGTGAGTTTATCAGGGGAGTCAGAGTGAGGAGAGGAAGGGAAGGACTGGAATGGAGGGTGAAGATGGAGTGTGAGTGGAGGTGAAGTGGGGAAGGGGGAACCAGTAGGGGCTTTGCATGGGAGGGGACATGAGTGAGGGAGAGGAGGGAGGTACAAAGAACTGGGGAAAGGGAGTAAGATAGAGGCCACAGGGGCTCAGGAGGAAGGGGAGGTCCCAGAATGGAGGGAAGAATCTTGGAAGAGCTGCAGTGGGTCTGTGTGTGTGTGTGGCGGGGAGCAGGAGGGAACATGTGCCTGAGACTGTGCTGCTTCTTGAAGAGGTGACAGAGACAACACCCTTAACAGAGCATTTTTCCTCCCCATCAGCCCGGTCACCTGGTCACCCTATGACCCCACACCCTGCAGCTGCACTGAGCTTCACTGACCTTGGGTGGGGATGCCTCCTGAGGGCTCTTTCTGTTGTTCTCGCATCTCTCCAGCCACATATTAAAGTGACTCAGACCATTTTGACGACCCTCCATTCCATGTTGTAGGTGACACTGGTTATCCATGTCCAAATCTCTTCTTCCCCAGCCGTTTGGTGTTTGGTGGATTAGAACAGCCCATGTCTGAAACCCTAGTCAGGGAGTTCACTACTTTTGACATCACGAAGAAAAATGTTGCCAAAGACTGAAAAATAACCATACCCTGTTGCTGGATCTCTCTTGCCTCATCCCTTTACCTAATAAGCAGGAGTTGGTTACATCCTTAGTTCATAACCAAAGACACTTAGAGAGAAACACCGACTGTATTTGCACAAACTTTGAGAATCGATCCATAGAAAAACGCAGAGATCAAGATTTCTAACTCGTAGGGAAAAAACTTCTGTTTTTCTAGCAATGATAAGACATTTCAATTTTAAATTTTCTCCTGTGTACATATAATTAAAATTAATGTCATGTAGAAAGCACGCAGCACTGAATTTCTGGGACCGCTAAATCACATTTGGTGCCACTTGCCTTATATTTTCATGACAACATACACAGACACCTCCATTATCTGTAAACCCAACCGTTCACACATCTGAACAGGGAAGAAGCCTCCTTTACTCTAAGAAGCTCACCCCTAGCTCTCCATGCCTGGATGGCAGATGCTCGTGGGGCTGTTGTGTTTGGCTTCGAGGTCCATGGACTCCAAGGATGTTACAGATTTTTAGTCTCTGGTCTCCACTGTTGGTTATGCTATGAGATTTTACTATGGACCCAATGGACTGCTTCTCTAGGGGCACACTCCTCGGTGCTTTTGGAATCGCCCATGTCCCCAGAGAATCCATGTCTTGGGTATTTCCTATCCATGGTCCAGTCGTCCTGGAAGACTGCAGAGCCTCCTCACCATGGCCCCATGCGGGGATGCCAGGAGAGGGCACTTGCCTCCGTGCTCCAAATCCTGAAATCTACTTTTGCACTGATGCTTTTTCCCTTTCCAGCACTGTATCCCGTGTCTTTGACATCCCTATGGCAGCTGGGTGAGATGTGTCATCAGTCACAGGTGCACTGGGAATGATGCTGACTTGCCAGCTCTAGAGGGTCGTCAGAGGTGGATTCTGGGTCAACACCCTTTTCAGGTGGAAGGAATTGTTCTTCACTTTTCAAATCTTATTCAGGTATATCAGGATCTTTTTATTGTGAACTTTGACTTTTTCTTATTTTGAGTGGCTTAAAATATTACTATTTTAAAGAAACTATGGATAATTTTCACTTTCTTGCCCAAGATAAAGATAATTCTATGAAGCAATGAAAGATCCAACAGTGTTAATAATAGATACCAATAACAGTTAAGATACTGTGCTGTTCACTAAAAAAGATGGGCATGGAGGTCAAAGGAAATAGCATTTGTCTGGGAAACAAAGAATTGCAACTCAGGTACAGTGAGTCAGGGCAGCCCTGAAGAGTGTCCTGTAAGGCAAGCACAGGAAACATTTTTGAATCGAGGATTTCCACAAAAAGTTATTTTTAAAGGCAGTTGATTTGTTGGGCAGGAATCCTAAGTTGCAAACTCGTTCTGATTCGTCAGTTAACGAGGCTACTCCCAGCTGAAAGATGCTGAAGGCTGGTGGACACTGGCTTCAGTTGTTTATCCAAGTCTACTGGAACATTCTGTGGCTTGACCTTTAGCGGATGTGAGTGCCTCTCCTGCTTCCATTTTAGAAAGCCGGAGGCTTAGTTAATTCATTTTTTTCACAGTATAAATATGCAAAGTTTAAAGAGTTGATGGAGCCATATATGAAAGACATTTATTATTAAGCATGAAATTTATAATATTTTAATCATTAAATTGTATATGTTCACATAATCAGAAGTAAAATATCTAACGATTAAAATTCCCAACAGATTAAAAGTGCCCAACAGATACCAGGATATCAGATAGCTCAGCCTTAATTTTCATCTGTATCTTCAGCTGTAACATAGATCAAAAGGGCTAAGAAATGAAAAAAGTTGGTGTCATGTTTGCTCTCCTCCTGCTATGTCTTCTCATGCATGTTCTAAACAGTAAAAGCACTAGAATGTTTTAAAGAAGGGCAAAGATACAGAAAAAAATCAATATCCTATAATAGGTAATGAGCACAGCATGTTTAACAGACAATTCTGTAACTTACATTAAACACATCAGCTAAGCAGTTACTATGAAATTCCAATACACGGATAAAGAATATGAACAAGGAAAGGACTGGGTGACTTCCCAAACATCTCCAGTAAACACATAGGAGGAATCCAGAGACGCACTACATCCAATCCAGTCACTGTGCTAGGTGGCTACGTTCTATTTGGCACATGTTTATAAATGTGCTGTCTCAACATTATACTAAAATTATTTTAATTTGTAGAATGATGGGATATTTTTGACATCTTGCCTATGAACATTCAAGTATTGGTCCCACAAATATTTTTAGTACTCATCTTGCCATTATACACAATCGATGAGATCCATGCTTAGCCACACAGCACGAATGGAGTAGTATGTACCTTCCCTAGCCTTGATTTCATTCTATGTATAAAAAAAGATGATTTATTACATGCCATGATGCTTCCCAATAATAGTAGTGAAAATTTATGAACAATTTACTCATTATCTTAACACTGCATGTGAGGTAATAAATGACCAGCTTCAATAGTTAAGTGGATGTAACATGTACAAAAATGAGTATCTTATCACACTGAATATTTAGCTTAAAATTTAGAAAATAGTCATAAGTGACTATACTGTAGTTATCACTACAGAGAATCTAAACTCCTTTTGAGGTGTAACATTTGTTTTCCTTTCATAATACTTCAAATCAATGAACCTAAAACATGTTACTATGCCTGGAGTTCCAGAACACTTCAGCTCCCAGTGATCGTCAATAGTATCTACACACTAAGCTCTTTAAAAACTGAGTTCCGACTCTATCACAAGAGGGGGTCTGCAGGCTCAGCCTGGGGAGAGTCTGTGAATGAAGGATGTTTTTGCTACACCCATAGCACATAGGAGCGCCTTCTAGGTGTTCAGGATTGTCCTAACAGTTGGAAACAGCGCCGTGTGGGGCTTGGAAACTATGAGCTGCGCCTCTGGGCCTGGGATCCTGACGTCTAAATGAAGTTGAACTGGAAGGCTGCTAGATCCTCTTCTAGCTATGCCTCCTTATGCAGCTGTTGTGAAAATGGGATGGCTTCATGGGCGTAAAACACTTTGCACAGTAGTTAGTGCCCAACAGATATCAGGAGCCACTATTATCATTATTATCCCAAACCATCTTCAGCCACCCAGGGTGAGTGAAGGTTCACACCAGGGCTGTCCAGGAACGTGCAGGGTGGTCATTGGTTAGAGAATATCAGGAACTGGTTAGATCCAGGGCTGGGGTAAGAGAGGGAGGAACAGATGGCTGCATTTGTTTTCTGCTGCTATGTAACCAATTGCCACACAAGCAGCAGCTTCAGAAACCTTCCTGGAGGCCCTCCGCACAGCGGCACCGCGGCACAGCGGCACAGCACAGGAGGAGGCCTCTTCAGGGCCTGCAGGAGACTGTCTGCCTTGCATCACGCTGACCCCCTCTGCTTCTGACCTCCAGCCCACTTTTTTTTTCTTTTTTCTTTTCTTTTATTTTTTTTGAGACAGGGTCTTGCTCTGTTGCCCGGGCTGGAGTGCAGTGGTGCAATCACAGCTCACTGCAGCCTCAACCTCCCTGAGCTCAGGTGATTCTCCCACGTCAGCCTCCCATGTAGCTGGGACTATAGGCGTGCAACCACCACTCCCGTCTAATTTTTGTATTTTTTGTAGAGATGGGGTCAAGTGATCCTGGGCACAAGTGAACCTCCTGCCTTGGCCTCTCAAAGTGCTAAGATTACAGGCGTGAGCCACCACACCCAGCCTCCAGCCCTTCTTTGAAAGGGCTCACCTGATTAGGCCAGGCCTCTCCAGGAAAATCTCCTTTTTGATGACCTTACAGTAGACTGATTAGGGGTTGTAATTACATCTTCAAACCCCACTAACTGCAACGTAAAGTCATGTAACTTGGGGAGTGAGATCCCAAAGTATTCAGAGGTCCAGGCCACCCTGGCAAAGTGGATTCTATATACAGGGCTGTTCCCCAGGGGGCAGAATCTTGAGGGCCAGTTTAAGATTCTCCCTCCCACTCAGCCTGAGGTGCTAAGGTGCAGGTAAGAACAGCTCAGCTGAGACAGAAAGCACAGGAGGGAAGAGACAAGATCCAGGCAGGCCCCGAGTTCAGGGCAGGGCTGGGCTGTGTGCCCACAGGGCCTGTGAGAACCTCACAAGGAAGTGGGGCCACAGATGGGCACCCCAGCTCTTCACCCCACTTCCTCCCTGCGTTGGCCATGTGGCCATGGGATCCTCTAGACTATGAACCTCTTCTCTGAAAACATGACTAAGGTGCCACAAAATCAGGCTCCTAGAGGCGCCCGGCAGTGACTGATTTGCTGAGCTTCCCCTCCTCCCTTTTTCTCCCTCATGCCTCCATGTCTTGCTTCCCCCGGCCCCCACTTCCCCCAGCTGTTTAGTTGATCTTTTCCTGGCCCGACCTCGACACCCCTTATCTCATGGCCCTGTCACGCCCATGTCCCTTGTCACCTCACTTCCGTGCCTTATTTCCTCTGAACGGGGTTTGTCCCTTGAACGGTGGCCCATGGCCCCCACCCCCTCACTGTTTCCTTGTCCCTACCCCCCAAAACGTTGGACTCAGTTCTGGGGGGACTAGATCCCCTGCTCCTCACCCAGACTCACCAGGGCCCTTTGACCTCTCCACGTCTCTCTTCCCAGCCCCCTCTTTAGTCAAGGCCTACCCGAGACCTCTGGACGCGGCCCTGGCCCTGCGCTCAGCGTCTCCCAGGGTCCCTGCTCCCAAGTCCCCGCTCCCCCGCAGCCTGGACGCCTCCCCAGGCTCTGCCATCGCTCGGCGGCCTCGCTGCCCCAAGTCTTCGTGGCTCAGCACTCTCTGCACCCCGCAACCCCAGCCTTCCACCACTTCTCCGAGCGCGTACCCGCCTCCCCGCCTGCCAGACTGAGGAACGCCGAGCCTGCAGGTGGGAAACAGAACCGGATGCGCGCCTTAACAGTTGTCCGTTTAGCAGGAGGTTTTGAGCTCCCGCGAGCTTCTTCCTAAATTCCAGCCACGCGAAATTTCCTGCCGGGCGGCTTGTTCCCAGTTCCCGCTGCCCGGGCCCCTGCCTCCTCCCGCTCAGGGCTCCGCGTGGAGAGAGGGTCGTTCCGCACTCGCCCCAGGGGCCGGCGGGCGGCTGGGGATTCCAGCCGCTTCACCCCGCTCCAGGCAGCTAAAAGCCACTGTGGGGGGAGGTGGGGGATGAAACCTCCAGGAGCAGGAAGGAGCAGGAGGGGCCCACCCGGCTGCACGGGGTAGAACCTGACACTCCGTACACCAGCGAGTGGAAACACGACTTAGGAAACTGACAGACAACATTTTCAAGGTTGAAATAAGAGGAAAAATAGAGTAGATCTGGGATATCAGGGAGGAAAGCGGAGGGAAACGGTCCAAGGGCAAGGGTCAGGGCAGAGGCTGCAACGGGAAACTCTGACGCCCAGGAGGGCAGGAACATATAGGAAGGGAGACTGATATGTGTGAGGAATATGACCTCGAAGGAACCGGTCACCAGCAGCCCCCATGCTACCTGAAAACACCGTTCCTGGAACTCCGCACCGCGCTCACTAAGACCCTGCTCCCTCCATGGCAGGGTCCTCCCAGGAGCACACCGGTCTGCCGCTCACCTGGACTCAGGCCCCAGGGAGGACCTTCCCTGCCCTCCACAGCCCGGCCCTTGCTCCTGCTGGGAAATCATCTCTGACTGGCAGAGTTCCTGCTCTGCAGTGAAACTACAGGGATTTGAATCCTATGCTGAGAACCAAGCATAGGCCTCAGGTTCAGGGCAGGCTCCTGAGGAAGAATGAGGTGGGTCTCCAAGGGCTGCCGGGGTAGAGCACCCTGACCCTGAGGACGCCAGTGTCCCTCACAGGACAGGAGGGAGCCCTGACCCCAAGGACACCAGCGTCCCTCACAGGACAGAAGGGAGTCCTGCTTCGGATCCCCAGGCAGTGGGAGCTCATGTTGCTGGTTTGCATGGCCAGGCTCAGAGCAGAGTGAAGGAAGATTCCACAGCTGGCTGACCTTTATTTTCATAATAATCCAATCAATGAAAGCTCTACCAGCACAATGTCAGTCTTGCATGGAAAAGGCAAGGGCCAGTTATTTTTCCTGCTATGCTCTCAAACGCTAGCTTCGTGCTCAGAACAGAGTTGTTGCTTGGTAAAAATTTAATCTAGTGATTTATTTTTTTAAGATAGCCACAGTGTTCTGGGTGTTGGAGATCTAGCAGCCAGAAAGGCAGGACATTGCAATGGGAAGATGATGCTCTGGTCGGTGACAAGCCAGATGTAGAGACATTAACAAGCTTCCTTCAGGTAGTCCTTCGTGCTGTGAAAGAACCAGTGTGACTGAGGGCTGAGAGGAGGGGTGTGGCCAGGCTGTCCTGGACACATGTTCAAAAAATAAATCATCGTTATTCACGATAACAAAGACAGGGAACCAACCTAGCTGCCCTTCAATGGTGAACTGGCTACGGAAAATGTGTACATATACACCATGGAATACCATACAGTCATAAAAAGAACGAGATCACGTGCTTTGCAGCAACATGGATGCAGCTGCAGTCCATTATCCTAAGTGAATTAACGCAGGAACAGAAAACCAAATACCGCATGTTCTCACTTACAAGTGGGAGGTAAATGTTGAGTACACATGGGCATAAAGATGGGAACAATAGACACTGGGGAATTCAAGAGGGGGAAGGAAGAGAAGAAGCGGGGAAGGGTTAAAAAACTAAACATTGGGTACCATGCACACTCGTTACTTGAATGACTATATCAATCGTACCCCAAACCTCAGCATCACACGATATGCCCATGTAACAAACCTGCACATGGACCCCCTGAATCGAAAAGAAAAGTTGAAATTATTAAAGATAAATGAATAAATCAATCAGTGCTGACAGACTCACCCACTAGGCCCAGGGGACCATTGTTCTCCAGGATGGCATCTCTGGGCTGGGCCTCACAGGGCCCACTGTTCCTGGGTGGCATCCACAGTAATGTCCTCAAAGGTTACTGATACCTAAAACATCTGAAACATTCTGGGCCAGCCAGGACCTTCCCTTCCAAGGGTCAGGGGAGGACAATTGACTTCCCAGCACCAAGGAAAGGTCTATGTGTAGAGGGGCTCAAACCATGCTGGGATTCCAGGTGGATGTCTCTGTGCCCATCTGGCATGTGCCTCACATCCACTCAGAGATATGTGCGCACGCTGAGCACACAACCACCTTATCATAAATGGATATCACATGAGCTCTGGTGTGAGGTCACCTGGACAGTTCCCAGTAAGATGGTAATTCAGACTACCAGATGGCGATGGTAAGTTTTGGGAATACATATCTAAACTCCCCTCCTTAACAATTTAAAGTCAATCTACACACTCATCCCAAGGCAAGCCATCTCCACAACCTGTGGCCTATCAGCTGTGACTCTGGGTGAACTATTCCCTCATAAGAACCTCAGGTTCCTCCTCCGTGAAATGGTTCAACAACCTGTTGGGAGAGTTGAGAGATCCAATGGACTAATGCGTGAGGGGCCTGCTGGAGAGCGAAGCTGAACAAATCCATGTGAACAGTCCCTTATGGAGTGACACAGAGCGATGAAGCAACGCCCAGCGCTCCACAGGCCTGGGCTGGCAGGTGCAGCTTCCCTCATCCCACACAATCCTGTGTGTGCGGGGCTAAGGACAGAGTTCAGAGCAGAAGCCCAGGCTGCACTGCAGGGCGGCTCATGCAGACCCCTCCTGCAATGGGGCCTCCGTTCTCAGTGTCCTGTGGGACCTCGAAGCATCAGTCACCATTGCTGCTCTTGCGTCTTTGTCCTGTGTATCTGCTAATGGGTGAGATAGAAGCCTCACTACCAAATCTGGTCTCTCCAGTCCTTCAAAATTGCCACAGAACGCTACATTTTGCTCCATCTACTACACTCCTTCTCCTCTAGAAACGTCAAAATTAAGGAAATAAAGCTCTCCATACATCATTTTCAGTTTTCAAATTTGATCAAAGGATAATTACCAAGAAAGAATTGAGTTTGAAGGGCAAGGATTGTAAGGAGAGTTTTATTTACCTTTTGAAATGATCAGACTGTTAGTTCTATCCTATCAACATTTTTGTAGGTTTAACACTGGGGAGCATACGTCAGTGATTCCTCCTAGCCCTCTCTCACCCAACCCGCTCTTCTGCTGTCCCTGAAGGCTGCCCTGCCCTCCTCCACGCATCTGGAGTGCAGGCTGACAGGACTCCCCTGAGGACACACCTGCCGCCAACTGCAAGGTGAGCGTTTCACACAGCCCCAATTCCCGTGGTCACTTCATGCTCAGGCCCATGATAGCCACTGATATGGGCGATCCCTTGCTGGGGCTGTGGGCTAGATGAGAAAAAGAAACCTCTCCCATCTCTTCTGAGAAGACACAGGCTTCATGGAAGTTGGAACTCATAGAGGGAAAGGTTGGAAAGGAGATGATCTCCCAATCAGCCCCTGAGCTGCCACAGCCTCCCAGAGTCCTGGAGAAACAACTGGCACTAAGACTTCTTGGACACATTTAGAAGATCCAGGATGAGGAACAATGTGCCCATCTGCTGGCTAAAGAGGTACCATTCAGGAGAAGAGGCAGGTCCTTACTCACTGCAGGTGGGCTGTGGAGAACTCAACCACCACCTGCGTTCATCCAGATTCTCCCCCTGGGATAGTCCATAATGATGCAGGCAAAGTGGAGCAGAGACAAAGAAGCCACAGGACAACAGTGCTTCTCTCTGCTCTGCTCCCAGGCTCACCTGCCATGAATCCTGCCCCTGCCCCCTCTTGTGGTCTCCCTGGTCAACCTGCATGCACTGCAGGGAGGTCCAAGCTCTTGCAAGTGGAAAGGCTTTGGCTATGGCTCCCATCAGGAAGACGTTTATGTCTCCATGTGATCGGCAGTAAAATGGAAATATAGGGTTTTATTATTAATTAGCCCTAGTGTTCAGGAGTGCCATTTAATTCCCCCCACCGAGGGCAATTCCCAGGAGAACCTGACTCATCTCGCATGAGGATTCTTGTCTCCCTATCAAAAGACGCCATCTGAAATCCCCGATGTAGTTATTTTGGGTTAGCTGCACTAGTGTCGGTTCTCCAACATCCGCCCCAGCACTTTCCTGCCCCCGCCCTCTGCATGCACCCACCTCAGTCATCTTGACCCCTCCACCTGAGGGATCAGGGAGCATCAGCTCTTCAGCTCCCCCTCTGTCCCCCATGCCCTTGGACGTGTGGCCGCGCTATGTTGGAATCTATTCAGTGGCAGGGGAGACAATTTAATGACTCACCCCACATTGGAGGTGTTGGGAGCAAGCCCTCCCAAAATCTGGCCATAAATTGGCCCCAAAACTGGCCATAAACAAAATCTCTGCAGCACTGTAACATGTTCATAATGGCCCTGATGCCCACACTGGAAGGTTGTGGGTTTACGGGAATGAGGGCAAGGAACACCTGGCCTGACCAGGGTGGGAAAACCGCTTAAAGGCATTCTTAAGCCACAAACAATAGCCTGAGCGATCTGTGCCTTAAGGACATGCTCCTGCTGCAGTTAACTAGCCCAATCTATTCCTTTAATTCGGCCCATCCCTTCATTTCTCATAAGGGATACTTTTAGTTAATTTAATGTCTATAGAGAATGCTAATGACTGGTTTGCTGTTAATAAATACATGGGTAAATCTCTGTTCAGGGCTCTCGGCTCTGAAGGCTGTGAGACCCCTGATTTCCCACTTCACACCTCTATGTTTCTGTGTGTGTGTCTCTAATTCCTCTAGCGCCACTGGGTTAGGGTCTCCCCGACCGAGCTGGTCCCAGCAGGAGGGTTCAGCGATTCTCATCACACAAACTTAGCACTAAAAACCCCAACACATAATGTGTCATAATGCTTCTGCTCTGTCCACAATCCCCACTGGGCAGACAGGCTCACTGAGTGCAGATGAAGGAGTTGAATTTAGTTGACTTTTTGGGATTTTTTGTTGAAAGGGCAGCTGGAGCTCTGTCCTAGTAAGGAGCAGCAAGAACATCCTAGCATCTCATAATGTATGTATATGAAGGCATCTGTGAGCCCGACAGCACCCCCTAAATGGGGGTTCAGAATTAAATGCACTGCATGGACACACATTGATCATGTGTTGTTGAACGTCAGTGGGACTACAACCCTTGGACCCTGAGGTTCCTAAAAAAGGAAAAATCTAGTTGCAGCAATTGGGATGCTGTGACCTAAACCAAGGTGTCAATTCTTTTCTTCTGCCTGATCAAATGCAGTGGTGAGCCTTCCAATGAATTTTGATTGCATTATTGTACTTTTCAACTTCTGAATTTCTTTTTATAATTCCTGTCTCTTTGTTAATATTCTCTATTTGGTGAGATACTGTTTTTGTCCTCACCGTAGTTCTTTAGAACATGGTTTCTTGTAGCTCTTTGGACATACTTAAAAGAGCTGATTTTAGGCCAGGCATGGTGGTTCATGCCTGTAATCCTAGCACTTTGGGAGGCCAAGGCAGGCAGAATGCCAGAGCTTAGGAGTTCGAGATCATC